>NC_000004.12:58225981-58552387 GCF_000001405.40 Homo sapiens | reverse complement strand
CAAATCAGAGGTTTAAAAACATTTCTCTTATGAAAATGCTGTCTTTTAAAATGTATTCTTCTTCAATAAGAGAGCTGCTTTTAATGAGGTAATGAGGTAATGATCCATTGTTAGATATATTTTATTTTACAGTAGTTTAGACAAAAGGCAGTCCCATCGTAGATGAATAGTTATGAGTGCAAGCAAATAAAAAACCCTTATGAATACTCATTAAATAATTTTGTTGTTTTACCTTAAAGATAGAAATTGTTAAACCTTCCTTAGAGAAAATTGTACCTTAGATAACTTCCTATCTACGGCTGCATAACAAATCATCCCATAGCTTAGTGTCTGAAACAATAATTTATTCTTCTCACAAATATTCAATATCAGCAGAGTTCAAAAATGACAATTATCTCTTCTCTAAAAGGTGCCAGTCACTGTGGCTAAACTAGAGGCTGGAGGAATCACTTCCAAAGTGGCTCCTTGATGTGGCTGGCAAGCTGGGGTTGGCTCTCAGTTGGGAGCTTAGCAGGGGCTGTGGGCTCTGGCTCCTCCCCACAGCTTGGCTTACCCAGAAAGTGCTTAGTGGCCAGATTTCAAGAGCAAGCATCTCATGAGAATCAAGTGGAAGCTGTATTGCCTTTCCTGACTTAAATGTGGAAATGACATAGCATCACTTTATTCAAAGTCACAACCCCTCTCAGATTTGATAGGAGGAAATCTAGACCCTACCTGTCAATGAGAAAAGTGTTTAAGTCATGCTGGTAGAAGAGCATGTGGGATACGAGATATTGTGGACATTATTGGAATATAAAATCTGTCTGAATAATTATAATAAAATAGAAATATATCCATGACCACAATGTTAAAATAAGAAATGCATTCCATTTACTCGGAGTAACAAGAAAAGAAATTCTTTTTAAACTCTTTAATTTGTTTGTCTTTAGTCTAATCTACCAAATATTCAGTAGGGTATAGCAGAAAAAGAATGTGTTTTGTAGTCTAATAATTTAATCTAAATTCATGATGACTAGCTTGGAGGTTCTAAGAAAGCCATGTAAGCTCCCTGAGTAATTTACTATTCATCATTATAATTAGGTATATTGACAACTACTTTGCAGGGACATTTACAATGAAGAGTAAATGATGTGATAATATAAACAACTCTGCACATAAAAACTATTAATTTTTGTCTAAAGCAAATATGTTTAATGGCACTGTGTAGTTATCAAATGAGAAGAAGACATAATTATATATGCAACTAAGTAGTGCCAAAAATGACCCCAGTATATCTTAATAACTTTGATAATATACAGCAGAGATGCCTACAGGTTGATTCATATTGGGTTAGTGTCTTAGTCTATTTGGACTACTATAACACAGTACCATAAAGTAAGTAGCTTATGAAAAATAGAAATTTATTTCTCATAATTCTGGAGGTTGGGAAGTCCAAGACCAAGGTACCAGCAGGTTTGGTGTCTGATGAACACTGCACCTGCTTCCTGGTTTATAAATAGTCACCTTTTCTCTGTGTTCTCACATGATGAAAGGAAAGGACCCCAGTCTTTTCAGCTCCTCATATGAAAACAAATTTCATTAATGAGGTCCCCACCCTCATGACCTCCTGAAGGCCCAACTTGTAATACCACCACATTGAGGATTAGGTTTCAACATAGGAATTTTGGGGACACACAGACATTCAGAAGATAGGTGTTAGCTTAATTTCAATCTGCATTACTTCTGGTTTCCTATATCCTGATTCGCCAAGTGTCTATCTCATACTGTCAGAGGATGAAAGATATTTTATCTAAATATTTCTGATTTTTCTAAGAAAGGAAAAAAGAAAAAACACCTATCACACAAATGGTTTAAAATACTTTTGTTTGCATAATTACTGTTAATTCACAATTACAATGGATCTGGACAGGTCAAAAACCCTGAATGATAAATTGAATAGCTCATTGTAGTCACCTTCACTTTATCTGCCAATCCTCTATGAAAGAGTCTAGAAACATCATTATCTAATGATATATGCAGTATTCAAAAGTTGGTAATATTCATAATATTCAGTAATTAAAATGCCCAAATCAATCTGTTATTTACTATAGTAATATGCAATGTATGAAATTATTAAGAAAACTTGTTTTTGATGATATATCCATCTTTCCACATTCCTCATGCCCTACTCACACACAGAAAGCCACATTGAGATTCAAAACAGCAAAAAGTTAAATACGAAAGTAATTTTCAGTTCTGTGACCTACCTAAGTTTACTAGAAGTACCATTTCCTGTGTACATTTAATATATTATTAACTCCCTTCTTACTGGTTTCAAAGGAGAAAATAAATCTTCAAGTTTATAAAATTATTCTATAAAACATTATATTGATTATATAATTATAAGTTAATATAACTGATTTTCTTTTGAAGTTTGATTGGAAAAATAATACACTATTTAAAACTGTGTAAGAACAAAATATTTTTCCTTCTACTGCTATGAATTCCAAACATTATTTTATTTTTTCTTTTGTAAGATAAATTCATTTGACTATCTTTTTGGCAGTTCCAATTTTAAATGAAAAAAATAAGACAATTGAAATAGATTATTGTTATTGAAACATGGCATGGAAGAAGTGGCAGTTAGAAAAAATTACACTAATACTAATAGTTATTTTCTGGGTATGAAGGTATTATTTTTCCTATACTTGCTGAAATGCTGAAAATAGATTCAATAATTTCATACGTCTGACTTTTTAATGAGTTGGAAAATGGAAAAATCAATCTAAAATTTTACTTTAATTTTTAATAATTTGATTTAACAATGAAATACAAAAATGGTTCACTGTTTATTTAACAATAAAATATAAAAATAAAATATAAAAATGTTCTAAATAACAAACTTCTGATAACCACAGCCACCTGATAAAAGTTCAAAAAAAATTTATTTGAAAAGCCACAATGATGTCAGGATGCCGTTGTGCCATAATGTAGATATTAGAAGTCATTTGCCCATATTCTCCTTCCTCCTCTCTTTTGGCATATGATGAGCTCCCCAACTCCTTCAAGTTAATCCCTATCAGTTGAGCCAATGAAGTATGAGGGAAAAAGTAACTTGTCATTTTTAGGTAGAAGTCTTTGAGAGAAAGCACGTGATAATACACTCTTACTCTTGCCACAGAGACATCAGTTCCTGATTAAACTTGAACAGAGACGGCCATGACACCTCACCAACTCACAATTATCATGTATCAAAGAAAGAAATAATGCATTGCTTTTAGTCATTGAGATTTGTGATTGATACAAAGTCCAAAATATCAATCATGTAGCCCAATGGGGTGTAAATTTAGGTTATATACCTAACAAGTGTAACTTTGCCAGAATTTCCTTTCTTTGAGCCCTTGGTGGATGTGTGAATTCCTTGTCACGCTCTCAGTCTAAACCTATACATAACCATGAATCTCCTCATCAACTTTCAAGATTGCTGTCATCAATGTTAGCTTACCACATCAAATAAATTTAGTCTGGACCTGATATTTTCTTTAAAGCTCAATTTAATTAGATGTTATACAAAGTAAAATTTTGATTATATTTGTTTCAATTTTCATCACATTAAAAAATACAGATTGGAAGCTGGAAAAATGAAACTGATAGTTGGCAGCAGAAGAAAGGAACCATATCAAATTAGACACAGTATTTTATAAATATTACTTTGTGAAAGAAAACCTAAACTTTAAGATACTACAGTGTAATAATTAATGTTCATTAGTGTGATTCTGCTTCTTAAAGTAAAACTTCTCTTCACATAGAATCATAGCCACAAATTGTTAAATACGTACTTTATGCAAGGTGTTTAGCAGACATTGTTTCTATTGTTCTCAACAACTCTGCTAGGTAAGTGTAACTAAACTTCATATATATGTGTGTGTTGGCGGGGGTGTATTTAAATAAATACATTTTTTCCCCCAGCCCTAACTCCTTTCTGAGGTATGGCATTTCACCACTAGTTTCCAAGGACTCTGGTCTAAAATCAGCCAAGATAATAGGAAAGATTCTTCGATATCACAGAAAAATTGAAGACTCTTTAAAGAGTCTTTATAATGCAACCCTTTACAAATAATAATAGAAATTTGAAATAATATGTATTGCTTCAGTGCAATAAAAATAAACAGCCAGGATTTGTTTTACTGTGGGGCTAAACCAAAAGAGATTTTCCTGCATGTTTTGCTGCTGTACTCCAGGTTTCTTGAAGAAAACATTAGATTAAATCTGTTGTCTGAAAACTTGAACCAGAAGCCAAGATGAAGATAAGGATTCCTGGGGAAAGAAAAGAATAGGTCCAAAAACCCAGGAGTTCAGGTCAGTGAGAGAAGAAGAGAAGAACGCCACAGGCAACCCAGTGACCCCCCATTGGAGGTGTGCCCAGCATGACAGTCTAGTTGAAGGGAAAAGTACAAGTGTCCTGAAATGCTGGTATGGAAACACAAACTCAGAAAAATCTAATTTTAGATCTTCAATTTTTGTTTTATTATAACACGTCTCTCTACACTTGATATATCTTATTATATTTAATTTAAGAAAAATTATATTAATTTACTCATTTCAATTGGTTTATACATAACCAGACTTCAGCCACAAAAAAAAAGTGTCTTAACAAGAATTTTTATAGTAAATATTCTAAAATATTTTCCCATGAAAATGCATATTATTGAAAATTAAATGCAGTTTTAGTAGCAGGACACAGTATGATTCCATCAAGAAAACCCTCGTCCTGGGCCCAGGTTTTACAAATTCCAAAGTGACTTACTACAAAATCCTTTATGAAACTTCTGGCACTTCTGTCCCTTGACATCTATCTCAACACTGACACTTGTAGCCCCCATCCTAGACATTCATTTTCGTGATTAGCAAGGTTCAAGCCTCAGGGAAAGGCTTGTTTTCTTCAATTTCCTTAGGACTAAAAGCAACAGAGTGAGTGAAAGTCTGAGTGCAGTGGCACTGCCGGTGCTGGAGATAGCATTGCTTTGAAGCGTAGGGAGGACTTAAGCAGCACAAGCACTTATTTATAGAAAATTCTTTATCAAATCATTTTTTTTCAGATATGTGTTAGTGCAACGGACTTTTGCACAGGAAAGAATCTTTTGTCAGTGGTGCTGTGTCCATTTTCTTGCTTCTTTTTTTTGTTCCAGTTTGTCCTAAGAGAGGTGATCATGAATTCACACCACACTGATATTAGATGAACATAGCAGCTAAGAAACATTTTCTAATAAATAATTAATATTTCTTTGAAGTTTTTATAATAGAAGGCTAGATATAACATATAGAATGCGCTACATATAATTTTTTAGTTCATGAAGTACCATTTAGTGGCAGATTAACCCAATAATTTTAATTTCTAAAAATAATATATTTTCATTAATTTTTTTATTATGTAAATTATAATTTTCTGATTTTTAAAGTTTTATTTAATGTTTTGATATTAATCATAATTTGTATACATTTGGATATCTTAGAAATTTTTAACATTTTAGAAAAGAAATAAGTTGCTTTAGAAATGTATGAAAAATGATTTTACTATTTAATTTTGCACTGCCTTAGTGATAAGTGGATATTTAAATTTCATGTACTCTGAATACAATTTTTTTTATTTTTTACTTTATTTAGATTGTTATTCAGAGCTAGTGTAAGTTAGAATAAGATAAGGAATGAAAGATAGAAATTTAGTTTATTTTTAAAAACTGCAAAGCTAAAAAAGGAAACTTTGAAACACAGCATGCTTACATTTTAAAATCTGGAGACAAAGTGAGCAGATTTCTCTCCAACATCACTCACATAAAATTTGCAATCAAGATATTATAAATCCTTGATTTAATGAAGATTTAATTATGGATCAAAACAAAGAAAATTAGCAAGAAAATTATTCTCATCAAATTCACAACTTAAACAGGTCAGATGTAATTTCTGTAACTTCAAATTATAAAATATTTAATTGTTAATTATGAAATGTTACTTGTGTACAAATCAGCAGTCATGAAATTCTAGGTTTGAAAAAATGCTAATGTAAACTCCAAACCATTAACAGAATTTATCAAAGACAGAGTGGTACCCTTATAAATTATAATTGTAACTTTATTTTAAAATACAGTTTCTTTTATATTTATATTTTGGTGTTACTAGAAGCAATATACGTATACAGAAACAATAGAAAAATTGGCTTTACTTAAAATAATTTTGAAATTGATACTAGAATAAATGAACACATGGAATAAACATGAAAATTTTAATACAATCACTTTCTAGGCTGAAGCCAAAATGATATTATTAATTTATCAGTCCATATACTAAGATAAAAGTCAACCATAAGAATTTAAACATAATATTATTCACTTTAATTAGATGATATCAGGGTAAAAACCTGTTGAACAGCAAATATTTATTTTGTAGATTGTTGAACTATTAAAAGAAAATATGAAAATAAGGTTTTAAAATGTATAAGTTTTGACTCAAGTGAAGAATTGAAACAAGAACGCTTAATTTTTGAAATTAATACAAAAGTTTTTTGAGAGCAAGCTTATAAAAATGTTACCACTGTGGTTGTTCTAGGAAAAATAGAAAGAAAACAAAACAAAACAATAAGCATCAAAGTTTGCTAAAAAATCTAGAGTACTTTTTTGTACTTCATCTATACTTAGTAATAAAATTCTTTACTATTTAGAGACTGCAAATTTTAATTTCAACTTGCATCTTTGTATTTAAAAGTGAGACAACTTGAAAAAACATGCATTGAATCTGACATAATAATCATTCTTGGAAACATTATGGTAGTCCTATCTAAATTCTGTTCAAGCAATTAGGCTTCATTTAGACTAGATAAAAGATGCACGAGACAAGTTGAGAGGGAAGATCCCATTCAAATCCCACAGAAAATCCTCAAAGAGCTAACCCTAATTGTGGTATTTCGCCAAAACATGAAATTAATTTAACATTTTCTCTGTTGTAGTTGTTTGGTATCAACACTTACTTTCTACTCACACTGTTTATTAGAAAATTTGTGAATAAATAAAGTTATTATTTAACTTTAAATGATTAAAACATAATTTTAAAACATTTAAAGACATTTCCCTTAATTAAAAAACTCTGAGCATAACATATATGCAACAAAAGTGATAATTTACAAGAACACTAAAACAATCTGCATGACTATGAAGAGGAAGATTCATGTAAAAATAATCACAAAATTACTCTGCAATAGTTTTATTCTAGAAATTAGTTTTCACTGTAAAAATTTGGCAATAAAAATGTTAAGAGTATAATTGAAGAACCAGTAGAGATAGATAGATAGATAGATGATAGATAGATGATAGATAGATAGATAGATAGATAGATAGATAGATGATAGATTTTTTATAAGACGGTAAGATTTATGATCTATGTGATAGTCACTTATATAATTACATTGAAACATTTTGTAATGATACCAACAACCATCTATGTCAACACAATGTGATTATTTATTCTAATATGTTCTTTAACAGGATAAAACTGTAAATTAGTACATAATTTTGCTGTTCAAACTATTTTTGAGATAGACAGTTTACTCTTATGACATTGCAATGTCCACAAATATGAAACTATCATGTCACAAAGCAGCCTAATTTCTGAATCAGTCTCCTGACTGACTTTCTCTACACTGTTGAGTTCAGTCCTAAATTCTCTGTTTCTTTCTCTGTCTCTCTGTCTCTCTCTCTCTTTCATTTTTTCTCTCTCTATATATACCTACGTCTGTGCATATATAGATATGTATTTATATATTCACATATAAAATATGTATTACATAAAATATGTAAATATATATTTGATAAAATATGTATTTATATATGGACATAAGTATAAATACATATTTCTTAAACTCTTTTTGAGACACAAAAATTCAGTCAAGGTGATATTCTTCTTTATTTAATTACTCTAATAATCTGCTTTGCCTATTAAGCCAACTTTTATGATGGTGTTTTGAGATGTTCACAGCATTATTGTCTGTGATTTTTTTAAAAATGTAATTTATGCAACTACATTGCAATATGTTAACATTGATTATAAAATCCATGCTTTACTTCCATGAATTAAGGAATGCTTTAGAAATTTTAAAAGAATTCTGATTGCTGTTGCCTCCACAAAGCAAAATTTGTAAAAATTAAAACTAATAAAAAGCTTCAAGACTAAACAATGAGTATAAAAACATTATTAGCAATTTTGATAAACCGAAACCAAGGAAAGTGCATTTTATAAGATAAATATGGAATATTTCCTTACATATGTATCTTTAGTATTCGTCCAAACATTACTGAAGTATTAATAGAACCCTCAAGACATGTGCAATGATAACCTTCAGTAATCTTTGTTATTCTGCCAACTTTCAATGATAGAAAATCATGAAGTATTTTTTTTTTCGAATTGTAATTATCGAGTTAATTCTCGGGCAAATAATATAATGTATTTTATTTAATAGTTTGGGAGCCTCCATTTTTACTTTTTCCCTGTTCTCCTCCAAAGAAAAAAAAATAGTTGTAGCCCTTTCAGTGATAAACAAGCCAATTTTCCATAATCAGAAAAATTTTGCTTACCTGAAACATCATATGCCCCAGTAATGGCAAATTATGGAAGTGCTTTTGAGTTTTCTCTGCATTGATGCTGTTCCTTTTAAGTAGCTATCATCTATCTGGGTGAAGCATGGCAGATTTGACAAAGTAATTATGAATAATTTTCAGTCAGCTTCAGACATTAGAGATGGTGCTAGGGCAGATGAGTGTGTGGATGTAATCACATGGGCACACTGGGAGAACAATGATTATATCAGAAATTTCAGTGTTTAATTTTGAAAATGTGTGACTTTGCATATTTGACTATACTGACATGGATTTTCAAAATAAATAATGACTTATTCCCGTCCATTAGGTAATATCTTCTACCTGAAGAATAATAGAGGCTATCAGAAACTACCACTACACATTTTCATTTTATAAACTATTTCTGAGAATCAGAACATAGCTAACTTTCGTTCATTAAAAAGTCTCCAAACACATTTTCTTTCTCTTCCTCTTTTTTTTTTTTTTTTTGAGATGGAGTCTTGCCCTGTCGCCCAGGCTGTAGGGCAGTGGCGCGATCTCGGCTCACTGCAAGCTCCGCCTCCTGGGTTCACGCCATTCTCCCGCCTCAGCCTCCCGAGTAGCTGGGACTACAGGCACCCGCCACCACGCCTGGCTAATTTTTTGTAATTTTAGTAGAGACGGGGTTTCACCATGTTAGCCAGGATGGTCTCGATCTCCTGACCTCGTGATCCACCTGCCTCGGCCTCCCAAAGTGCTGGGATTACAGGCATGAGCCACCGCGCCTGGCCTCTCTTCCTCATTTTTTTAATTGAAATTTTTATATAAATTACATGACCAACAATAGGGACTTAATCAATGAATTTTTATTCTTAAATAAACATGATAGGTACTTCTTTAAGATCAGCAGGTTTATATCAAATTACTTCATAACAAGTCAATTAATTCAGGTATAAAGAGGAATAGTTTGTTCATAATTAATCCTGGCAGGAACACTAAGAAACCAAGTTATTTAAAATCAGATATTCCATGAAAGATGTATTGATTTTGTTTTTCCAATGTTGTAAAAGCAACTAAAAATTTCTAAGCCCAACATTTTATTGTCCATATTTTGGAAGTAATGCCTCTAATTACTCAACTGAGAACATATATATAAGGTACAACAGGCACAGATCTATTCCACACAAGAGGAAGGTAAGTCTGTACGCCCATATGACCTACACAACGCCTTGGAAAGAGCAGGGTATAAATAAATATATATAAAATTAATGAACATAATTCACCTTTGTGTGGTTGTTTTGATAATCTTTAGTTTCAGCAAGAGTTAGTGAAGTTTTTAAACTGTTATAAGATCTTGTTTTGAAAGCAAAATATACTGCATTTAACCAACATTTTAGAATAAAAACAATGCCAAAAAGCAGTTTTTCAGAAGTCCCACCATATGCTGTTCTTCAGTTCCTGTTCCAAATCTAGATGAGACAAGTGAAATTTAGGAAAGACTTGCTAAAAGGAAGATGAGTTAGTTATCTATCACTGTATATCCGATTACTCCAAAACTTAGCTGAAAACAACACTGTTTTTGAGGGTTTGGAATTTGGCAGTGGCTTAGCTGGGTGGTTCTGTCTCAGATACTCTAATGAGGTTGTTGTCAAGATGATGGCTGCTACTGAAGTCATCTGAACACTTATTTGGGGATAAAAGAGTCTCTTCCAAGATGGGTTGTTGCCAGAAGTCCCCAGTTCCTTGCCATGTGGCTCTCTACACAAGAATGCTTGAGTGCTCTATGATGTGACAGCTGCTTTTCCTCAGAGCAAATCATCCAAAAGAAAAGAAACATTGAGAAAGTCACAAGGCCTTTTATATTTGAGTCTCAGAAGCCACAAACCAACACTTCTGCCATAGTCTATTGATCATACAGACCAAACCTAATACAAGTGAAAGAGGACTACACAATGTTGTGCATACCAAAAGTAGGGGATCTTTGGGAGTTATCCTGGAACTGGGCTACTGCAATATGCAATATGCAACACCTCCTTCTGTAGATTTTATCAATTCCATTCTGCGATCAAAATGAATAATGAAAATTGTATATACTTGGCCCATATTAGTTTACTTGGAGGTATCTTCATTATTATCTATGACTGTGAATATCATTTATATTTGGTTTTTGACATTTCTCTAAGGTTTTAAGAATTAATAGAACTGTAAAATTCATTGTCTCATTGTTGAGGACACTTTATTTTATCATCTTTCTTATAAATATTTACAACTGATAAACTTGTGCAATTTAGTACTGAAAAGTTTTTGTTTCTCTGAAGACTTTCTGAAGAACACTAGATAATTGATCATGTTTACCTCACTTGTTATTTTCTTGCCTTCTGGAAGTTTAGAGACAAATGCAAACTTCAGTCTCATTAGGTTGACAATTATACTTTGAATGCTTATGTGACTTTCTTCATTTCTTCATTTTCGGGTCATCTAAATATCTATATTGTTTTTACAGTGTATTTTCAACAAGGTTTTGAAATTTAGTTAAACATACTTACGCTTTCAAATGTTCTGTATGAAATTCATTACAAATAATCTGTTTGTTATGGGAAATTAAGAAAGAATGGCCAACAGTAGAAAGAAGAAAATAATACCACTTCTTGTTCCATTAACTAAAGTGAAAAGCTGTTAAATTATATGATAGAATTACTCCTTTTTTGATGATAATGCCCAAACAGTTCATCATTATCCATTTGTTGGTGGTGTTTAATTGAAATATCACACAGAGGCTCTGGTTTCGGTGTAGAGAGGAAAGAACTTGGGAATCCTCATTCCCATTCTCACAAGAAGAAGAAGATAGACACACTGAAAAGCAACAACTTTTCTTTAGAGAAGTGAAGTCACAGAGAAAACCATCATCCTGACATCTTGTGAGGCAAATATCTCCAGGAAACCCAAGATCTGGGCCATTCCTTACATTGAGAGAGGCAGCCAGAAGTCATATAAGCCAGTAGGAACATTAAACTACATATTTTAATTAATTACTGGAGGACAAGTGTGAGCTAGAGTGAGAGTAAAAGTCTCTGCGGGGCTACAGTCACAGGGCAGTGGGGCAAGGGGCAGTTTTGCAGGGTTTTTGTTTGGTTTTTGTTTTGTTGTTGTTTGTAGGAATTCTGCCAGGCTTTCCCAAGGATAATAGGGAAAAATATGGAGAAAGCCTCTACTCCCTCCCCGTCATGGTCCTGGCAAGAGGAAGGAAAGTGTAGCCATTGTGAAAACTCAGAATATTTTCTCTCTTATGTAGCAGAAGACTAAATCTGTAGGGTTCGGACATCCCTAGAGGATAGTAGTAGAAACTTCTCTCAATTGTAGGAAAAAACTCTGCTCTTCCCACTTCCAACTTTATCTCATCTAGCGGGGAAAATATTAATATGCAAGAGACAGGGCTTTACTAACACAGCTCTAGGGATGTTGGAGCATACCCACTGCAGTATGGGACGAGACCAAGGAGCAGGGAAATAAAGCTCAACCTTGAGGAGCCCCAGAACACTTGAAAAGGCCATACTCTCAACATGTGGGCCCATTGTGCGTTAAAGATTGCCACACAATTCAAAGACTAGAGAACAACCCTCCCTCACACCATACTACCACATTAATAAAAATAAAACTCTAGTAATAGTCACAGTGAATTATAGTGAGAAGAGAGTTGTAAGAGACTTCTCCTGAAGTGCAGCTCATAGGGAAGCTCCAAAGAAAATAGTACAAAGGAAAACAAAATAACAAGGGGAGTTTGAAGCCGCTTGTTCTCATTGTTATAACACAACACAACACAACTCACAGCCAGATGAGCATATTTCCTCATACTAAAGTCCTATTAATTTAATTATCTACAACACAACTGACTTTCAATGAAAGAAACACACAAAACATACCAAAAAGTAAAAACCAAACAGTCTGAAGAAACAAAGCAATAAACCAAACCAAGTTCAAATATGACACATACATTGGAATTACCAAGGAGTTTAGAATAAGAAAAAAAGACAACTTTTTATCTGGAGAATGCAAGCCCCTTTAAATTATCCATCCCAGAGAAGCATTGAAATGTGACAGCAGTGATGTCCTACAACCACCTTGAGCTAAGTAATTACCTCCTGAAGCCCCTTGCTACATGGGCTCTAGACTAACTGATACCAAGCAGTCATAGAATGCCATGTGCTAGACACCATAACTCATACCCTATAGTAAAACAGGGTATAGCCAATCACTAATCAATATTACCTCCGTAAGCCAATGAGAATCCCTGTCAAACAACTTTGTATCGGCCCACTCCTGGTTTCTTTTTGCCTTTAAAAACCTGCTTGCAAAAAAGGCTGAAAAGAGCACTCCCCAAAGCAACCTGGAAGTGTGTCGTGGGCAGCTGTCTTCACTTTGGTTCAAGTAAACTCTTTAAAATTATATTTTGTGCCTCAGCCTCTTCCTTTGGGTCAATAAGAATAAATACCATTAATATGTTGAGCCTTTAGTTGAAATGAACAGAAAACATAACAAAACCAGATAGATAATGTCAAAATCCAAAGAAAGTGCTAGAAATAAAAAGCGGAGAAATGAAGAATGCCTTCTGCGGGTTCATCAGTAAATTTAGCATGGATAAGAAAGAATTAATTTAACTTGAATATAAATGAATGGAAATGATTCAAGCTAAAATGCAGACAAAAAAAATAAAAGAACAGAACAGAGCATTCAAGAACTATGGAATAATACCAAACAGTATAACATACACCTAATTACAATATCAAAAAGAGAATAAATAAATCAACAAGGAAAACATAATATTTAAAGAAATAAAGGCCTCTATTTTTTTTCCAAAAATACTAACAAATATCAAAACATAGATCCAAAACGTTCAGAACACCAAGTGGATAAATATTAAAACAAAACAAAACAAACAACAACAACAACAACAACAAAGCCTGCAGCTCATCATATTATAGTCTAACTAAAGAAAATAAAAAAACAAAGAGAGTGTCTTTCAGGCACCCAAAACAGGGAATGGGGGGACACTTTACCTAGATATAAGAAAGATAAGAAATGTAGTTTTCTTATTAGAAGCTTTGATGGTTAAAATTGAGTGTCAACTTGATTGGATTGAAGGATGCAAAATATTGTTCTTGGGTGTGTCTGTGAGGGTGTTGTCAAAGGAGATTAACATTTGAGTCAGTGGACTGGGAGAAGCAGACCTACCCTCAATCTGAGTGGGCATCATCTAATCAGCTGCCAGCATGGCTAGAATAAAAACAGGCAGAGGAATGTGGAAGGACTAGACTGGCTGAGTCTTCTGTCCTCCATCTTTCTTCCATGGTGGCTGCTTACAGACCTCAAGCATCTGACTCCAGGTTCTTCAGCTTTTGGACTCATGGACCTACACCAATGGTTTGCCAGGGGTTCTCGGGCCCTTGGCCACAGACTGAAGCCCGCACTGTTGACTTCCTTACTTTTGAGGTTTTGGAACTTGGACTGGCTTCCTTGCTCCTCCTCAGCTTGCAGATTGCCTATTTTGGAACTTCACCTTGTGATCCTGTGAGTCAATATTCCTTAATAAACTCTTTTACATATGTACATCTATCCTGTTAGTCCTGTCTCTCTAGAGAACCCTGACTAGTATAGAAGCTATGCAAGCAGAAAGACAATAGGGTAAGATCTTTACCGTGCTGAAATGAATAAACTTGCCAAGTCAGAATTCTATATTCAACAAATATTCTTCAGAAGTAAAGAAGAAATAAACGTACAAACAAAAATTGAAAAAAGTATTTATTTCATTGTCAGCGGATCTACCCTACAATAAGTATTAATACATATTCTTCAGCCAGAAGAAAACTATTGTAGTTTAGAAAGCTGAATCTACATAGGGAAGAAAAATGTGTCAGAAAGGAATGAATAAAAGAAAAGCATAAAAGCTTCTTTTCCTTATTTTTAATGGCTCTAACAAATAACTGATTATTTAAAGAAATAATTACAATATTGTATTGGATATTTGAAGAAAATGTAAAAGTGTAATAAGTGAAAACTAGTCAAATAGACAGGAGGGAGAAGACAAGAATATTATGTTATAATGTAACTTCAGTACACATGGTGCAGTATTGTATTATTTGTATATGATCCTATATTATTACAAAATGTATATTGTAAATTCTTGAACAATTTACTGGGTTGAATAGTGACTGCCTTAAAATTCATGTCCACTCATTTCATTATCTATGAATGTGACTTTATCTAAAAATAAGATCTTTTCAGATGTAATCAAGTTAAGATTAGGTCATGCTTGATTATGATGGGTCCAAAATTCAATATTACTGGTGACCTTTTAAGAAAAGGAAAATTAAGATACAGATGTACAGGGCAGGAAACCATGTAAAGTTTAAGTTAGAGATTATAGTTATGCAGATACAAGTCAAGGAACATCAAGAATTGCCAGCAACCACCAGAAGCTAAAAGACAAAAGGAAGTGTCCTTATCTAGAGAGTTCTGAGAGTGACCCTGCCAACACCTTGACTTCTAGCCTCCAGAAATGTGAGATAAGAAATTTTTGTTATTATAAGCCATGCAGTCTGTGGTAATTGGTTATGGTAGTCATAGAAAAAATATATAAACAAAAACTTTTAAAAAGTTATAAATTATAAATGATAAAAAAACAGAGGGCAGAAAAAGAGAAGAAAACAGAGCAAATGTAAAAAAGAGCAAACAGCAAGATGGTAGATTTTAATTCAACAATATTAGTAATCGCTTTAAATGGGATTGCTCTAAACAGACCAGTTAAAAAATATCATCAGATTTTATACAAAAAGCAAGCCCAAATCTATGCTGTCAAAAAAATAAATTGACTTTAACTATAAAGACTTAGATAAGCTCAAAGAAAAGGAATAAAGGATGATAAACTATGCAAATACTAATTTAAAAAGCTGGAGTAACTATATTAATTTTGGACAAAATAGACTTCAAAACAAGGAAGATAATTAGAGATAAAGTGGGTCATTAATGATAAGTAGGTCAATTCTTCTCTAAGAAAATATAGTAACCCTAAACATGTATCGGGGAACCTGCCCTGATAGTCACGTAGGTTCTTTTCTATTTTCCTTAAGCATCAGCTGACTTGAGAAATAAAGGGACAGAGTACAAAAGAGAGAAATTTTAAAGCTGGGTGTCCAAGGGAGACATTAATTGTTATTAATTGGCTATATTATCTTACATTTTGCAACATTTATCTAAACTTTATGTCTTAAAAGAAACCCTGCTTAGTCAAGAGCTATTACGCCATATTTGCCTGCTCTCCAATATTTATAAAAACTATTTTTGAACTTTTCATTTCAATGGAAATAAGACAGGAAGCGTTGTAAGTTAGACATATGTATTTACTCTTTTAAAAATATGTTTTTGGGGGCAGAGCAAGATGGTGAAATAGAAGCCTACACTTTTCATCTCCCCTGCTGGAACACCAAATCTTAACTGTCTGCACACAGAAAAGCACTGTCACAGGAACCAAAAATCAGGTGAGCGATCACAGTACCAGGTTTTAACTTTATATCACTGAAAGAGGTATTGAGGAGGGCAGAAGAGAAAGTCTTGAATCACTGATGCCACCCCTCCCCGATCCCCATGGCAGCAGCGGAGTGATGCAGAGAGATAATCTGTGTGCTTTTGGAAGGGACAGTACAGCAACTGAGGAAATTTACATTAAACTCTATGCTGCCCTGTCATAGTAAAGAAAAAATCTCTGCCAGGATCAGCCAGCATCCATACATGAAGAAAGCATTAGGAGCAGCCCTTGCCAGAGGGGTATTGCCCTTTTCAGTGGTCAAAACTTGAGTTTCTCAGCAAGCCACACCACCATGAGCTGAAGTACTGTGGGGTCCTAGGTAAATTTTAAAGGCAGTCTAGGACACAAGGACTGTAATTCCTGGGCCACTCCTAGTGCTAGGCTATGCTTACAGCCAGTAAACTAGGGTGGAACATGACCTAGGGAGACACCAGCTGAGGTGGCTAAGGAAGTGTGTTAGCCATACATCCCCCCAGGCAATGCAACTTGCAGCAACAAAAGTGACTCCTTTCTTCTGCTTAAGGAGATGATAGTGAAGAATAAAGAGGACTTTGTCTTGCATCCTACTTGCCAAAGTAGGATAGAGCACTGGGCAGAATCATTAGGCCCCCATTCCAGGCCCTAGCTCCCAGATGACATTTCTAGACACACCCAAAGGGGAACTTGCAAAATTAGAGATTAAAAAGGTGACATTACAACTGATACCACAGAAATTCAAAGGATCATTAGAGTCTACTATGAGCTACCATATGCCAATACATTGGAAAATCTAGAATAAGTGGATAAATTCCTAGAAACACACAACCAATCAAAATTGAACCATAAAGAAAACCAACACCTGAAGAGATCAGTAACAGGTAACCAGGTCAAAGGTGTAATAGAAAGTCTCCCATTAAAGAAAAGCCTGGGACCTGATGGCTTCACTGCTGAATTCTACCAAATATTTAATGAAGAACTAATACCAATCCTACTTAAACTGTTAAAAAAAATAAGAGGAGGAAATACTTCCAGATTCATGAGGCCAGTATTACCCTGATATCAAAGCCACAAAAAGATACAAAACAAAATCACACGCTAATATCTGTGATGAATTTTAATGCAAAAATTCTCAACAAAATATTAGCAAATCAAATTCAACAATACATTAAAAATATTATTCATCATGACCAACTGACATTTATCCCAGGAATTCAAGGATGGTTCAACATATGAAAATCAATCAATGGGAAACATATCAACAGAATGAAGAACAAAATCAGCATGATTATTTCAATTGATGTTGGAAAGCCATTTGATAAAAGTCAACATCTTCATGATAAAAATCCTCAAAAAACTGTGGATAGAAGGAACATACCTCAACATAATAAAAGCCATATATGACAAACTACAGCTAGTATCCTACTGAATCAGGGGAAAACTGAAAGCCTTTTCTCTAAGATCTGGAACATGACAGGATATTCACTGTCACCACTGTCATTCAATATAGTACTAGAAGTCCTTGCTACAGCAGCCAGACAAGAGAAATAAATAAAGAACATCAAAATTGGAAAGGAAGAAGAATTATTCTTCTTTGCAGAGGATAGGAACTTATATTTGGAAAAACCTAAGTATTCCTCCAAAAAACTATTCAAACTGATAAATAAATTTAGCAAAGTTGCAGTATACAAAATTAGCACACAATAATTGGTGGCATTTCTATATGTCAACAGTGAACAATGTAAAAAATAAATTTAAAAAGTAATCACATTTACATTAGCCAAAAATTAAATAAACACCTAGGAAATAACCAAATTTCTTAGGCTGGAGTGCAATGGTGTGATCTTGGCTCACTGCAACCTCCACCTCCAGGGTTTAAGCAATTCTCCTGCCTCAGTCTCCAAAGTAGCTGGGATTACAGGTGCACACTACCACGCCTGGCTAATTTTTGTATTTTTAGTAGAGATGGGGTTTCACCATGTTGGCAGACTGGTCTCAAACTCCTGATCTCGTGATCTGCCCACCTTGGCCTCTCAAAATGCCAGAATTACAGGCATGAGCCACTGAACCCAGCCAGAAGTGAGATTTCTACAATGAAAATTATAAAACACTGATGAAAAGAATTGAAGAGGACACAGAAAAATTAAAAGATATTCCATGTTTATGGATTTGAAGTTTCAATGTTGTTAAAATGTCCATACTGGCTGGGCACGGTGGCTCACTCCTGTAATTCCAGCACTTTGGGAAGCCGAGGTGAGTGGATCACCTGAGGTCAAGAGTTCAAGACCAGCCAGGCCAACATGGTGAAACCCCTTCTCTACAAAAATACAAAACTTAGCCAGGCATAATAATAGATACCTGTAATCCCAGTTACTCAGGAGGCTGAGGTAGGAGAATCACTTGAATCCAGGAGGCGGAGGTTGCAGTGAGCCACTATTGTGCCATTGCACTCCAGCCTGGGTGACAGAGCGAGACTCTGTCTCAAAAAAAAAAAAAAAAAAAAAAAAAAAGTTCATACTATCCAAAGCTATCTACAAATTCTACAAATTCAATGCAATCTCTATCAAAATACCAATGACATTCTTCACAGAAATAGAAAAAATAATCCTAAAATTTATACAGAACTGTAAAAGACCCAGGATAGCCAAAGCTACACTAAGCAAAAAGGACAACACTGGAGGAATCACATTACCTGACTTCAAATTTTACTACAGAGCTATAGAAACCAAAACAGTATGATATTGGCATAAAAACAAACACATAGATAAATGGAACAGAATAGAGAACCCAGAAACATATCTACACACCTACAGTGAACTCATTTTTGACAAGGACATACATTGGGGAAAAGACAGTCTCTTCAATAAATGGTGCTGGGAAACTGGATATTCATACGCAAAAGAATGAAACTAGACTCCTATATCTTGCCATATACAAAAAATAAACCACAATCAATTAAAGACTTAAATCTAAGACCTCAGGCTATGAGCTACTACAAGAAACATTGGGGGAAATCTCTTAAGACATTGGTCTGGGCAAAAATTTCTTGAGCAATACTAAAATGGACAAATGGTATCACATGAAGTTAAAAAGCTTCTGCACAGCAAAGGAAACAATCAACAAGTGAAGAGACAACCCACAGAATGGAGAAAATATTTGCAAACTACCCTTCTGACAAGGGATTCATAACAAGAATATATAACTAGCTCAAACGACTCTCTAGAAAAAAAATCTAATAATCCAATTAAAAATGGGCAAAAGATTTGAATAAACATGTCTCAAAAGAAGATATACAAATGGAAAACAGGCACATAAAAAGGTCCTCAACATAATAGATCATCAGAGAAATGTGAATCAAAACTACAATGAGATATTACCTCACCCCAGTTAAACTGGCTTTTATCCAAAAGTCAAGCAATAACAAATACTGGAGAAAATAACTCTTATACACTGTTGGTGGGAAAGTAAATTAGTGCAACCACTATGAAAAATAGCTTGGAGTTTCCTCAAAAACTAAAAATAGAGCCACTATACTATCCAGCAATCCCACGGCTGGGTATATACCCAAAAGAAAGGAAGTGAAAAATCAAAGCAATATCTGCACTCTCGTGTTTGTTGCAGCATTGTACACAATAGACAAGATTTGGAAACAACCTAAGTGTCCATCAACAGATGAATGGATAAAGAAAATATGGGATTTATACACAACAAAGTACTATTCAGCCCTAAGAAAGAATGAGATTCTGTCATTTGCAACAACATGGATGGAACTGGGGGTCATAATGTTAAGTAAAATAAGCCAGTCACAGAAAGAAACATCACATGTTCTCACTTATTTGTGAGATCCAAAAATCAAAACAATTGAAGATAAGAGAATAGAAGAATAGTTACCAAAAAAAGCTGGAAAGTGCAGAGGTAGGGTGTGGAAGAGGTGGGCTGGTTAATGGGTACAAAAGAAAGTCTTAGAAAGAATAAATAGGAAATAATATTTAATAGCACAATGGGGGGATTATAGTCAATAATAATTTAGTTGTACATTTTTAAATAACTAAAATAATATAATTGTATTATTTCTAACAGAAATGAGACGTTCTTTTAGGGATGGATACCTAATTTTCCACTATGTGATTATTATGCATTTCATGCCTGTATCAAAATATGTCATGTACCTCAAAAATATAGACGCCTGCTATGTGCCCAAAAATTAAAAATAAAAAAATTTAGAAAAATAAAGATAAAAATACAGTTTCTTATTCAATATCATTTTCACACCAGTAGGTTTACAGATATTTATATATTATAGATATGGTAAACTACTATTATAATCCATATCAAATATTTTCCTTTTTAATTCTTTGATCACTTGGTTTTTATAAATCAGTACCATAAATTGATCATTTTTACCAATATGCAAACTCTTCTAATAAAATCTTCACATTTTAGCTTGGCACAGAGATACATGGAATAAAGACCTCATATCCAAACCTTCACTGTGGCCAAGCAGAACCATCTGCTGTGTGGAATATAAGTAAAAATGTTATACACATGTATTCTTAAACGAAGAAGTTACACACGTATTTATATATTTCTCTTTCTAATAATGGAATGTGGACATTATATTTGGAACTTAGAAAGGCATCTGAAAGCATGAGGCACAATTCTTACATGTCAAATACTACAGCAGTCACAGAAAGATGCCTGAATTTTGTGATCATAGAGCTACCATATAAGTATTTGACCTTTGATAGCTCAGTTTTAGACTATGTTAACACAGAGAGAAATAAACTTCTATAATTTTAGGATTATAGTCGCTAAGAGAAGAACATGATTACAGGTAGTAAATATTTGTTAGGAAGGCATTTACCAGATAATTACATACTTTTTATATTTATATATACATCTATCATATATTTATATAAAGTAAATAGTTATACTTAAAGACATATATATTTTTATATTTTATGTTTATGTATTTATGTATATATATAATCACATGCACACACACATATAGAATAGGTGACCCTTTAAACTTCATTACCATAAACTCATTACTAAAATTTATAGACTCAATCTTAATATCTCCCTAAAGCACATCCATGAGTACCAGAAAAAAAAAAATACCAAACTTGTCTTTTTAGGAGAAATGAAGGTATAGTTGAAGTAGCGATCAAGAGAAAAAATATATATTACTGTAAAACAAACAATTTATATAATGCAGGATAGACTGTGATTATGTATTTAACTTAATTGGTCTGATGACTTACATGTGTAACTGACTGGATATCACCAAGCCCAAAAATGAAATACTTAAATCAAATTTTGTTTCTGAATAAACCTCCAGCATTATGAGAAACACCAAGTAAAACTAAATAAAAATTAACTGAATAAAATCGATATGTAGTTAATAAAATCATACTATATAGACCATATAGTGCAAATAAGTCAGTAACCATATCCAGTATATATTCATTCAAACACCACATACTGAGTATATGTGTGGAATAAAATTTTTAAAGCCATTATTTTGGATCTCAAGTTCATAGTCTAAGAAATAGAATGATACGCTAAAGTGTGGATTAAGAATAAAATATTTCTGTTTTTACTTTTTAATTCTACATTAAGAAAGTTATCTTGCTATTCTTGCTCTTCTCTGAAATGTGTGGTAATATTTCCTATGATCTCTATATAAACTTGGTCACATAGAGCTGTAGTTACTGTTTGTGAATATATTGGGTGAAGAAATTCAAAATTACAATCAGTATTGAATGTTTTTCACTCGTCTCCACCTCAACCTCATATCTATCTTATTAATTTCTGTGATATTGCATAAACCATCTGTTTGCTTTTCAGTATAAAAATCCTGCACTAAAATAAAAATTCTGATGATAGCCAGGCATGGTGGCTCATGCCTGTAATCCCAGCTATTTATGAGGCTGAGGTGTAAGGATCGCTTGAGGCCAGTAATTTGAGGCTGCAGTGAGTTATGATTGTACCACTGCACTCCACCCTGGATGACAGAGAGAGACCCAGTCTCTAAACAACAACAACAACAAAATGATGATGTTTCTAACTATGTATCTACCTGCATAGTACATATCTATACATATCTATATTTGCATTTATTTCTAAATTTATGTTCCACATGTAATGTGGGCCAAAATTACACTCCATATAAAGACTAGAAGTCAACTGCCTTATTGTGAATTGGTATGCATACTTTCCAATATATTTTTTAATGAAACATGAAGAAAGTACATAAATAATCACTATCATTAGTAAAGAAGCTCATGGGAAGAAGATTGTATAATCTTTTCCAGAATTTTATATTTGAGGACAACGTAGATGGTAATACTATGCAACATTGTAGAGAGAATGGCTCAAATAATACTTTTTAGTGTATATATTATATAATGATTGCATAGTATATAATGTTATTTTGAGATATATAAACATCAGTAATCATATATGTGTGAGTTATGAGTATTCATCATATTTAATAGAAAAGAAAACAAAATTTTTGATTTGTGTGTATGTGTACCGGAAAAATATATATGGAAGCAATGTACAGATTTCTGCCTATATAGCTATCATGTATAAATCATAGTTTCACACCAAGTGTGCTGGGGGTGCAGGAATAACCACATTTTTATAATTTGAAATTTCCTCTAGTAACCTTAATTATCCAAATCAATTGGGAGTTGATTCTATGTGAATAGCTCCAGAGCAGGAGTCACGTTCATGAGGTCTCAGAGGAACCATCATTTATGCGTAATCAAGTATGTTTTGTACAACAATGGCAAAACATTTTAGAGCAGCTAATCTGCAGTAATAAATATGATGAATTCCCAACTTCAATTTAATTTTCCTCTTTGGAAATATGAGGATAATCGTAATACCAATCTCAAATAGTTTTTTTGTTCATTTATTCATTTGTATTTTATTTGTTTATTAGTCACACATTCTTTTCTCAAATTGAGCAGTGACAAGCAGTGTTAAGATGTTTTGGGTACTTCAGTCAACAAGCTGCCATCTTCAACATGGGGTGAGTGTTCCACTGGGTGTATGTAATAATTTTCCAAGAGACATTCATTGCTTTTGAGATATCCACTTCCAATGCTCCTCTCTGTTAACGCTAGTTCTCCTAAGAAAACATTTGTGATTGTGTCCTTTACATCTGACTGTCACAAATTTCCTTCTCTCAGATTCTAAAAGGAAGATATGTCTCTAACACATTCCCTAATTTTGATTTTACCCAGGATGCAAAACAATCAGGAGTGCCAAAAATGTAACACTTTGAAATATTGGTGTCAGTAGTGAGAAAGGGAATGACTTTAATGAGTGAGTAACAAATCACTTTATAAAGCAGGGGGTTTCTAACTCTTTCCTTTCAAGAAAATTGAAGGAAAAATAATCAAATTTTCAGCTAAAAAATCACGAAATAATTTTTGATGATAGAACAGTGTTATTTTTGGTATATAACTCAGACGGTGACAAAAATAATTGACTTGCATTGCTGTACCCATATGAATTTTTTTAAAATAAAGTAAAATAACAGTGAAACCTTTATAATCTAGTTTGATACATGAACCAATTGAAGAAAAAATCCCATCAAATTAAAAATATATTCAAATTTAATAAGTACATTCACATTATTATTTTTATTAACTATATAATGATAAATTATATATTAATAATTAATATAATATTAACTCAATCCAAAAAGAGTAAATTTTAACATAGAGAGGCTTAAAATAAGAAAAAATGTATTTGTTGAAGAAAATGTATAAATGGAAGCACACAATTTATTACATTAGAATAAAATTCTAAGTCAACAAGTATGGAAAAAATAGCTCAAAAAGATTATAATCACTAATTATAATTACATCTATAAAATATGTTAAACAACAAATATAATTATTTTATTTAAAAATATTAACATTTTAAATTGAATAGAAATTACACCCTTTGTCATTAATTGAATATACAATACAAATGTTAAACCTCAACTTGTAAGTATGAAGAAGGTGTTAAGGTGTTTTTATAAAATTATTTTAATAGTGGCAGTACAATCAGTAGTTCTGAAACAACTAAATAACACGACTGTCTTTTAAAGAGGTTACCTATGATGGGAAATGAGAACATAAGCTAAAACTAAGAGTCCAGCCTGGCACGGTGGCTCACGCCTGTAATACCAGCACTTTGGGATGCCGAAGCGGGCAGATCATGAGGTCAGGTCAGGAGATCAAGACCATCCTGGCTAACACCGTGAAACCTTGTCTCTATTAAAAATACAAAAAATTAGCCGGGCGTGGTGGCGGGCGCCTGTAGTCCCAGCTACTCGGGAGGCTGAGGCAGGAGAATGGCATGAACCGGGGAGGTGGAGCTTGCAGTGAGCAGAGATCACGCCACTGTACTCCAGCCTGGCCGACAGTGCGAGACTCTGTCTCAAAAAAAAAAAAACAAAAAAAACTAAGAGTTGATGTGGCTATAATTTTGCCTAGCACAGTGTAAGCAAACACTGTACTTCCTCTCTATTACTAACAATGAAAAAGAATTAAAATTTAAGAAATGTTTAATTTCTGGATAATAGAGAATAATTTTTATAGCCATCTATGTGTATATTTAGAAACACAGTCTTGCTCTGTCACCAAGTCTGGAGTGCAGTGGCACCATGATAAGCTCACTACAGCCTCTAACTTCTGGGCTTAAGCAATTCTCCCACCTCAGCTTCCCTAGTAAATGGGACTAGGTCTCACTATGTTGCCCAAGCTGGTTGCAAACTCCTGCCCTCAATTAATCCTCTTGCCTCAGCCTCCCAAAGTACTGGGATTATAAGCATGAGCCGCCATTCCTGGCTTGATTCCATTAGATGAGTTTGATGTATTTTTTAAAATTTTTCAAACAGTTATTTAAGTATTGAGAAAAGATTATGTTAACAAATTTCAAAATTAATACTTTATGTGGTATATTTGTAAGGTTTCTTAAAAGAAACAGAATCAATAGGGTGTATATAAATATGTAAAGAGATTTGTTCTAAGGAATGGAGTCACACAATCATGAAGTCTTGGCAAATGCAAAATCTGATGGGAGAAGGAGATTGGCAGGCTGGAGAATAAAGATAGAGTTGCACTCCAAGTCTACAGACCCATATACAGACCCATAGCAAACCAGGAAAAGCCAGTGTTGCAGGTAAAGTCCAAAAATAGTCTGCTAGTGGTATTCCATACTCTCCCTCAGGGTAGGTCAGACTCCAACTGAATGAATGATACCTACCCATGTTATGGAAGGCAAATTGCTTAACTCAGAGTCCCCTGATTTAAATGTAAATATTATCCAAAAACACCCTCACATAATCATACAGAATAACCATATATGTAGGCACCATAGCCCAGCCAAATTGACACATAAAATTAGCCAGCACACATGACTATATTAAATTAGTCTCAGAACAATGGTATAAAATGGTTAAAATAATTTAGGTTACAGAAATAGGGACACCAAATCCACAAAGCTTAAAAGGACTGTCTACTGCCTTGATTATTTCCAGGTTGTGTTTAATTTTTTTTTTATTTTAGAAAATTAAGACACTAGATATTTAAGGGCTAATTTTTCTAAAGATAGATATCATTTTCAAGAACTTACACTAAACGTATCCTGAATTACTTATAAAAGCCAGTCACAATCATACCCTCTTCATTAGTATTAAGTATTATATTATGATTCCTGTTCTTGGGCAATTTAAAGTTCTTATGCCCTGAATGAGTCATATGTGCTCTCTTGGTATTGAATTTAACAAATTGAGGTTCTCTATTTCATTTCAAATAAGTTACTTTATTTTTTTCTTTTGTAATAAAAGGTCACAGCATTTTGTACCTTAGAAAGATAAGATGATATTAAAAGTGCAGTGAAGGTCAAAATGACATAAATTAGGGATAAAAATTAAGACACAGATGTTTTTCCAATTCTCCAGAAAATCCAATCCCAAACAGTGATAATCAAATGTAACTATTCTATTTATGTTACAAGTGGGCTAAGGCATGTTATGCAATAATTTAAAATACTCTAATAAAGTAAATGAAAGTGGAATGCCTTATCATAAAGGAAATAATGAGACTGGATAAGAAATGCTAGCATATTTTTGAATATCATAAAATATGGGCACATTCTCTCTTGTTGGCTAAAAATAATGACTTATTGGTTTACATGAATACATTTTCTTTTCAAAGATAAAGATATTCTAGTTTCATTCAAATCCTCATTTAGGATATATGCCACACTCATACTTTATAACTCAATACATATTGTTCAATTGAATGTATTATACATAAAGTAAGAATGTCAAATTATGGTTATTGTACTGATGAAGAGAGAAGCCTTATTGCATTTAGCAACACAAAGATAAGAGACTTGTAAGTGCTTGGAAACAATCTGATAGAGAATACAATATATGAGTTTTAAAGTGAGACCAACATGAGTAAAGACATGGTTTCTATGCATTGCTGTGATGGAAAATGTATTCAACTGTCCCAGCATCACTTTCCTTGTGTGATTTTTTTTTAATTCCTTCATCACTTCATCCAATGTTTATCATGCACCTTCCACATATTAGGAAAACAGCTGTATTCTGGAAGTATAGGAGAAAATAGTTGGATAAATTTTTTGCCTTCAGGAAGCCTATTGAGAGATATAGATATAAAAACACAAATAGAATAAATTTCGTTATAGAGATATTCACACATTCATTCATTCAACACATACTTAATGAGCACCTGTGATGTGGTACAGACATTTATTTTTTATGCTGGTGATACTGTGATGAAATAATGTAAAAATCCAAACTCATATAGCTTTTTGCTAAGTAAAGGACACAGAAAATAAATACATATTCTAGGAAGATACACATATTCAGGCAAATTAAGCAGAATATAACCTTTCAATCTAATATTTAACTTTCCAAAGCAGAAATTACTGGATAGAAATAAAAACAGAGACACATTATTTATTTAAAACAAATACTATATGTTAATTATGTATGTATTACACACACATTATATAATTTATGTATCATAAGTGTGTGTGTATGTGTGTATATGTGTGTGTGTGTGTGTGTATACATATTTGGAAAACAGTAAAACAGAAAAAGGAGAGAGTAAAATGATAACGTGTGAGGGAAGACCTCTGTAGTATAGTAGCCCTTGATCTATGGCAGGAATGAAGCAAGGGAGGGAGCCATGTAGATATATATTTACAGAAAAGTAATCTGGCATTTAGAATTGTCAATGCAAAGTTCTTGCAGGAATGCATCTGAGTACACTAAAAACAACAAAGAAGTTAGTATGGCTCAAGTAAGAGAGAGGGAGTGATGGGTGATAATCATTTTAAACAGGGCAACTTGATTACCCAGCTATTTTCCTCTTCTTTTCTAGGCATACAGAGCAGTTTTCAAGCCTCTATAGAAGTCATCTTACAGCGAGTCTGAGCCAGTGAAATGCAGTTATAGTGATATGTGTACTCCCAAGGTAGCTGTCAATGCTCCTACTCGGAAATACTCATATGTTGCTTCTGACTTGAAGCAGAGGAACTCACAACCTAAGAAGCCACAGGCTTGAAGATGGCAGAGCACAAGATGGCAGAAGTTTGGAATGAATTACTACTTGAAAGAGAAGCTCTTATTTACCAAGAAATATATTTTGGAATTTGCATGAGTAAGAAATAAATCCAATTATGCTAACATTATCATTGAAATTAGAGACGTTTCTGTTAGAGTAGCTGTTGTTACCATAGCTAATATAGATGAAGATTATATTGATTTACCAGCAGCCAGATTGAATAGGAAATTTAGGCCAGTGTAAATCTTCACCTTTCCACCCTTTTTCAGGTATCCCTGATCTCCCTATTTTGCTCTAAACAACCTTTAATCAACAGTACCTTCGAGGTTCTGACATTTATATTTTTTAGTGTTTGTTTTTCTTATCTGCTTCCCCTGACCAATGTATATTCCACAAATATAGAAATCTTTGTCTGTTTTGTTCACCGATTTATCTCAATCACCTAAATCAGTTCTTTGTATAGAAAACTTGCTCAATAACACTGATAAAAAATTGGCTGACTCTAACTTATTCCAAAGAAAAATGATGCTATTAACTTTACTAAAATTAAATATCTCTTTACCAAACCAAACCAAAATATGCAAAACAAAAACAAGAATCATGCTATCTTATGCAAACTGCTTAAATTCAATACTTTATATGAATATACTAAAACCTTAATGAAAGTAGGAAGAAAACCTATAAAATGTATTCATGTATTTTTTATTAGGTGGTTTTACTTTTTAGATCAGTGTCGCCATACTATCTAAGCACAGAAATTGGCAGTAATGGTCCACATCATTATGTCTTAAAAATTATACTATGCTTATCTACCACTTTTCTTCCTTGAAAAGAAAAGAAAAAAATCTTGCATTGTTGAAGAAAATCACTATTTTAAAAAGAATTGTTAATATCTGTGTTCAAAGGGAAAATTATATCCCAGTACTACTGCAATTTATATTTATTCCAGAATCACTAGAATCTGTACATTTCTAAAGAATTTTAAATGTTAAGTCTATTACATTGAAAAGAGATTTTGAGTAAAACCATGACAAAAAATGTAGTTTCTAAGTAATTTCCTTTAGTTGAAGAGAGGTATATTCTATGAAAGAGGACAAGGACAAGGAGGAATTTACTGTTTGTAGTTATAATACCATTTCCTACAGAGTGATTCAAGCAGATGGAATAATTTCAGACATAGGAAATGTTTTCTTAATAATACCTCTAAAATATAGGCACTTCCAACATTTTACAAATGCCAGTATTTCCACCTCTCTGTCTTTTATTTGTACAATTTCATCCTTACCATTCCAGAAATAAGGACAGATTACTATTTCATTGAGGAAATGACCAAATGGAGGCCAAGATACTAAAGATTATAATTTAATTTGCACTGTTTGTTTAACACAAGTGTAGAACCTAGATATTTTGGTTTCCAGTATGGTGTCCTTTCTATTTTTTCATGTGGCCACCTTCTCTGCTGGAAAAGGTGAAGAAATTTAATGTGAAATGTGTAAGCAAAATATATATTTATGGTAGCACTCACGTTGAAAGAAAGAAAGACAAAGGACAGGAAGGGGAGGGGAGGGAAGGGGAGTGGAGTGCAGGGGAGGGGAGGGGAGGGGAGGGAAGGGAAGGGAAGGGAAGGGAGAAAATGAGAAAGTTTGAAAGAAATACTGTTAGGATGGAAAATAACAAAAGGAAATCTAGTCAGTATTAAATAATGAAATACTAGTAAAACAAATGTGTCAGATCAAATGATTTCCTGACTTTTTAGAAACAAATAATTTTTTTATTTTTAATATCATCTACTCGTGATCTCTGAAAATCAAACTTAAGATACACAAATCTGGAATACAATAATTAGTCATAATTTTAGAATAGAAATTAAAAAGAAATTAAAAAGTTTATGAATGGCTGGGATAAATTTTACAATACCTGTTTTGAAATGAATTAACTGATTTTCTTTGACATATAAAAAAAATCTGAATCTCTTCCTGCATGTACCCCAAGGAAGCCTGAGAAACATCTGATAGGTAACAATAATGAAGGAAAAATATGTTGGTTTTGAGAGATGTTTGTTAATTTGTTGGAAATGTTTATTTTAATAGTACTCAGAAGCCATGGATCTTTATCCATAATATGTTCTCAATGACTGCTGTTTAGCAGAAGTTTTTATTGACTTCCAAAAGAGGGAACAACATAAAACATTTGCTTTCTGAAATACCAGTAACCATTTTCTCTTCAGCTGCAGCATGTATTATTTTGAAATGAATTTGGGGCTTAGGAACCAAAAGAACCTAGTTCAACTCCTGACTCCATCATGGGGTAGCCCTATGCCTCTACCTAGTCCCTGAACTTCTGCAGTCTTACTTTCTCAATTGAGTAAAGCAAATAAATAATGGTAATTACCTTTGATGTTGTAAAAATTGACTAAAATAATGGATGGGGAAAATGACTGAGATATAACAGATTTCCAATAAATGTTGGCCATTATTAATTAAAATAAATCTGACATCTTGAGCCTAATTCATTGGTCACAATGCAATGCTTTCACAGAAGTAGAGAAGCAGCAATAAAATTTCAGATGTCACTATATAAATAAATGGTTTGGACTTGAGATGCAAGTGAGTAGTTGGACATTCTTGGATTTAATTGCAGAAAATGTTATTTACATTTAGGAGACTATTAAAGAGATTACAGCATAATCTCATTAGTTTTCCCAAAAAGGAGGTTTGACTCACAGTAATCATTAAAAGTGATGTGTAAATTATAAGTGAAAGCACCAGCATGACATTACAATTATTTTATATTTCATTTTTCTATTGTTATTTTCTTAATTACAATTTCAGAAATTATTACAATAAAGTTAATATAGATTTTAACCTACATATTTGGAAAATTATTATTTGGAGGGTGCTTAAAATGGTGCCTGGTACACAAAATATTATATATATACACACACACAAACACATAACACGCACACACATATGGGGGACAGAAGGAGAGAGAGAGGATACATTTACACATGCATACATACATAGCACATATTAGGTATCCAGCTGCAAAGATAAATGAGTAGAAAGATAATGTCTTTGTCTGTTTTGTGTTGCTGTACAGGAATACCTGATGCTGGGTAATTTATAGAGAAAAGAGGTTTGTTTGCTTACAGTTTTGTAGACTGTACAAGAAGCACGGCATTAGCATCTGCTTTTGGTGAACACCTCAGGGAGCTTCCAATCATGGTGGAATGCAAGGGAAGCAGATATCACATGGAGAGAAAAGAGGCAGCAGGAGAGAGAGGAGAGGTGCCATGCTCTTTTAAACAACCAGCTCTCACGTGAACTAATAGAAGGAGAACTTACTACCACAGGGAAGGCACCAAGCCATTCATGAGGGATCTGTCCCATGACCTAAACACTTTCCATTAGGCCCCACCTCCAACGTTGGGGATCTCATTTCCACATGACATTTAGAAGGAACAAAAATCCAAACTATATCAATAATCATACGTCTTTTTTTTCTTAGTGGGGTGTTTTAAATACATGGGACACCCTGAGTTGATAGTTTTCTATTCTAATATACATAGACACATACTAATCGTTTCTAGGGTATTTACTTACCCTGCATTTTTTTTCATAGAAAAGGAAAATAAAACATTTCCTTTTAAGATAGCATGTTTCCATTTCTTGATTTTTAAACAGACACACAGATGAATTACATTATTGACAAGTAATCAGTTTTAGGTAGTAAGATAAATTTCATGTGCTGGAAAAGGTAGCTAAAGTGTGACAGTTGTCTTATTTCTTCAATGACTGATGCTTTAAATGCTTAAAAATGAGAACCTAGAATGGCCTCTCTGAACAACCAAGTTATAATGGAAGCACTGAAATTAGTCAACTAAACTTTTTACTTTTCATTTGTTCTCTCATGAAGTAATTATTTTCTGTTTAATTTATATTATCTCAAAATGTTTTATTTTCTACAAAAGAAGCTAAATATTTAATTTTATTTTTCTTTAAAACCCAAATAAAAAAGCACTATGGCAAAAAATGTTTGATGCTCAGAAATAAAAAAGAAAAGAAGGGTTGTGCCCTCTATCTATGAACATCAGCTTTATTAAGCCTTTCCAAATTAACGACATTTGAACATATCTCATGTCTTTTATCATCATCATTTAATAAAAAACAAGGCATTAAGACACAAGTAGTGAAAAGAGCATAATCTCAGAATAAATGAAAAATTTGCTGCATGAAAAATTCACCAAAGAGTATTTTCGTATTTCTCATAGTGCATCTAGCTGTATACTAAGATTTGCAAATGGCTGGTTTAGATTATTCCTCCATTTTAAAATGTATAGCATAATGGAATGTTAATCTTACAAGTCATAGAATCTCAATGAATGCATAATTAAAGAAATGTTCACCTGAGAATCATAGAATCTCAACCTATAAGGAAATATTGAAAATCTAATATCTTGCTTGCAAAAAAAAGAAGTTATTTTATCATTTTATCATTTTACAACAATATCTCATATCCACCCTCACCACTCTACTTGTCTTCTTGTTTCAATGACTGATTTGACCTTCAGGGTCTCTAAAGCCCAACTTCTCCACTTGTAATAGGAAATTACTTTCTGCATCCTTCAAAATTGCAGTTGGCCACCTCTCTTCTGGAACATCGTTTTCTCTTGAGTCATTTCTATCATTAAACAAAATGCTCTAGACTTTTCTGTCTTCACAAATATCTACTTTACTTCACAGCTCTTCAAAACACAAGTTCTCTGCTAGCAAGATTTTCCTAAAAGGCTGTCTCCAGTTCTTGCCATTCTCCTCCTAAGAACTTTCTAATAGCTTCCGCTTTGAATTAGAATAAATTTCAAAATACTTACACAGCCTACAATAACCTCTATAAAGTACACCCTGGGGCTTCTCCAAATTCATTTTGACTACTCCACATCCCTTACTTATCACTATGTACAGCCACACTACTCTTCTTTCATGTCCTTAAGCAGGCTCGTAGCGTTTCTGCTTTAAGGATCATTGGAATTGTTTTTCCCTCTCTCTAGAAAGCTCAGCCTCCAGATATTAACAGTGCTATCATTCAGATTTCCATTCAAATGCCGTTATCCCCAGAGACCTGCAATACCCAGACTTCCTTCAGTAGCATTGCCCACCACTGTCACCCTCATCGACTATTTTACTTTCTTCATATCACTATCTACAATTGACTTTTTACTTGTTCAACACTTGTCTTATTACCACTCTGGGATACAAGTAAAATGAGAACAGGGACCTTTTCTGTTTTATTTACTGATAGACACATAAAACAGTTTCTGGTACATAGTAATAGGCAATGGAATTTATTTTCTGTTTAATACATGCAAACATTTAACTATGTATCCCTGAATATTTCTCACATCCACATATATATGTAGTTTTAAAGTAATATTAATTAACCTATGCATGAAATTTTAAAGAGATTTGATCCCATTTGCAGTTGCTTTGATAAGATGATAAATGATATAGTTTGGATATCTGTGCCTGCCCAAATCTGTTGAATTATTATCCCCAATGCTGAAAGTGGAGTCTGGTAGAAGGTGTTTGGATCATGGAGGGAGATCCCTCATAGCTTGGTGCTGTCTTTGTAATTGTGGGTTCCTGTGAAATCTGGTCCTTTAAGAGTGGGCAGGACCTCCAACCTGTCTCTCTCTCTCTCTCTCTCTCTTGCTCATGCTCTCATCATGTGATGTGCTTGCCCCACTTCACCTTCTGCCATGAATGAAAACTCCCTGAGGCCTCCCCAGAAGCCAAGTGAGGTCAGTGCCATACTTGTACAACCTGCAGAATCTTGAGCCAATTAAACCTCTTTTCTTTATAAATTATCCAGTCACAGATTTTTTATAGCAATGCATAAAGGCGTAATAAATAATCACAAATATCCATCTCTGCAATTTTCTTTTTTTTACTTTTTTTTAATTTATTTTTTAAGACACAGTCTCACTCTGTTGCCCAGGCTGGAATGCAGTGGCACAATCTCGGCTCACCACAACCTCCACCTCCCAGGTTCAAGCAATTCTCCTGCCTCAGCCTCCCAAGTAGCTGGGAGCACAGGCACACGTCAACACACCCAGCTAATTTTTGTATTTTTAGTAGAGATGGGGTTTAACTATTTTGGCCAGGCTGGTCTCGAACTCCCCACCTCGTGATCTACCCACCTCAGCCTCCCAAAATGTTGGCATTACAGGCACGAGCCACCACGTCTGGCCTTGCAATTTTCAAATAACTACAACTTTAAGGTAATTCTATGTTTTCATTGCTGTTAAAATTACAAAAATGAAAAAAACTCTAAATTCTTATAATTGATAAGTATCAGATTAAATATATATATATATATAAAATACACACACACGCAAATATTTTTACATTTAAAAGTTCAAACAACAATTTGGATTTTTTATTGGTAAGTGGTAATTTACAGTATTTCTGCTTTTCAATACCAAAATTATACCAGTAGGTATTTATAGTCTCTAGAGAGTTCTTACAACATAGATATACACAAAAGCACTGTAGTAGGTAGACTATAAGCTGGTTCCCTTCCTTAATTTTATTCATACCTTGAGCATAGGATAAACCTAGTGACTTCCTTTTAAACAAAGGAATACAGCAAAAATAATAGAACATCACTTTCATGGTTAGGTTACTGACTTCTGTAATGCTGGAGACTTTATTGCACTCATGGATGGCATGTTTTAATAAGGCAGGCTGCTATGTTGAAGAGATACATGAGGAACTTAATCCTGCCACAGGCGCTTGGAAGCAGAGCCCTTTCCAGTTGAGACTTGAGATGACTATGGCCTGGCCTCTACCTGATGGCAGCCTGTGAGAGACCCTGAGCTAGAGGACCTAGGTAAACAGTACCCAGATTCCTGACACACAGAAATTATGAGACAATAAAGATGGGTAGTTTTAAGCTGCTAAGTTTGGTGTAATTTACTATATAATGATAGATAACTAAGGCCCCTTTAAATTCAGATTCCATCTTTGAAAATATTTAGAATTTCCACCTTTGTTTAGTGTTCTCCACTCAACTACCTTATTTAAATATTTTCCTCTATTTTTATGATTCTAAACCCATGTTTTCTGTTTTTATCTAGTGAAGTCATAGCCACTGTATATTCAAAAATACAGTTATCTAATCAATCTTCAAGTTACTGTAGCAAGAATTTAATATTATTGACTATACAACTCCATACGATTACTGCTAAATTTTTGTAATTATAGAAACAGATGCTTGTACATTAGGTTGGAGAGTTGAGAGAGATAACACACATTTCAGTGGCATATGGATTGAGGAGGAAGCAGAGCTCAGTATAAATAAACTGGAATTTCTTGAGTTGAGGAGCTTGTCAGAACTAGTTTTTCCTAATCGTTTATATTATTACGTTTCTGTCAGACCATGCACGCAGATATTTTTGAGATTTGATGCCCCAATTTGAAATAATCACATCTAGTTTCAAAGAGTTAGTGAACTGTAGATGAAAATCAATATAGGCCCTCAAATCTTACTTACTAGTTACTTTAGGAAAATTACAGAGTTTGTTATTTATTAGAAAACAAGCAGCAAAACTTAATTCCTTCTTCTGATGTATTCCTAGCACTTTCTTTTGAGGTGTTTGAAAATTGTGCTTGAATTTCCAAAAGCTGTTGTTATACTTCTACTTAGTTGAGTAACACACAGCATGTTATTGTTACTGCTCTCTTAAGTCAATGAGACTTATATGAAAATGTACTGACTAGAGCATCTCTTTGCTTTATGTCTTTCTTGCTTATTCAATGCTGGTTTCATGATGACAAGAGCAATGTATTTTTTAAAAACCATACACCTTTAAAAATCAACACCATTTCCATTCAATATTTAATCTGTTGCTAGATTTCTAGTTTTGTCATTTTTGTTATGTGTGTGTGTGTGTGTGTGTGTGTGTGTATGTTGGTTAAAATCAAGTATAATCATGGATCTCCTAATTAAAATGTATTAATAGTAGTCTATGGAATGTATTCCATTCCACCTAATATGACATACAAGTTCTTGCTAGTATGGTATATAAAAAGATTTGCAGGCTTGAAGCAGAAAGTCCTGTGAGTTAAGCCTTGGGATTCCACTGATCAAGAAAATGGCATTGGGCATTCCACATACCTTCTCAAATTAATTCTCAGTTCATCAAGGTGAAGATAAGATTGCATACCTTAATATCTGTTGAGGGAATAGAATGAACTAACTGATGGAAAGAACACATTCAAGCACATGATCCATAAAATCAGGGTGTAGTTGGTGTCAACAGTCTAATTTTCTATCTATCTTACTCCCATTCATTCTCCAGCCGTTCGAAGAAGAAAAGTTAGGGGCATTGTATTCCCTGTGTTCAGCCATCTCTTTTACATATCTTCTCCCTTGTAAATTATAAATATTTGTTTCAGGCCCTACTCAAATAATTTTCACTTTATATAAGTTGTCTCCCCTACAATTCTCACAATCCTTATAACTTTATCATTTCTCTTATTTTTAACCATATCATTTTATATATGATTACCTCTCATCACTTAGTAAAGTGTCAGCATTTCAAAGGCATAAAAATATTTTACTTAGCCTTCTCTTTGTTTAACACAGCACGAGGTAGGCACTTAATATTCGAGTAAGCAAATTAAATTAGTCATTGAGAAGCTATTTCTAGCTATTGATTTGTGTCAATTATTGTAAATAACATGAACATAAATGTTTCAATTTTTTTTTTTTAGAATTCATTTTTATTTATTTATGTATTTATTTTTTTTTCAACTGTTGTTCATTTGCTACGAAATTAGTTACATAAGCTAAGGGCAGTAGAAAGGCTACAGTATTTTGTACAATGAGTCACAGACAGTTCTCCCCACAAAGCTTGGTTGTGTACTTTATTGACTTCTTATCACATAAAAGAAATATAGGTCTCTCTACTCTGATGATATGTTTTGTGGTCTTGTCATGGCCTCTAATTTTACCTTCAATTAAATAGTCAAAAGAGCAATTAGATTTAAGGGATTTCTTTCTTTATTAGACCACTTGGCTCCATCTATCCTTTCATTGGGAGCATTGATACAGTCTTAAATTACTTGGAAAAATTGATAATGAATTATGCTCCTCGAGGCTGTGGTTAATTAAATTGGCTACCCTTTTGTCTTCAGCATAGGCAGCTGGGGCACTGGACTACAGAGGACTAATGAGTCCTACTTAAGGTAAGTCCTCAAGGAATGTGAATTCCTGCTGTCAGGCAGGAATATCATTCAGATGACAAAGTTCTCTAATCTACTAAGTAGGTCAAACTCTCTAATAGAAAATATAAAGCAATTTGGGGTCTGTTAAAATCAGAAACTATGAATTTAATTAGTTATTATATTCAACAAACTTTTATTAATATTGTTTTGGACCACTGGTTGTGGAGAAATGCTTAAGAAATCCTTTATAATAGGGAAGCACTTGGATCAAAGAATAGTTCTGCTAAAAGCCATGTGTCTCCAGACTTAAGTAGTTTTAGAACAGATTACATATCTAAACAGGTCACAAGAGTTATATTAAATTTGTTAAAGCTCTAGTAGGGTGATTAAAATTGCTGTACCTAGTAGCAAATTACATTGTTTTGCAAAATATGCATTGTTGAATGTTATACTTCCGCTTGAGTGTCTAACATTTTGGTGCTGAGAATAAATAAATGTTTTGTGGCTTTCTCCTTTTTTTAATTCAATTATGTTTGTAATTTTTCAGTATAATCTTGTTCTTAATATAAGAACATATGTCAGTATTGAATTGCTCTAATGAAGGTCAAACTAGAAATGAAAAGTTTATAATGATACTATTAATAAAAATAATAATGAATTATTAACCACTTATGAAATGGCAGACACTGTAATAATCATTTTTATTGATTTATTTATTAAATATTCAGAAAATTATTATGGTAGTTACCATTATTATCATTAAAAACTAACTTTGAAAATTACTTTAAAAATAAAGAAACTGAGAAACGGAGAGAGTAAAAAATTTGCTTATGGTTATACAACTAATCCCCAGTGAAGCAAAATCTCAAACCCATTTTAACAACACAGCCCACACTCATAGACAAAGCAATATTGCCTCCTTTTGGCAATGAATTGAAAGATTTCAAAAATCATATATTTCAGTTACAGTGAGTGGCATGTTAAATATAATACTTTACTATTCAGTGTGTACTGTGGACCAGCAGAATGACCATTATCTGGTAGGTTTTTAGAATTGTGGAATTTCAGCATCAAAATTACAGAATATCAGCTTCAGCCAGATGCATTGAACCAGAATATGCATTTTAACAAGATCCCCAGGTGCTTTAAATACACACTAAACTTGAGAAGCACTGATATGCCATAGTGTTTCTCAATTTTAAATACACATTTAAGATCACCTTGGAAAATGTATGTATATGTGTATGTTTGTGTCGTGTGTGTTTATCCACATACACACACACACACACATTTCTCGTTTCCGAATAATTATAAATCATAATCTCTGAGGTGGTTGCCATGGTACTGGTATTTTTCAGGCCTTTGAGATGATTCCAATGTATAGTCAGGGTTGAGAAACACAATGTAAAACCCTGATACAGTAGTTCTCAAATTTTGTTTTGCACGAGAGTAAGCTAGAGGGATTTGTAAAACTCTCATTGATAGATTCCACTTCCAGAGTTTTTTATTCTGTAGGTCTGAGATATGGCCCAGGGATTTGTATGTCTAAATGTCCCCAAATGATGCTGATCTAGGAATTACATTTTGAAGAACTATTGATGTAATAAAATTTATGACTTTGCAGAAGTAATTAGGCTTACTGGGGATGGAAGGAAAGAGGGATATAAAGTGCAGACTCTGAATCAAGCACACCTGGATTAAGACTCTTCTGTCACCTATTACTTTTGCAAACCTGGTGAAGATACTTACACTTAATTGCTTGAGAAAACCTCCATACCCACGCAATGAAGATAATAGTGCCAGTATCCTGAACGGTGGTAAGAATGAAATAAAAATGTTTATAAATTCCCAAGATGGTGTCTGACACATATCCTTTCCTTAATCCATGTAGTAGTAAATTATTGGAGCTCAAGTCTCCAAATTTTTATTTTAAATCCCAATTGCAGCAGTTAGTATTAAAATAAATTTGGTATTTCTAATTAGGCCTCATGTAGTTGATAGAGCTAGCCAAGTGTACAGTGAGAGAATTGGAAAGTTCAGATATTTATTATAGATTAATCATCAAAAAGCTAACCACACTGGGAAATCAGTCCTTCTACCATACATATAAAAGTTTTCAAGTAAACCCATAGATAGTATATTTAGCTTTTCCTAGCTTTTATAAAAATTTAAATTTTATGCTTTAGGTTCTGGAGCTCTAGTCAAGTCTCCCATTTACGCACATGCAACTTTCACTGTAGTGAAAGGAAATTGCAGATTCCTGACATCAAAATTCTGTTTCAGACATCTGGCATTCTACACATCAATTTTCTCCTGCATTTGCTGTTCTTCTCAATTGTTCTGTAAACCCACAACACCCTGTATGATGACCTGAAATGGACTTAACACCGCATTGCAATATTTAACATACATACATCTTCATTATACCATAAGCCTTGAGAGGGTAGATCTTTATTATTTATCTTTACTTTCCCAAAACTTCCCACAATTTTCATTATTGCAGACACTCAACAAACATTTGCTGAATGGATGATGGAGCAGTATCCTCCAAAGGTGGATAGTCATTTGTATAAAATACAAGTGTTAAACAGGTATGTCAAGTATGACCATATGGCTGCTGTAATAAATTCTGCTTAACTAGCATTTTCAAAAATAGAGCAATGGGCCGGGCATGGTGGTTCACGCCTGTAATCCCAGCACTTTGGGAAGCCAAGGCAGGTGGATCACCTGAGGTCGGGAGTTCAAGACCAGACTCACCAACATGGAGAAACCCGGTCTCTAATAAAAATACAAAATTGGCTGGGCATGGTGGTGCAAGCCTGTAATCCCAGCTACTCAGGAGGCAGAGGCAGGAGAATTGCCTGAACCCGGGAGGCAGAGGTTGCGGTAAGCCGAGATCACACCATTGCACTCCAGCCTGGGCAACAATAGTGAAACTCTGTCTCAAAAAAAAAAAATAAATAAATAAATAAATAAATATATATATATATATATATATATATACACACACAAGCAATGAAAATTGAAATTCATAGAGTGAAATGTTTTCTGCTACTATAAAAATAAATTATTTCAATCCAATGTAGAAACTAATCAAAAATATGTACTAGACATTATCTGAAGCCAAAACCTTAGGATATAGTAGTCTCCATGAAAATGATTGTGCATTACACTCAGAAATATACTCTATTTTATATGTGGTTAAAGCATATGAGATTAAACAAAAACCTTTACGAGTACTTAAATAAAGGTCCAAATTAACTTTATTTTAAAGGAACATTGCAATTAGGGCAGCCAACAAGGTTATGAAGCAAGAAACATTTTATGAAATTGTGGAGGAAGCTGTGAATCTTGCTGTGCCAAAATAAATAAACCACAAGATAAAAATAACTCAGAAGTAGAACAAGCAAGAAATGATATCATTAGCAACTAACTTTGACAATTACTTTTCCCCAGGTAAAGCAAGGATACTGTTTGCAAGGACATGATAGGACATAGGTAAATAATAACTGAAAATACTAGCAAGATTAATATAATATTGAAATATGTGTGAATGTATTTATTCCATTTTAGATCATCAAAAGATCTAAATCTATATGATATAGGAGAAATACTACAGGATTTTTTGAGCCAGAAGATCAAAGCACAAATACCTTCTCTGAACACACTGATTCTGTGACCTTGAGCATACTATTTAATTTCTGAGCTTCAATCCCTCTTCTTTACTTTTTGTGTGTGCACGTGTGTTTGTGTGTGTGTATTTTCAATGAACTAATAGATATAAAGTTCCTAAACTACTATCTAGTACATGGGTTACATTTAATATATTTCTGTATTTGGCATGCAAGTATGCAGTACTAAAACATTGCAAATCTGTTTAATATATATTTGAGAGGTAGTTAGAGAATCTTGAAGAAAATGAAGCCCCCTTAACAATGAAAAGTCTGCTAATATAAATAGCAGATGCTTTTAATTTTATACAGTGAAGATGTCTTTAAATAGTAGCTTATGTATTTTACTTGTTTCTTACAAAATACCTAGAAAAGTGCGAATCCTGTGCACTGAGTAAATTAGAAAGTTTGGCCTTTATTCTTTAGAAAATCCGCTAGCCAATATCTTACCTGATCTCAGATATTCGTTTCTAGGGGCAGTAATTTCCTGAACTCCACAGAAGTGTAGCAGCAACAAAATTAATCGAGATGTAGTCACCCCTTGGGGAAGTTGACACAAAAGCCAACCTCCCCTGAGATTTTTTTTTCCAGTCCTTCCCATCAGTTTTCGCTGTATGAAATAGGCATACCAAAGGTAAATTCTGTCATTCATGAACATAATTAAGAACCAGTTCTCAATTATTCTCATCTTATCTACTTAATATTATATCTATAACCCAAAAAACAAATTAAGCAAGGTATATAGCAGGGAGTTAATAAGCCAGATGGTATCGAAAGTGCTAATAATAAACATTTAAGAACTTTGGTAAGACTGAAACACATTTAGTGATTATTATTATGTGATTTATGAAAGTCATTGTGCATCCAAATACATGTCCTCCTAAGGATACTGACGTCATACATGTAAGTTTTAAAATTCTAATGGTTACATCTTTTAGAAAAGATATATAAGATATAAAAGATAATAAGAGAATCCTAAAAATAATACATACTAATCACTCTAGGAATAATTAGATATAACCTTGCTAAGGTTGAAAGGATAGACTGAATTCATTATGAAAATCTGATTTATGAACTTTCTACTCAAGTAACTTTATGGGAAAGTGTTGGATGTTCCTTTTTATATTTTAAGAAAAAAATTTCATTAGTCAAATATCATCAGATCTTGATCTTGAAATTCCTCCACCAATTCATCAAATGGATGTTTTGCATTTGTTTTCCCTCCTCTTGCAATCTTTTTGTTAATGTACTAATTTATATTTTTAAAAAAGATGTGTTCTTTTCCTGTGATTAATTGCGCCAGGAGTATACTGTGCCCCTTTCCTACATTATGGTATTTGGAAAGAAGGAAAAAATAATTGTAATATTGCTCTTAGAACGTGTCATCAGAATAAAGAGCGTTGTATAATCTCAATTCATTAATTTTACAAACATTTAGTAAACACCTACGTTTAGCCAGGAACTCTTTTGGGTATTAAGTATATAATCATAAACAATGCAAAGTCCCTGGCATAATAGAACTTACCTTGTGAAGGCATGCGTGGGGGACAGGTAGAGATACATATAACAAAAAAAAACAAATAAATATGTATTATGTCAGAAGAAGATAAATACAACAGAGGGGAAAAAGTCAGAGGAGGAAATTACAGTGTCTATTATCAGGGCAGGCTGGATGCTATTTATAGAGACTTATCAAAATGACATCTCAGTTCAGACCTGTAGTAAATGAGAAGCCACGAGGTATTCAGGGAAGAATGTTTTAGATGAAAGGAACAGCGAGTGCAGAAACTCTAGGGCAAGAGTGTGCAGGGAGACCATCATAGCTGAAGCAAAATGGACAAGAAACTGGTAGAGAATGAGGAAACATTGGTAACAAAGCAGCCAGGTTTAAAAGGGGCTTGTATGCTACTGTAAAGAATGTTGGCTTTTTACGGAGTAAGATGAGAAACCACTGAAGGGTTATTGCAGAGGAATGATACGATCTAACATACATTTTAAAAGGACAGCTCCGGTGGCTGCATTAAGAATAACCTGAGCCAATCTAGAAGTTGTGATGATACTACTGGCTTGGACTAGAATAATGCAGGTAGAAGGGATGAAAACCGGTTTGCTGATGGTTTGCATGTGGCATGTGCGGGAAACGGAGGAATCAAGGATGTCATGATGTCATGTGGATGTAAGCTTTTTCCAGTCCACTGAAAAAGCCAGATGTGCTATCATTACCCCACAGCAAAACATTCATATCCCTGGCTTCATTGTACCTCTTGCCTAAACTGTGCTGGATAAACAGCCAAACATTTACTGTCCCCTTGTCAAGTTCTTTGCTGTTCATGAGTTTTACTTTATCTATCTCACTTTACTTAAAATTACTTACTTTAAAGTTTCATTTTACTTATCTTTAATAATTTGACTATGCCATTTAAAAGCAATAGTACCTTTCACAATCAAGTCTATGATATTTTCTCTGTTCTCTCTCTTGATTAGGAAGCCATCAGGCCTTAAGAGAGAAAACCTGTTGAGCACACACTATGTGTTATAGACTGTAATGAGCATGCTAGGTAAATTAATTAATTAAATTCCACAAAATCTTCATGGGATAACTATTATGTATTGATATATTTGTATGAAATGTATACCTGTACTCTATATATTAAACATATGAAGTCCAAAATGGACTGTTTAATTTACCCAGGGTCACCAACATGGAATGTGGGAGCAAAGATTTGAGTACAGATCTATATGCTTTCTAGAAAAGTCACTAATCTTACTAATCACATGCTCGTATATTTTAAAGACTAACTCTCACAAACTAACTGTATTTTCGGTTGTCTGACCATAACACATTGAAGAGTTCCTACATAATTATCCATATTATTGATTATTTATTAACCTAGAACTACTTATGCTGTGCTTTGCTGAGGTCAGAGTAGGACTCAGGCTTTGGAATGAGATAAATGAACTGGTATACGGTGAAGTGGTCCTAACTGCCAATGATGGGCAAAGGGCAATGGTTGAACGTGTGTGTATGGGTTTGTGTGTGTGTCTATGTGCATGTGTGTAATCCTGATGAAATGAAAATTTACAAATAATATGTTTCCATGGTTAACTTGGCCTAGTCTTTTATCTAGGCCAAGTTTGAAAACTTGGTTCTGTGATTTCCTCGTTATATTTGTATGTATGGGTGCCACATGTCTGTCTCATTTAGCCTACATATTTATTTCAATTCTTCACAATTTAGCATGGTATTGGTGCAGCATTACCTTTAAAATCTGGCACATAATTAATATGTTTTACTCTACAATGAATTTTTTCTGCACTATATGATTCATTTGAATTAAATGAGTTCTTAAAAGTGAGGGACAAGTTAACATTAGATAATCAGAAGCAGGAGTCCATCCAAAATAGAGACATATTTATTGTCATCATTTCAATAATTAACCAACTTGTAAGTATTCATTTTTGCTTCTTATATTTAGCACTAGTTGTAAGATATTATTCTCTAGTTTTGTATTTCATATGATAATTTACAATACTTCATTTATATTTATAATCATGGTTAGGATTAGATATAAATTCATTATGCATATGAAGTTTAAATAAATAGTTAGAAAATTACCTGCACAAATCACTGAAACAACCAGACACTTTCTATTTTGCAACTAGAGGTAGATAAAATTCTTAGAATCCAGTTTATTTTGCATAAGAAAAAAAAGTTTGTAATTATGAGAGCCCTTTCTAAACTATCTAAATCACCCATGATTGGCAACTCAGTCTTCTGTATGCTGTTTTATTTGGTTGATTTTGCATATTCTGTCAGTTGAATGTACAAGGAATTTCTCTCATAGACACTTTACATTAATGGATTCATAAGAAAAAGTCCAGGCTCAAACTTCAGAAAAAACATCAAGCCTTGTACCACGGTATTTTGAACTCTCAGTCCTCCCAGACTGAGAAATAGGTTGTGGACTTGAACAGATTGGAGTTCCATATTGAGTAGAGTGGGCAAATACTGTTTTTCTAAGAAAAAGTTCTATAATAGATTAGCAATATCAGTCCTGTTTACGGATAGTTGGTGTCTGCTGTGTGCCTCTTGTATTTGCCCATTCTGAAATCTCCTCAGTGATCTGCTCTCAGGACTTCTATGTGACAAGAAACTTCCAAGAGCCAGGGTGTAACAGAAAGCAATCAGAAGGTGAAAGAACTAATTTTTTTCTAACCTGTCCCATTTAACTTAATAATTATGTCAATATCAATTCTAATGGCATTAGAAAGCATAGAAAAATCAGCTTTTCTGATACCTCTCCTATTTCAACAACAACTCCATCAAGCCCATGTTAAGTTTAATTACAATTGCAGTCTCTAATACATATGTATTCCAGGGAGTTAACCACACCTCCTGCCAAATAAAGAACTAAAGAATGAGTGGGGTGTGGTGGCTCATGCCTGTAATTCCAGCACTTTGGGAGGCCCAGGCGGGTGGATCACTTGAAGTCGGAAGTTAGAGACCAGCCTGGCCAACATCGTGAAACCTTGTCTCTGATAAAAATACAAAAATTAGCCAGGCATGGTGCTACTTGGGAGGCTGAGGCAGGGGAATCACTTTAACCCAGGAGACAGAGGTTGTGGTGAGCCACTGCACTCCAGCCTGGGCGGCAACATGAGATTCTGTTTCAAAAAAAAAAAAAAAAAAAAAAAAAGAACTAAAGAATGTCTAAAGAGTGTCTTGCTATTCTGTTCTTTATATACTTTCAATCCCTATTAAAAGTAGGACTCTGAAATCATATGTTTGTGCTTGTGTGTGTGTATGTGTCTCTGTGACAAAGGAATATGAGAGAAGAGATGTGTATATATATCTATATATGTACATAGATAAATCCAAATGTATTCAAATTAAAGACCATTCATATTATTGTTGCATATTACAGTAATATTAAAAATCCTTTGAATAACAGAAATAATTTGTTGATTAATTATATTTTTGTTTTTTTCATTATTTATTTTTATTTTTAATTTTTGTTTAATTTTAAGATGGGAACTTTACTCCATTGCACAGGCTATAGTTCAGTGGCAGGATCATAGCTCACTGAAGCCTCAAATTTCTGGGCTCAGAGGATACTCCAACCTCAGCTTCCTATGTAGCTGGGACTACAGGTGTATGCCACCATGCCCAGATGATTTTGTTTCACTTTTTGTAGAGATAGGGTATCATTTTGCTGCCCAGGCTGGTCTTGAACTCATGACTTCAAGTGATCCTCCCACCTCAGCCTTCCAAAGTGCTGGGATTACAGCACCATGTGTGGTCCAATTATATTTTTAAATGTATATGTTTATACATTGATTATATATACATAAATAATTTTATATATTTATATATACATGTGCATACACACACACACACACACACACATACATATCCTATATTTCAGCTGGGTGAGGTGGCTCACTCCTGTAATCCCAGCACTTTGGGAGCCCAAGGTGGAAGGATCACTTGAACTGAAGAGTTGCCTAGGCAAAACAGTGAGACCTCATCTCTATGAAGAATAAAATAATTAGCTAGGCTTGGTGGCACGCATCTGTAATTTCAGCTACTCAGGAGGCTGAGGTGGGAGGATGGCTTGAGCCTGGGGGGGTCAAGGCTTCAAGGCTTCAGTGAGCCATGATTGTGCCACTGCACTTCAGCCTGAGTGACAAAGACCCAGTCTCAAAATAAACAAAAAATAAAAAAGGCAGGAATAGAAAAAAACCTTAGATTTCAAAAAGACTCAGAGACTTTGAATGGAAGTCCTATATTACTGTAGAGGATCGTACAAACAGATTTTATTTTATATACATATATATACAGACAAATATACATACATAAATATATTGATATACACAAACGTATGCCACATAACATTTCAGTCAAGGACAAACTGTACTTAAGACGGTGGTCTCATATGATTATGAAGGAGCTAAAAAACTCCTATCGCTTAGTGATGTCGTAGCCGTCTTAACGTTATAGCACAATGCATTACACATGTTTGTAATGATGCTGATGTAAACAAACTGCACTTCCAATTGTGTAAAAATATAACACATAAATTATATATAGTGGATAATACTTGATAATAAATGACTATGCTACTGGTTTATGTATTTACTATACTACATTTTCATTGTTATTTTAAAGTACACTCCTACTTACTAAAATAAAAGTTAACTGTAAAATAGTCTCGAGCAGGTCCAGAGAAAGGCATTCCTATCTGCTCCATGCATATTATGGTCCCTGAAGACCTTCCAGTGAGAAAAGATGTGGAGATGGAAAAGTGGTATTGATGACTTGACCCTATGTAGGCATAGACTAATGTACGTGTTTCTATCTGAGTTTTTTTTTTTTTTTTTGAGACGGAGTCTTGCTCTTTCGCCCAGGCTGGAATGCAGTGGTACGATCTTGGCTCACTGCAAGCTCCACCTCCCGGGTTCATGCCATTCTCCTGCCTCAGCCTCCCGAGTAGCTGGGACTACAGGCGCCCGCCACCACGCCTGGCTGATTTTTTTTTGCATTTTTAGTACAGACAGGGTTTCACCGTGTTTGCCAGGATGGTCTCGATCTCCTGACCTAGTGATCCGCCCTCCTTGGCCTCCCAAAGTGCTGGGATTACAGGCGTGAGCCACCGCGCCCGACTTCTGTCTGAGTTTTAACAAGAAAGTTTAAAATTTTTTTAAAAAGTAAAAATTAATAAAATCAAAAATAGAAAACCACATATAGATTATGGATATGAAGAAAAATCTTAGGCCAAGTGCAGTGACTCACACCTCTAATCCTAGAACTTCGGGAGGATGAGGTGGGTAGATAGCCTGAGCCCAGAAGTTCAAGACCAGCCTGGGCAACGTGACAAAATCCCATCTATACAAAAATACAAAAAAAATCAGCCTGGTGGGGTGGTGCACACCTTTAGTCCCAGCTACTCAGGAGGCTAAGCTGGGAGAATCACCTGAGCCTCCAGCAAGTTGAGGCTGCAGTGAGCCGTGATTGTGCTACTGTGCTCTAGCCTGGGTGAAGGAGTGAGACTCTGTCTCAAAAAGAAAAAAAGGAAAATGTATTTGTGTTTTAAGCTAAATGTTATTACTAGAGTCCAAAAGTTGAAACAGTTTTTTACTAGTATAATTTAAGTTCTGGGATACATGTACAGAACGTGCAGGTTTGTTATATTGGTATACATGTGCCAGGGTGGTTTGCTGCATCCATCAACCCATCATCTAGGTTTTTAGCCCCACATGCATTAGGTATTTGTCCTAATGCTCTTGCTCTCCTTGCCCTCTACTCCTCGACAGGCCCTAGTGTGTGATATCCCCTCCTTGTGTCCATGTATTCTCATTGTTCAACTCCCACTTATGAGTGAGAACATGCAGTGTTTGGTTTTCTGTTCCAGTGTTAGTTTGCTGAGAATGATGGTTTCCAGCTTCATCCACGTCTCTGCAAAGGACATGAACTCATTGTTTTTTATGGCTACATAGTATTCCATGGTGTGTATGTGCCACATTTTCTTTATCCAGTCTATCTTTGATGGGCATTTGGGTTGGTTCCAAGTCTTTGCTATTGTAAATAGTGCTGCAGTAAACATATATGTGAATGTGTCTTTATGGTAGAATGATTTAAAGTTTATAAAAAGTTTATTAAGTAAAAAGTTAAAGGAAGCTAATGTTAATTTATTTCCAGGAAAAAAATATTTTTAAATAAATTAATGTAGCCTAAGTCTACAGTAGAGTACAGTAATGTCCTAGGCCTTCACATTCACTCACCACTCACACACTGACTCACCCAGAGCCACTTTCAGTCTTGTAAGCTCCATTCATGGTAAGTGCCCTATATAGGTATACCTTTTTTGTTGTTTTATACTGTATTTTTCCTGTACTTTTTCTTTGTGTAGATATGTTTAGCTTCACAAATACTTACCATTGTGTTACTTACTATTGCCTACAATATTCAGCACAGTAACATGCTGTACAGGTTTGTAGGCTGGGATCAATAGGCCATACCATATAGCCTAAGTGTGTAGTAGGCTATACATCTAGATTTGTGTAAGTACACTACACTCTATAATGCTCTCATGATGATGAAATCACTTAACATTGCATTTCTCAGAATATATTTAGTTGTTAAGCAATAGTTTGGTATGTTTAAACCATTTGGTAAGTAGAGGAATGGTTGTTAAATATAGAGATAAATCACTTTAACTTTTAATCACATGAATATATTTAAGTTTGTAGTAAAGAGAAATACTTTGATAATATACAGGAATGGGGAAAGAAGAATAGACAATTTTTGAAGGTGGACAATACTTAGTAATGTAAACAGACCCTTTGTGTGTCCCAAGAACTAAGAGCCTTAGGGGTTCTGAGTATAGACTTAGGTCAGGTAAAGATGTAAGAGATATTTTAATAAGAAAGACAAGACAGATGCTACATACTTTACAGTATATTAAGACTGATACAGTTATTTTGAATTTGATATAATATAGGCTCAAGGTTCACAAAACAGCATCATAATGTTGACAGTCATACCATCAATCAGGCTATTAAGATTATAGAACAAGACACAGTTGTCACAGCTTGCACAGAGCCAGCACCTGCCCTACATATAAAAGTACAATGGGAATTCATCAATCACATCACTGCTATCAGATGAGCTTCTAAAGTTTAATATGGGTAAACGGATTTGACTTACTTTATTGGCTGTGTTATCTGTAGTGTGAGTATCTGTTTTACCTCTGGCTTTCTAAGTCAGGCTGACTCATCCATACACCACACTTCATGCCAGCTTTTTAAACAAAGGCAAGGACACACTAACAGGTGTTTCCATAACTGATCAGAATTTTCTTGTTTCTTCAATACCTGATTATCGCCTTAACTCACCACTATGATGACAGTAGCACACACTGACTTCTTCTTGCCCTATTTGTGTATTGTCTTATTTTCTGGGCCATAAGCCAGACTATAAACCAATGTATAACACTGATTTTGTCTCCATCTGACTCTTTAGTCTCTGAAATTATTATGATTTAGTTCCAATCTTCAGTTTCTGTGGCCTGTGTGGTACTGTCTTCAAAGTCCTAGATATACTCCCTAGCACTTCCCTCCTCATCCTAATCTTTGCTACCTTCACTGCTCTTAAAATTAAGAAAAGAATGGAAAAAAATATGGGATGTAGATAACTTTTAGATTGCAAACTCATGTTTATAAAATAATACAAAAAAATTGATATAGATATACAAAATATATAAACAATACAGAATTTAGAAAATCTTAGACATGATTTTTACTAGCTTATCTCTTATACACAGACAATATTAAGCATGTGAGCTACATTTAGAGATGCAACCAAAACAATAATATCAGAATTATCATTTGTTATTCAAGAATTACTGATATATGTTAATATAGAAAGTTTCCAAATTAAAGTGTTTATTTTAATGAACAGTCAATCATGGCATCAGGTATTCAGTGAATACTGTACTGAAATATAAAATTATGAAATTTCACATAAAATTGTAAATTTCAGGTTTCTCTATTAAAAAAATCAAAAGATCTAACTATCATGAACACATATTTCTCTATGTCAACAATCAAGCTCAAAAGAAGCTGCCTACTCTGCTAAGGTTTTCATAGTTTCCACCATTACGCATTACATTTTTTAATTTACTTTTTATTTTATACACATGTAGTTATACATTTATATTTTTGCTGTTTTTTGTTCTTTTTCTTTTTTACAAATTTCATATTATAACAAAGTTGCAATAATAGTAAAAAGAAATGTATTCCCATGCATGTATACCTACATATTTTTTCACACTCATTTAAAAGTTACACTGTATTGTTTATGTGTTTCAGTATGTGTTTCCTAAGAACAAAGTCATTCTGTAATATACCACAATATAATTATTCAATTAGTAATACAACATTGACATGATGCTATTATTTACTACCAGTTTCTTATCTTTTGTACAGTTATTTCTTTGTATGTAATGTAGCATTTCTTTCTGGCCACTTTCAACAATTTTCTTATTTTATTTGTTTTTCAGCGGTTTAGATACAGCGTGTCTAGACATTGTCTTCTCTGGGTTTAAGACGCTAAATTGTTGCTGAGGTTGCCTAATCAAAAGTTGATACAGGGTAACTTTGTAAGGTTTCAGCAATTTTATTTTAAAATATTTTTTAATGTCCTCTCATCTCCTCCTGGGACTCTAAATGTGTCCCATATTTTTTCAGAGGTCACTGAACTCTTGTTCATTTCAGTTTTCTGTATATATAACAACACTTTAGTTCTTCAGATCCGATAATTTCTATTGATATAATTTCACATACACTGACTTCCCTGTTTTGCTGTCTGCAACTAATCATTAAACCCATATAATAAATGTTATATTTTGTTTGCTTTTTTATAATTTTAATTTCTCTACTAATAGTTATATCCATATACTTATTATAAATATCTCTTCTTTTAATCTTCTCATATTTATTATAGTTGCTTTTTCTTTGTCTACTAGTTCCAATATCTGATCATCTTATTGGTTTCTTTATTATGAATTATATTTTCTTGTTCTATTGAATGTCTAGAAATTTTTATTGGTTATAAGACATTATGGATGATACATTGAAGTGACTGTATATTTTGTTATCCTTTCAATAATAATCGGATAAATTCCTGAAAAATATTGAGGAAGGAAACCATGGGAATTTCTGTGGAAAAGGCATTATGTACAAAGGAATTACAAATGCAGAGAAATGGTGCATTCAAGGAAAAGGGAAGAGGCCGGTGTATAAAAGTACATTTTCAACTTTACATCTTACGTTAGCCATATATGGTAGCTTGTGCCATTAATTCCTAAGAATTTTCAGGATTCAGAAGACAATTTTGTTTACTTGTTGTTGGCATGAAAGTTTACAGACATTAGTTTTAATGTTCTCTCTGCTTCTAGGTTATTAAATACTTTTTTTGCCAATTTTCCTTCCAAAAATGTGTTATTTCTCATTATTTTTAATCTATTATCTTGTCTTTTTGAAAATCTGGATTAATATGTTTTTATGGCTGTCATTTTTGGAAATTAGATTTAACCACTTTACCTAGCAATAAGACCCTTTAGTATTACACGTTACCTGTGGCTCAAGTACAACCCTGATTATGGGGCCTCTGTATTATCACACTTAATGCAAACAATGACCCACTTATGGATTTGTTACACCTATTCTTTTGCATTCTTTTATTCTAAGGAGGTGTAAGGTTTTGTGTTCTTCCCTCTCTCTTTACCTCCAAGAAATGTAAACTACGATACAACTGTTGTCAGGTGTGGTACTTCACATGGAAGGAATAAGGAATTTTAATTAAAACAGTCAAGACAACTACCATCTTTAATCACAAAACTTGGATATCTTCATTCTTTTTTTTCCTCCATGGGCTTTAGTTATAGTAAGAGGTGCAGTAGTGTCTCCCAAGTGGGAAACAGAGCAAAGTCACATAAAAGTATGTGTGGAATAGGGTGCCCTTTTTAGCCTAATTATCTAAATCATAAACTTAAAAAGCACAATGGATATTCAATTCTTATAAACAGAGGAAAAACCATCTGTGATTTGTTATTAAATCATAATTTTGAGTAGAGCCAGAATAAATCATAAAATGAAATTAGAAAAAAATCAATTTTCCAAAATATTGCAATATTATGAAATAAGTCATTCTTATTGCATAGATAAGTAAAGTAAAACTCTAAAACAAGAGATGGAAAACTCTGCTATAGGCCAGATAGTAAATATTTTAGAGTTTACAATGACATAGCCTCTGTTGCAACTATTCAGCTCTGTCACTGTAGCATGAAAACAGTCATAGACAATATGCGAATGAAGGTGCATGGCTGTGTTTCACTGAGGTTTAAATTTCATATGTTTTGCATGGGTCATGAAATATTATTACTTTTGATTTTTAAAATTATTATTATTAAATGTAAAATCCATCTTGGTTTGAGAACCATTCAAAAATAAGCAGCAAGTTGAATTTGACTCACAGGACATAATTTGCCAACCTCTGCTCTGAAAGGATAAATAATTACCTAAGGACATGTAACTGGTTGGATCGTGCTAGAACATAATTCTTTTACATTACAAAGGTAATTCTCTTTTCATTTAATTTCTATGTGATCCCATCAAAATTAAAATCAAGCATTTCTCACCTCTTTGCAAAGCTCAGTGTTTTTTTTTTTTTAAGGAGCTAGAAATGCCAATAGAGAAGCAGACAGAAAACATCTGAAATGGTTTTTCTTCTTCTTTTATTCCTTTTCAAATGCAGTGTCAAGTGGTATCCACATATTGCTCACATTGTTCCTTTCCTGTGTCTGAAGGTGAAATTCTTCAAATACCTGACTGTCTAAAGTCAACAATTGACATAGTTCACTTTTGTGGGGGAATAGGATGACTTTCTAAGAAAAAAGTGAACTTACAACTTTTATTACTTTATCCAAGGCAGAAAAATTTGAGTCTATGAAAAGACTCAAATGTATTCTTTCAATATTTGAGACACTGTTGTTAAGAATTATTTTATAAAAACACAAAGATGAACGAGGCCAGGCATGGTGGCTCACGCCTCTGATCCCAGCACTTTGGGAGGCCGAGGTGGGTAGATCACCTAAGTTCAGACGTTTGAGACCAACCTAGCCAACATGGTGAAACCTCATCTCTACTAAAAATACCAAATTAGCCAGGCATGGTGGCGGGCCCCTGTAATCCCAGCTACTTGGGAGGCTGAAGCAGGGGAATCGCTTGAACCCAGGAGGCGGAGGTTGCAGTGAGCCGAGATGGCACCATTGCACTCTAGCCTGCCGACAAGCGTGAGACTCCATCTCAAAAAAAAAAAAAAAAGGAATGAACTTAATTTCTCACCTAAAGTGCTGTTAACCAAGGATTTGTACATATTATACAAAATAAATGGCCATAAGGGACACAAAGACCTTCGCCTATTGTGGAATGAATACTATTGTTTACTAGATATTTACATTTTTCTGTCATCTGGTAGCATTTCACTCCCTCTGCCTCTGTACTTGGGGGAAACCATACGACCACTCTAGTGGTCATGATTCATTCTAGTCAATGAATTATGAGGAGAAAGTGAACTGTGTCACTTCTGAGTTGAGAATTTAATTGGTTCTATAACATACTCTGGAGTGCTATTTACTATTTATCAGACCAAGTGGAATTGTTCCAGATTAGAGTTCCTCCAACAGCCTGGGTCCCATGGTGAGAATAATGGAAACACTGAAAAATGCCACCACCAACTTGCAATCAAAATTTACGGTGAATAACAAATAGAGTAAGAAACAAAGCTTTGTTGGCTTAGGCAGCTAAGGTTTGGGATTTTGTTTATCATGACAGAATAACTTGGCCTTTTCAGACTGATATAACTATTTGATTTGAGGGCACAACCTATTAACCCCATCAGCCTTTTATGGGAAGAACAACCATTTACACGAGCCTATGAAACTCACATAGAAGATTTTATGAAATTTGTCTAATTGCATGTGCTACTTCCAAAATGAAAATATACTCCAAGAGAGTATATTTTGTCTACAGCTATCCTAAGAACTTGCATAATCTACTTCATCATGATTTATCTAGAGTGGAATTGACCCTGCTTTGTGCCTATTTTCTCTATGTTACTTTAAGCAAAGGAGCTAACTTAAGAATAAGACTTCCCTGAACCTTGACCTCAAGAGTTAAGCATCTGGCAAGACTCTTTGTTGTTTTTTTAATTTATTAATATTAGTCTCTTAGAATGTGCTACTTTAATAAATTACAGCAAAAATAAATACAAAGCAAAAATAGGCTGAGATACCCTAGCTTTGCAGATTCCAATGAAAATGGCTCCCATCCTGTAAGTCCCTGGGTTGTTCCTCTGACAATGCTTAGTATTTTGGAAAAGGATGCCATATTATTTTAGGGGACACACATTTAAGAAGTAACATGATGTTACCATAGAGGAATGCCTATTTTTTGTTGTTTTGAATTTTATCTTTTATTTTAAAAAAACCTGTGCAAAATCTGATTGTACAGAATAAAAATGAATCAACAGAGGGCTCCATTTTTCTAATAATATCTTGTTAATAAAATCATACGTTAAAAAAAGAAAGCCCCTCAAATGGAAAGAGTAAGTTTAAAGAGACACACACAAAAAAGGTGAAAGAAGAATGAATTAGACACCCACTGTAGTATTAAAACCAAGAGAATTTTAAAGTGGAGAACAGTTAGAATTTTATTTTTGAAGTGTACAGTGCTTTAGAGGCTTCCATTTTGCTACTGAATATTTTAAAACCTAGTAAAAGCAGATTATTTAAATAAATTAAACAGTTTATATAAATATCTTTTTTCTGCCAGAGTTAAATCACCATGGCAGAAAGGGGGAGGAGACTCTTGAGAATCCAGTGGGAGAAATGACACATTATTCTTTCAAAGTTACAGCTTTGAGGTATGATATTACACATTAGAGTACAACAAACTCAGTATTAACGTAAAAGGGCTGGATGCAGTGTCTCACGCTTGTAAACCGAATACTTTAGGAGGCTGAGGTGGGAGGATCTCTTAAACCCAGGAGTTTGAGACCACCCTGGGTAACACAGAGATACCCTGTCTCTAAAAAAAATAAAAAATTAGCCAGTATGGTGGCATACACCTGTACTCCTAGCTGTTCAGGAAGCTGAGATGGGAGGATCACTTGAGCTTGGGAGGTTGAGGCTTCATTGAGCCACTATCGTGCTGAGAGACAGGACTAGCTGGACTACAGGACTAGCTGGATTTCCTAGGCTGACTAAGAATTCCTAAGCCTAGCTGGGGAAGGAGACCACACCCACCTTTAAACACCGGGCTTGTAACTCAGCTCAAACCCGCCCCATCAGGTAGTAAAGAGGGCTCACTAAAATACCAATTAGGCTAAAAGCAGGAGGTAAAGAAATAATGAAATCATCTATCACCTGAGAGCACAGGGGGAGGGACAATGATCGGGATACAAACCCAGGCATTTGAGCCAGATGGGCAAACCCATTTGGGTCCCCTCCCATTGTATGGAAGCTCTGTTTTCACTCTGTTAAATCTTGCAACTTCACATTCTTCTGCTCCCTGCTTGTTCCAGCCTGAGCTGAGCTATCGCTCGCCGTCCACCACTGCTGATCGCCATTGTTGCAGACCCGCTGTTGACTTCCACCCCTCTGGATCTGGCGGGATGTCTGCTGCGTTTCTGATCTAGGGAGGCGCCCATTGCCGCTCCCGTTCAGGCTAGAGGCTTGCGGTTGTTCCTGCGCAGCTAAGGGCCCGGGTTCGTCCTAATCGAGCTGAACACTAATCGCTGGGTTTCGCGGTTCTTTTCTGTGACCCACGGCTTCTAATAGAGCTGTAACACTCACCGCATGGCCCAAAGTTCCACTCCTTGGAATCCGTGAGGCCAAGAACCTCAGGTCAGAGAACAAAAGGCTTGCTGCCATCATGGGAGTGGCCGCCACTATCTTGGGAGCGGCCCATCACCATCTTGGGAGCTCTAAGAACAAAGACCCACTGGTAACATTGCCACTGTACTTCAGCCTGGGTGACAGAGACATCTGGAGCTCTAAGATTGGACCCCAAAGGAGGACATTCCATGGGTTCAGCAAACCTCAAGAGACCCTGTCTCTTAAATAAGTAAATGAATACATAAAATAAAAAAAGGTAAACCATATACCAGCCGACAAACGAATACCTGGCATTATAAATGTGAAATTATGGCACTGAGGATGGAAATAGAATCTAGAGGCAGGAAACACAAGGCCCATTCACACTTCAGCTGTAACACAAAATGTCCTCTCTATAGGGCATACCCTGTAAGTGACTTTGTAACTTTACTTCATCCTCTTCATTTAGATAAGCCGTATCCCAAGTAGAGGGTATTTAAACTCACAAAAGCTCTGTAACAGGGCCCTTGAGCCCCTATGCTCAGGCCCGCTCCCACACTGTGGAATGTACTTTCTTTTTCAATAAAACCCTTCATTCATTCGTTGCTTTGTTTGTGTGTTTTGTCCCATTCTTTGTTCAGGATGCCAAGAACCTGGACCCCCACCTCCGCCACCATTAACATATTTTGGCGAGCCATCCTGGAGGAAGAGGTAGGCCCTAAGTTTGGGATTCATTTTTCTCCCTTTCCTTTCTGCTTCATTCAGGGTCTCTCTCTCTCTCTCTCTCTCTCATTTCCTTTCCAACTTGGGACCCTTGGAGGGCAGCACCTAAACACTGAAGCAACTGCAGGTTTCTGGCCGTGGCCAATGAAACTAAGGGGTTTTCATGTGGAGAAGCCTAACTGGCACCGCCCGCTTTGCTTAAGGGAATCTGGGTCTTTTTTTATTTTTATTTTTTTCCTCTCTTTCTTTTTCAGTCCTACAGTGGCTTTTTCCTAGTTTCTCCTTGGAAATTGAGGGCAATTGGCTGGGGTTACTCCCCAGTATTGCCTGAAGGCCTGGGAATAAATGGGAATAATTGCTCTGCCCCGAAGGGGTAAGGATGTTTTTAAAAAAATTCTTTTCTGAGCATGGTTCCTAATCCCTATGGTGATGCAGCTCTGAGCAAACTCACACGTGTTTCAGGCAACTTAAACCTTCTTTTCATATACTAAATCCTTACCTTACCATACTCAACTGGCTAAGGAACAAAAGGCTCACAGGACATCCAGTTCTCATTACAGTTCATGGCTGTTCTTAAAAATCTCATGGTACGCTTTGGAGGGGAAACCTGCATGTGGCGCGCACCCCTAAGGCCAGAGACATCTGGAGCTCTAAGATTGGACCCCAAAGGAAGACACTCTGTGGGTTCTGCAAACCTCAAACTCTCCAAAGAGTATGCTCTTGGCAGAGGTTCTGAGGTCTAGTATTAAAACCTCCTTAGAATTTTTTCTCGCAGTTGCAATGCTGCTTGGCCCCAAAATTGTTTGGAATCTGAAGTTGACTGTCTAATTGGAAAGTGGGGTGATGTTGCATGTATACAGGCTTTTGTGCTGCTCTTCCAAGCAGTGGGCCTGGTTAACGTTTGGCACCCTTCTTTGGTACTGTTTGGCCCTAGTGCTCCTTGGAGTCTGGGGAGGTTTAGCCTTTAAAAATCAAACTGCTTTACCTGGAATTTTGTTTCACAGCCTTCCTTGGATTATCTATTGGGGCAAAGTAAAACTGGCAAGCTTGTATTGCTGTCTCAGGCTAAGGTTCCAAGCTACTGGATCTTCATTTATGTGTGTGTGTGTGTACGTGTCTAGATGTGTTTACTTGTATGTACACTAAATTGTTATATGCCATGTCTACCAAATTGGCTTATAAGTAAAAGAGCACTCATAAATTAAGTAAATAAGTCTAAGCAATTTTCAAGTTCATGTGACTTAAAGTATAACTTTACTAAACAAACTAGCTTTAAAATTATTGGTGGAATAAAAACAGAAATGCCTTTGGAATTGTTAGCATACATTTTGTCTAAATTTTATGTTTGTCTTTGCTAGATATTTTAAAATAGTGTTAATTCAAGCTGGGAGCTGCCCTGGGTGAGCCTGCCTCCCATTCTATTCAGAGTCTTACTGAGATAAATGCATATCTGATTGCTTCTTTTGGAAAGGCTAATCAGAAACTCAAAAGAATGCAACCCTTTGTCTCCCACCTGTGATCTGAAAGACCCCCAGCACCCCCTTCACCTGGAGTTGTCCTCCCTTTCTGGACCAAACCCATGTTTGTTTTATATATGTTGATTGATGTCTCATGTCTCCCTTGTTAAAAGTAAAAATTAAGTACAGTGAATGACATAAACGTTTTAGGTAAACTTTTTATGTAAATTAAAATCTTAGGGTTATTTTTAATGCTTATTTAATATATGGGTCATTTCCAAATAAGAAGAGTTGTAATATTGAAAGACAGGACTATCTGGATTTCCTAGGCCGACTAAGAATCCCTAAGCCTAGCTGGGAAAGTGACTGCTTCTACCTTTAAACACAGGGCTTGCAACTTAGCTCACACCCAACCAATCAGATAGTTAAGAGAGCTCACTAAAATGCTAATTAGGCAAAAACAGGAGGTAAAGAAACAGCCAATCATCTGTTGCCTGAGAGCACATCAGGAGGGATAATGATCGAGATATAAACCCAGGCAATCTAGCCGGCAACGGCTACCCTCTTTGGGTCCCCTCCCTTTGTATGGGAGCTCTGTTTTCACTCAGTTTCACTCTATTAAATCTTGCAACTGCACTCTTCTTCCATGTTTGTTATGGCTTGAGCTGAGCTTTTGCTCACTGTCCACCACTGCTGTTTGCCACCATCGCAGACCCGCCGCTGACTTCCATCCCTCCAGATCTGGCAGGATGTCCACTGTGCTCCTGATCCAGCGAGGTGCCCGTTGCCACTCCCAATTGAGCTAGAGGCTTGCCATTGTTCCTGCATGGCTAAGTGCCTGGGTTCATCCTAATCGAGCTGAACACTAGTCACTGGGTTCAACGGTTCTCTTCCGTGACCCATGGCTTCTAATAGAGCTATAACACTCACCACATGGCCCAAGATTCCATTCCTTGGAATCCATGAGGCCAAGAACCCCAAGTCAGAAAACATGAGGCTTGACACCATCTTGGAAGTGGCCCGCCTCCATTTTGGAAGCAGCCTGCCACCATCTTGGGAGCTCTGGGAGCAAGGACCCCCCGGTAACAATATGGGGAAATGCGTTTCTAGAATTTTTGAATTATTCTTATCTACAAATGCCCATATCTAATAGCTCAGGATTTTTTTACTTTTTAGGGTCTCTCTAAAGTTTTAGGGTACTAAGGATAAAAATTTTAGTTAACACATAATTCTGTATAAAAAATGTGCCAGGAAGGGTTATGTTATTAGTGAAAAAAAAAAAAGAATAATTTTGTCCAATTCAAAAGTTATCTAAGAGTTAGTTCAAATTACAGATTTGAAAAGGTTGTTTATAAAACAATGTAGTAAGGAATGATTAAGTAGGGGAGAAAGATGTGGAAAAAGCTTATACAATAAAATATTCTTTAAAACCTGACAGAATTGCAGATATTTGGCTAATTAACATTTTCATAGTTAAAGCTCTTAGTCTTGGTTAAAGTAAAACAAGAAGTATTGTAAAAATTGCATCAGCAGTTTGGCAGTTGTATTTTAATATAGTTAAGCGTGAAGCTAAATTTAGCATAAAGCTAAATTTCACATACATGCTTGCATTGCTTCACACTATGTTTACTGTTTTGTGTGGATAGTGCTAAAGTACTTATTGGTCATGTGCCTAACATGGATTTCTTGATTGCACAGAATGTATAATGGTATTAGTGAACTTAAGGGTATTGAATTGTGTATCAGGAATAAAATATTCATTATGTGGTTTTTTGGGGGGCCCTAGGTAACAGTGTAGCTTCCAGGGTAAATTGAGTATGAAAATTTAGGATTGGTTTTTGTTTATTCGTTTTTGCTTCTAGTTTTTGTTTATTTGCTGTTTATTCGCTGTTTATTCTCCTCTGGCTTTGCTTGTGTATCTCTATATATAAAACCACATTTTTTTTTTTTTTAGTTCCTATTGGAAGGCTTTTATTTAGTTCTGTGTTCCCATGCATTTCCAGCAAGTCATCATTCATTCAATTTATCTGGAATTCCTAAGGAACCTTTGTCAAGCCTGCAGGAATGAATAGAGCACACCAGCTTTTTATTCTTAAACTAATTTTTTGGATTTTAGTCTTCCTGATACTTTAAGTGTGTTGAATGTAGTCTCACAAATAGAATTTGAGTCATATTTCTCTCTCTGCCTAGTTTCTCCAGAATTCGTAAACTATCTATGAATATTCTTAATTCATGGCAATGTGTTTGTTTGCATGCAGTAAAGCAGGGTCAGCAGGGTTGCCAGGGCTGCTCAGGGAGAGAGAACCCAGGAATCTAGCATGCCGGCAAAAGGGTAAGAATTTCTTACCAGTCAGTCACTGGCCTGTTTCTCTCTGTGCAAACTGGTTAAATATAAAGTAAAAGCCACTGTTTATCTCTTCTGCAAAGTTTTAATTAATTGGTTTAATAATAATAATGGCTTAAATCAAATGCTTTGTCAGAAAAAAAGGAAATGTAATGCCTTTTAGTTCACACAACTTTAGCAATCTTTGGGAAATACAGTTTTCAAAATTATTGGTAAAATAAAATTTTCTTCAAAAGGTAAACATGTAGTCTAAATTATGTTCAAGTATTAGGTTTGCTAAATACTTCAAGGTCATAAGCTGCTTCTTCAGCTTTTGAAAATTGTGTAACTTGCCAGCTTTCCATCTAGGTAAGGCCTGGGGACCTTTGGAGTTGGCCATGCCCCAGCTATGCTGGAAATAGTCAAACCTTATCAGAACATAACTTACCAAGTCTTACATTAAAGTTAAAATTGCTAAGACTCACCATTGTAACATGCAATTAAGACTACTACAATTAGATTTACATGCAAGGTGTGTAAGAACAGTAAAATGTTATTTTTTAGTAAAAGGTTATAAGAAGGCATGGAAATGTAAACTTTTGCCTAGCAATAAAGGGTTGTTTTAAGTTAGATAGGGAAAGCTGAAGGTTCAAAGAAGTGGTGGAAAATTGTGGAAATTAATCTTGCAGAAGAGGTTCTCTGTGTGAACATGTTGACTAAATTCAAATGGTTATAAAAGGTTTTTGTTCTTTAAAGTTTCTGAGTCATTATTTTGGCAAAATAAATAACATAGAAATCTAGCATTCCCAAAATCAAACTTCAGTTTCAAAATTGTCTTCCTTGGCCCCTGGCTTTTCGAGTACCTCAGAGGGTGCTTAAAGTGTCCAGAAAAGAGAGGTAAACAGGATTATTTGACATGTTTAGGTACATGGGATTGCCAAAATGATGCTCAATCTTCTTTAGGTAATATTTTTGTGAATAATACGAATATATATTTCAAAATTGTATGGGATTTCTAGAATTCTAATGTCTAATTATATGCTACAAATCATAATTATAGTTATGTCAACTTATTGTGAACCACAGAAATAACAAAATTTCCTTGTGTAACGCTACTAACACAAGTAAAACAAAAAATTAATGAAATATCAATACTTTCACATTAAACCGCTAATATTAAAATTGTTTAAAATAGTTTATAACCAATGCTTGATTCCATACTCCTGGGAAAACAAAGCTTCAGGTACATTTGGTCACCTGGTTGGCCATTTAAACATTTTATAAAGGGATTTCATTCAATTGTAATTTTCAATGAATGTTTTCTGGTTGTATTAAAGCTTTCCCATGCAAGAGGGCTGATGTTATAACAGTAAATTATTATGCTACTATGTATTTTCGCCAGATGAAGAAAGCTTTTTACAGTTTGAATCTTCTGGAAACATCAAAGAAAGATTGTCCTTGCCATTCACACTAAAATAAAACTTCAAGACCTTGAACTTTGGGTTCATAAACTCACAACTGAGAAGGGTTACTCCATGTTCTTGGAGCTGTGCACCCATTGGAAACCTTGAGGTAAAGCTAACCAGGAAAATTTCTCCCAAGAAGACGATGGTATCCTTGATGTGAAGAGTGTTTCCCAAGTTCACAGATTAAGACTTCTACTGTCATGAAACTCTTATCTTTGAATTTTTTTTATGCTTATGCCTCTATGAACAACAGAAGTGGAAAGGGTGTCTGTTATGTGCACTAATTGGGTGCATTTTTACTTGTGAAGGAGTTTGCAGCCAGCCTTGTACATGGATAACCTTATACTTGATAGATAAAATATGAAGGTCCAATGTAGGTAAGAAACCTTAATGGTACATATGTGGCCTCATAATCAGTCAAAAACAAAACAATGGTTCACTTCTCTTAACCCACATCATGGGTTAAAGAGAACATTGCCAAAAGGCCTTCACTCTTCTAAAACGGCATCATTGGTTAGGTCTTTTATCCATGATTTAATGTAAAAGAAGCAATGATTAGAAATGTATCCCTCATGATAGGCTCTATAGCAAATTCTACTGTAAAGGCTACAGTTATACAACAAACTTTAAATTCTTTTGTGAAAGTTATGCTCATTGAGAGAATTGGCTGAACAGAGAAGTATCTGTCTAGCTTCTGGCACTTGTGGCCTATGGGGAAATGCATCAAATAAAGACTATAGAGATTCAGTGGTAGGGGATTGATGAAGAAATTGCTTAGTCAAATGAATAAACTCTTTATCTAGCTCATTCTTTAATCTATTTGATTTTAGGAAGTTTGGTTTATGGAGACCTTCGGTAAGGAGCATACTCTGAACTCTTGGTATTATCATCCCAATAGTTATATTAATAGTCTCCCTGGTGCTCTGTATATTTCAGCTCTTTCAGGAGCTGAAAGAAATATGCAACCATGAGGACACCGTAAAGTATAAATGAGGTGCTGAGACTGGAACCCCAAAATGGTGGTAACTGATAGCTGTGCTAAGGCCTTAAGTTTTGGTCACACTCTCACCTAAGTGAGGACCTGACCAAAAAGGGGGAATTTTTTAAATAAAATTCTGTGAGGCCATTGTTTTGGACTAGGCTCATGCACTAGGACCCAACAAATCAAACCAAACCAAAATAGAATAGCTTGTGCTAAGACTTTAAATACATAGATTCTAGAATAGATGAGGTTTTGTTTTTTTCTCCTGCAAATCTCTAAAACAAACATTTCTGACAGCATAGGTATCCATCGCCTGAAGTTCCCATTAAATATTTTAACCAAATTCATTTCCTTTCACCTGGAAACCATCAAGCTTCAGCTGATCATGCAACTAGGGTTCTAGCCAGTTCCAGGTGAAGATGCCACCCTGGCCATCAGGAAGTTACCCTGCCTCCACTAGACAGAACAGGGTGAGAGTTCTGTAATCCCAAATAGGTAGGGACTACTCCCCAAACCAGCATGAAGGAGTTACAAAAAAAAAAAAAAAAAAAAAGACCATCAGTTCCTCTGCCTCCCATAAAGATTTATGGGGATCACATCTCTCAGGGGGATATGAGGTAGGAAAATAGCGTCTGGAGGCAGGGAACATAAGGCCGATTCACACTTCAGCTGTAACAGGAAATATCTTCTCTGTAGGGCATACGCCATAAATGACTTTGTAACTTTACTTCCTCTTAATTGACATAGGGCGTACCCCAAGAAGAGGGTATTTAAACTCACAAAAACTCTGTAACAGGGCCTTTGAGCCCCTATGCTCAAGCCTGCTCCCACACTGTGGAGTGTACTTTAACTTTCTTTTGATTTAATTTTTTTTTTTTTTTTTGAGACAGAGTCTCACTCTGTCACCCAGGCTGGAGTGCAATGCCATGATCTCGGCTCATTGCAACCTCTGCCTCCCGGGTTCAAGTGATTCTCCTGCCTCGGTCTCCTGAGTAGCTGAGATTACAGGCACACACCACCATGCCTGGCTAATTTTTGTATTTTTATAGAGATGGGGTTTTGCCATGTTGGCAAGGGTGATCTTGAACTCCTGACCTCAGGTGATCCTCCCGTGTCGGCCTCCCAAAGTGTGGAGATTACAAGCATGAGCCACTGCGCCCGGCCTGTACTTTCATTTTCAATAAAGCCCTTCATTCCTTCCTTGTTTTGTGCATTTTGTCTAATTCTTTGTTCAAGACACCAAGAACCTGGACACCCTCTACCGTTAACAGCATTATACATAATACATCCTTTCTTTAAATCATGTTTAAAATGTCATTTCCAATATATTACTATACTCTTGGGTATATCCTTCTTCTGTCCATTTAATAATACTTCATTAAATATAATTGTGATTATGCATTTTATCTCTTCTGTCCTCGTATTATACTTTGTAGCATACCATGAGCAAATGCTCTTTGTTTGCAAATAAAGAATTTCAATCATAATACACACTAACAGCAAATATATTTTTAGGGCTACAAATTCAACCCATTTTACTCATTTCAAATATCACACAAAATAAATCTGTAGACATGTATATTGAAACAAAAATAGCAAGAAAATTGCTCTAACATATGAGGTGTTAGAAGACTCTAAAAGAAAGATAAATAATAATTCAGATTTACTCGAATAGCAACAAAGCCTGGTTATATCATCTTATATTGTCTCGTACAAGTGAGGATTCAAATAAACTACAAAAATTTATTTGAACAATGTGATTAATAAAAAAATGAGCATCTAAAGAAGTACTTTTTTCTTTAATATTCAGAAATATTTTAAATAAATCAAGAAAATTAGAGAAAAATGACATTGATATTTGATATAAAAATAATTGTGTATTAAACTATACAGAATATTATGAAATTATCATATTGACTTTCTTTCAAAATAAATTACCCTGAATCTCACTACATCAATCAATTAAATTTGTTTTCTGTACCTGACGTCTGAACAAATGTACTACATAAAAGAAAATTGCCCTTCCCCAGGAACTGTCTCTACCTTTGTCTTGGACTCCATCCTAAAAAAAATAAAAATAAAAATAAATAAATAAATAAATAAATTTCCAGAAGCCAATTTACTCTTATAGTGGGAATATTTATGAGGTATAGCAAAATATTTTATAAAAATAATCAAGGTATTAAGAAAAGTACATTCAGATGTAACAAATATAACTACAATCACTTAACTTCCCCCTTTTATACAGAAGAATGGGCATTTTATTGTCTAAGAGAGGAGAGGGACTTAAACTTGACCAGACAACAACAAATAGACCATTTACTAATTGTGAATAAAAACACATTAAAGACTCACACTTCATAAATAGGCAAGTTAAAAAAAGGTTAACATGTGACTGATTGATTGACTTTTGATTTTCAGTCCAGTATGTCAGAAGCTTTGAAGCTGTCACTCTGTCCTAACAACAAGTAAAATCCTGAACAAATGGAAAAATTAACACTTCTTCTTAAATCTGTCCGAAAAATAAAATCATAGGGCAAACTACTGCCCTCAAAATTGGAGAGACCCACAGGTGGGTACAGAGAATCAAAACTTACAGGAGTAGAAACGTCCATGAAAACTAATACCAGAATAGGGAAAACCAAACTGTACCAGATGAATTACTAGAGGTTCAATGCGGACAACACTGAGAATTAAAAATGCCAAGAAGACTAGTCATTGGATGGTTCCATACTTGTGTTGATTTTTACCTCTTGGAGCTCTACTAGGTTCTCACCATGAATATCAGAGAAAAATCCCTTTGGGCTTCCATCAAATTAAAGGGGAAAGGAACAATTTTGAACACAAGTCATCCTGTTCTTCTTAATATGATCTGCCCTTAGATAAGGTAGTTAATCAGAGTCTAACTTGTTGGGATTTTATCAGAGCTTCTCTGACCAGGAAAAGTAAATACCAAACTCCAACTCACTCTACCCATCCTGACATACCTAGGGGGTGGGGGATTGATGGCATTGATAAGCACTTGTGAAGTTCACAGTCCGAAGGTACAGGATCACCAAAAGACTGAGACCTAACCAAAGGACTACATAATGCTTCCTCATCTTCCACATCTTCCTACCACATTACTAAAGGCTGATTGGTAATAGTTTCTTTTTCTCAGTAAATCATGTCTGGCTCTCAAAAAATTAAAAAATAAAAGACATACTAAGAGGCAAAAAAAAAAAAAAAAAGCCACAGTTTGGAGAGACAGAGCAAGCATCAGAAGTTTATATGACAAGAATGTTAGAATTATCAGACCAAGAATTTAAGACAATTATGATTAAGATGTTAAGGGTTCTAGTGGATAGAGTAGACAGCATGTAAGGACAGATGAACAATGTAAAACAGACAGAAGAAAATTCAAAGAAAAAACAAAAAGAAATGCCAGAGATAAAAAAACACTGCAACAGAAATGAAGAAGGCTTTTGAGTATTTATTAGTAGACAAGACATGGCTAAGAAAAGAATCTGAGCTTGAGGATATCTCACTAGAAACGTACAAACCTTGAAAAACAAAAAGAAAAAAGGTTGGAAAAAGAACACAGAATATCTAAGGACTGCAAGACAGCTACAAAATATGTAGAATATGCATAATAAGAATATCAGAAAGAGAAGAAAAAGACAAAAAAAAGACAGATTTGAAGCAATAATGAGTAAACATTCTCCCAAACTAATGTCAGACACCTTGTAAATGTGTATTGCAAATCTATCTAGGGTAATCCCTAAAAAAATGTTTTAAAATGTATAATATGCTAAAAAGGAGAGGAAAATAATAACAGAAAAGGCTCAATTAAAACTTCAATGAGCAAAAAACGTTCTGCCTTTTGGAAGATAAAATAGGAAAAAAAGAACAAGAGTGACAAGTAGAAAACAATAATAAATATTATATATATCAATAATCACTTTGGACATCAATGGTCTAAATGCATCAATTAAGACAAATGTTGTCAGAATGGATTGATAGCTAAACCCAACTCTAAATTGTCTACAAGAAACTCACTTTAAATATATTGACAATACAGAGTAAAAGTAAATAGATGAAGAGATATATGCTATGGAACATGAATCAAAAGAAGGTGGGAGTGGCTGTATTAATTTTAGACAAGGTGGACTTCAGAGCAAGAAAATTTATCAGGGATAAACAGGGGCATTACATAATAATGAAGGTATCAGTTTTCCAAGAATACATATGAATCCTTAATGCTTATGTGCCAAAACTTACACATGATGAAATAGACAATCTGAATAGGCATTTATGAATTACTAAAGGAAAAAAAATATATTATTCCAAAACAGAAAGTAATGGTCCCAGAAAGGTTCATTAGTGATATGTATCAAAATGTATAAAAGAAATGATCTTAATCCTCTATAGTTTCTTCCAGAATAAAGAAGCAGTGGGTAGACTTCCTAACTCACTCAATGTGGCCAGCATCACTCTAACACCAAAATCAGAAAAGACATTACATGAAAACACATACGAATATCTTTCCTAACCATAGATAAAAATTCTCAAAACAATATTAGCAAATTGAATGCAACAATGAGTAAAAATAAATATACATCACAAAGATGTCCTTCAGTAGGTGAATGAATAAATGATACTTCTAGACGATGGAATATTATTCAGTACTAAAAAGAAATGAACTCTCAAGCCCTAAAAAGACATGATGAAAATTTAAATATATATTACTAACTGAAAGAAGCCAACCTGAAAGCCTACCTATTGCAGATTACAACTATTTAACATTCTAGATAAGACAAAATCGTGGATACAGGAAAAAGATCAGTGTTTGCTAGGGTTTAATGGGGGAGGGAGAGATAAATGGGATGTACACAGAGGGTTTTTAGAGCAATTGAACTATACTGCATAATATCATAATGGTGGATACATGTCATACATTTGTCCAAATCCATAGAATGTACAATGCCAAAAGTGAACTCGAATGTGAAGGATACTTGACTCTAGGTGATGGTGTTTATGTACCACTCTGTGGGGGATGTTGATAATGGGGAAAGTTGTGAATGTGGGGGGACAAGGGAGTATATGGGAAACCTCTGTACTTTTCATTCAATTTTGCTGTAGACCTAAAAGTGCTATAAAAATAAAATACATTAAAAAGACAAAAAAGAACATCTGAAATAAAATTAATTCAATGCTACAAGGAAAAAAGGAAAAAAAATTGAATGTTGAATGTAATACAAACAAGATAACATTCAACTTCTCAGAAATCATGCACAGTTGAGAGAAAACCCCCATTCTCCTAAAATTTTATACCTTACAAAATTACTCGTCAAAATTTGAGTAAAAATTGAATTTTAGGAGAATGGGGGTTTTCTCTCAACTTTGTTTGCATGACTTCTGAGCAGTTGAATCTCATCTTGTTTGTATTACATTCAACATTTTATTACTGATTGTGTTTAGTGGGCTTCAAAATTACCTTCAAAATTTGAAAGGTAATTTTGCAAGGTATAAAATTTTAGGAGAATGGGGGTTTTCTCTCAACTTTATTTGCATGATTTCTGAAAACTTGAATGTAATCTTGTTTGTATTACATTCAATTTTTTTTTATTGATTGTGTTTAGTGGGCTTGTGGAAATTAGATGGAGGCTAAAATTGGACAAAGAACAATAAAAGAGTGACAGCTCTTTTTATAAGTTGAAAAATAAAAATAAATACATGAATTACGACTAAAAATATATTCCTTATTTGCAGCCACATTGCAAACAAAATTTGTTGGTTTCTTAGTCATGCAGGGAAAGAGTGCAAACATGGATGGTCTCTTTATATCATTATTAATAATCCCTACTGCTGTTGCCTTTCCACCCAATTCAAATTCAAATAAGCATCCATATAATTTGTGTTTATCAATAAATGTTTTCATTGATTCTGTGCTTTTTCATACATACCATTAGAAATCTATGATAAATTTTATTTTAAATTTTATAATATTTGATTTTCTTTCAAGAAGATACATATTATACCAAGCAGGTGTAGATTAAGGCAAACCCAGTGTATGTATTAAGCAAGTGAAGGTGACAGTCAAGAAAGAGTTGAGTAGATACGATGATGAATGCTAGTGAATACAAGAAAGGCATTTTCCTTGCAATAATCATTGTTCGTGATTCACAAATATTAGATTTTCAGGTCAATGCTACAATGTGTCAGCTTTAATTAGTACTACACAGCAGTGAAGAGCTGCAGATCTTGTTAGGTGTAACTATTTATTGTTCTCTACAATTCAAATCAAAGGTAGAAAATAAATTTCTCATTAGAAACAATAATTCATTATTGATTGCACAAGATCATATCAAAGGTATGTTTTTCTTATACTTCTATGAATATATAGAAAATTTAGAAATTTCAGGAAAAAGCAAGGCTTTTCATTGATTTTTAGAATGCAAAATACTTTAAATGGTAAGAATTCAATATTTTAATTGAATTTATTCATATAAACATGTGTGACCATTTGTTTATAAAAGTGTTGCCCAAGAGAAAAGAAACTGAATTAATTTTCAAGATTAGAATTATCCAGCTCATAAATTAAGAATTAGGTAACTAAGTATTTATTAGAAATCATATTCATGTAACCAGCATGTTTATATTGGTAATTTATTTTTAATTTGAGCTTCCAATTTCCTGAATAAGTAGTGTAGGGGCTGAGGGAAAACTTTCCCTTCACCCTCTGAAGTTTCCACAAAATCAGCTGACAAAGGCAGATTAATAGGAGAAAGGCATACCAAATTTGTTTTAATATGCACAGCACGGGGCAATCACAGGAGAATGATTACCCAATAATCCAATGCTGTACATTGGCTTCTTTACCCTTCTTCATAGTGTAGGGCAAAGATGGGGAATATAGACAATTCTTTTGAGGGGCAATAAGCAATTTTCAGATAAAATGAGTGAGCACACAGAACCATGGCCTGGGACCAAGTGTCTCTGGGCTCGGTGGGAGGTAGCATCACAGGTTATCAGAGAGTGAAGGGAAGAAAGCATGTCAAGCAAACACTCCCTTGTTATACAGATGAAAATATATCAGATAATCTTGGAGCTGCCCTCAGAAAGAACTGGTGGTAGTTTGTGGTGGAGTTAATCTTTCCTAGATCTTGAAAAGGGGGAGCCGGGGCTCAAGGAACACCTGGTTGCTTATTTCACTAATGTACTTTTTTTTTTCCCCGCAGATGAAAGTCTCCTCCACAAAAGGCAGCTTTTCTGTGCAATTCCTGCCTGTAAGCCCTCTCAATAGCAGTCTTGAAATATGTCAAATAAGTCTATTTTTGGTGAAATTTCTTTGGTTTCCTATAGTAGGTTAATATAGCATGGAAGAGGAATTTATTTGATGAGAGTACAGTGTGTAGGAAAAACAAGAGATTAAACATTTCATATATTTTATGGCCTTAGGCTAAAAGTCTAGTATTTGAGGGTCATTTGAATCTGGTTTATTGTTTTTCATCTAAAGTTAATTGATTGCAGTATGTGTGGATTAGAAGAAAATCATCACTGCTGCTGGATGGCAAAAGCCTGTTATGCATGTCTTATTTATAATAGTTCATTAGTGCAGTGCTTAAATACAACTATACTTTTGTGGATTAAATGGTATAATTTTCTTAACAGTAATTTTTATATAAGTCTGATGGGCAGAAAGTTCTGAGAGAGAAGCAAAGAGACAGAGAGATAGAGGGACAGAGAGGAGAGGCATGCAGCATTGCTGGGGCATTACCATTAGCAGACACTGTCAGAAGAGCAGTTGTGAAAGTACACAGAGGGCTGAGAGAGCATCAGGCCTGATGAGACTTTTGAAATTCGGCAAAGTTAAAAGCACAAGTTGACCTGGGCATAGAAGAAACAAGGACTGGTTTGAAAGGTGTCCCATGAAGAACCTTCTCTCCAACTATATATATATATCAGTAAGTGATAGTCTGTAGGTTACATTGTATCACACAGCCTTGCCCACCTTACCCAGGTGCCAGCCCTGAATAGCAGGTAGAATTGTAACTGGGACAAAAATGACTTGCTTTTGGAAGGTGGTTCAGATCTCGTTTAGAATGTATAGGATTGGAACATGAAGCAAATATTCTGTCTTCTCAGTCTATAGAATACGGGCTCCCTGTGAGAAGAGAAAATTTAGAACACTTACAGGTCACATCTCATTCTAGTGACAACTAGTTGGGGTTGTGTCCTCCTTGTATTTGTGCTAGACACTCAGTCAAAGTTTGGCTGTCTTTTTATTTTTAACTTTAGCAAGATATGAAGAAGGCTGGGAAAGGAAACCATTTACTGTACTGAATAACTTGTGACAACGATTTTCATTCTAAATAGATTTTTTAAAGATAGTGTTATTCTATCTTTGGCCATTACCTAGGATTCTAAAATGCTTTCAGTGTAATGTACCGTTCATTATAATGATGTTCCTTTTTTAATGGATTTGGAGCTTATTTGATCAGAAATAGGATAAAACTGAACCTGATAAATAAACATTTTGCTGAGATTATAAAAAAGAAAGATTCATTGTCTTAGAAGTTTTCAGGGGACACACAGTATACTGAAGGGGTAATATAATAATTTATAATTTTTGTTCCTTGAAAACATCTTTACTTTGGAAATTCAATTTAAATAATTTATATTGACATAAAAATATTATGAATGAAATAATATTTGCAGCCAACATTATCTTCCTGATAATTGTAGATAAATGGAGTTTCCAAAATCAACTCCTAGATAAGGGCATATAAACATAGACCAAGGTACTGTAAAATATTTGACTTTTATTACACATTATTGATAAATCATTTAAAAAGGAAGAAAGGTTATTTGGGGCTTTCAGTACATTATTTCATTTCATCTATTTTATATTTGTGTGGTTGAATTTTTTTCAGTCTTCCTTGCTTTTTGGTTTTTATTTAAAGAACAAGTCTTTTTCGTGTTTCTTAAAAATGAATATTTTGCAAAGAATCGTAGTTATGTTATAGAGATTCTCTCTTGCCATTGCAAGTGAGGTTGAAATTTGAAGGATCTCCTTATATAGAACCCTTTTAAAAATTGTATTCTATAACTCTAACATTTGAACCTACTTCAACTGACTTTTTTTAACTTTACAGATATTTTATTTTATTCTTGGTCTTTCTAGTCTATGATATATCTTTCCTTTGTGTGTGGTGGATGGGCGGTGAGGGGTGGGTGATTTATTGTATTTCACAATATTCTTCTAAGTGACATTTAGCAACATTATCTCTTGTAAGCTAAAACAAGAGTGATTTCTTTTTATTCCTTTGTTTGAAAAATAAACATTTTTCATTTTTTGGAATGTAAAATACTTATCAGTAACCTGTTTTTATGTTGTAGGTTTATTTTGTAATACACTGCAGTAGTTTGTAAGACTCAGACCCAGATGTCCCCCTGATTTTAAACAATTTTAAGTAAAGAAAGAACATATTAGAAGATGGTTTTCCATTTGCCACCATTTTGTTTATCTTATAAATGAAGTTTATTTGTAAAGAAGTATGCTACCTCGTTTTATGCACTCTGTCTTCGGGGCTCTCTACTATTCAGATTAGGCAGCTTCTTTAAATGTGCTTCATATAGAACAGAGAGTTTATGCAAGAGTTATCTAGCTTGATATAGAATACCTTCATATTTGTTTTCTAAGGTAGGAAAATATTGGCTTACATTTTATATTTTATTTTAAAAATGGGAGTAACATGCTACTTAGTCGCCAAAGACAAATCTTTTTGAAAGAGCTCATCATCCTTACCTGTCCTATTGATTTTTTTACCCCAAATATCATATAATCTGGGACTTGAGTGATTTTTTTTCTCCACTTCTGTCTTTTCAAAAGGCACAACTATATTTGTCAATGTAGTTTTGATAAATCATTTTCTTTTTCTTGCATTCAACTAAGCTTGACTGTTGATTACTGAAGAGTACATTTTTTTAAGTCAGAAGCAAACACTTAAGCACTTCAAACTCATTAAATAATTAATGTTTTCAATAACAGTAAAATCAGAGATAATTACCCAGTATCTCTGCATAGTGAACCTTGCATACTTATTCTTGGAATCAAGGTCATTGTTTGCATTTGCTTATTCTACAGGCATCAATGGCTATGTCATATGGCATTCAGCTTCTGTCCTCAGACTGGAAACAAGAAACAAAATGTTATTAAAGCACTTTTTTCAAAGCCTTGAAGTTCAGTTTAAATCATGCTTTTCAAATTACAAGTCTATTTTTTATAGTTGAGCAGATACTAGTATTACAGAGAATCAATTTAATGTACTACAAAGCAATGTTAATGACTAATTCTATACAAGAACAAAAATATTGCCCTTCTCAAAACACAAGCAAACACCAGTGACTTCCTAACAGAATTAATAAAATAATCGCTGGTATATGATTACAATTTCCATGTTTTAATTAATTAAAGCGATTTTTTTCACTGCAAGCACAGGAGAAAAACACTAATATACAAAGACTGTGCTATTTTCAGAAAAGAAATGGAGGGACCTGGACTAATATAAAACAACTTATTATTGATTTTTGTTGCAATAGGAAATTTATAAGTCCTTATATTATAAATTTTCAGAATGAAATATTTGCTAATGTCTTAGCTTTAAGTATATAAATTCTATAGGCTACTTTGTTTTACCATAAGATACTGTCTCATAAAACATATAAAATTTATTCTAATATAAAAATAAATTAGAAAATTAGTAAACCACACATTTATAGACCAAGTTGACAAAATAATTTGTTGTCACTAAAATGAATGATCGTTTCATTATCAGTTAATTACTATACTCAACTTGAAGTTGTGTGAGGGCCAATGGAAGGACCAAGGAAAAATGTAGAAGAAAATTTGGAAATGATAAAATCATCTCTCCTTATAAAACATATGGAACAACTTATTTCTTCCACAGTATAATTAATATCCTAGGACTCATTCCACTAGAACTGTGAGTTAGTAATATCCTATTAACTGAACTTTATTTTTTCTCTCAATTTCCAAAGCCTCTTAAGGTACTCAAATATATCTGTTTGGATGATTATCACGATGATGCCAACAAATAAAACAGAAACTTTTTTGAGAGACCAAGTCCTATATATTAGCAGTATTCTCTCTTGTGTACAATGTTCACCACAAACTTGGCCACTGAAAACAACACACATGTATTATCTTATACTTTCTGAGGACCTTTAGTCCAGGCACAGATTATCTGGTTCTTCTGCCCAGTGTTTCACAAAGTTGTAAAGCATCAGCCAGGGCTGGGATTTCATCTAGAGGCTCCACTTGGGAAGCATCCACTTCCCTGCTCACATGGTTGATGGCTTCAATCAGTTCTTTCTGTCTGAAAGATTCTTGCCAGCTTGCTTCTTAAAAGACAGAAAGTGGGGTGAGAGAGTCTCCAGACTGAGTCTGTTAGCAAAAGTCTTATATAACATAATATAACAATAGGAATAAAATTCTGTCACCCTTGTGGAATTTTATAGTTTTGAAGTCAGCCACAGGTCATGCTCATATGAATGTGTGAACATGAGCACATGGGGATCATGGGAGCCACCTTACAGTCTGCCTGTCTGAATCGCGTTCCCTCTTCAATGCCCTCCCATTCAGAGCTTTACTTAAGCAAGCACTGATGGAAATGAAAGAAAGGTCTGGAGGGAAGACTGTCACTGAGGTTCCACCTTCTAGAATAACATTTAGAAACTGTCCTACTTTGAACGCATGAATTTCATTATTCATGGCATATAATAGAAGAAAAGTCACATGCTTGAATGAAAGGTTATCTTTTAGCAAGCAATCATAAAGGTGCAGGTGGATAAGTGAAATACAGTTTTATTCAGATAGACTAAAGTTCAAACATAAAATGAATCTTTCTCACATATATGGAAGATGTGAAAAAGTAAAATAAAATATTAGAAGTGATTCAGGGTTTTCATTGCTAACTAGTCTTTTAAACAGGCCCAACCAATTTTAACTGTTAACTTACAACAGATTCCTTTTATTTTAAAAGTATGACATATGTATTAGACATGCAACTTGATATGAAGAATAAATTTTAATAAAGAACAGGACAAGACAATGTATAAAATATTCAGAATAACAAATTTTAACAAACCTATTTTCGAATTCCAAAATTAGACTCAGACAAAGCCTTTCTTTCAGTTTCAAAAACAATTTTTTTCTATTTATATAAAATAAGTTTTTCATATTTAATTTAAAGTGTCACAACATGTGTTATATAATAAATTAGCTACTGAATGAAAAATCCATCTAGCTAAAATAATCTGGTTTATCTCCTAATTTTTTAAGATATATATACATATATATATAAATAAAATAATATGTAAGGCCCCTATTTAAAAAACACATAATCTTTATTTTATATATTCTGTTCTTTTACCTCCTAATGAGATTTTTTTAGTTTTAAAATTATTAATTTTTTTTTAATTTAAAGAAATAGTTTTAAAAAGACAATTAGATTAGCTTATTCTTATAAACTTCAATTTATGCATAAAATTAATAAAGATAACACACAAAACCTTTTTAGGATGACCTATTAGTGTTGAAAAAGTTAGCATTGGCTTCTGATATCTGGTTCTCCTGATGTAGCCTATAAGATGACCTTCATTAACATCTTGTCTTGTTTTCTCCTTCTTCCTTCCACTTTCTTCTCTTATTCAAGGAGTCTTACTGCTTGCTAACTCAGACCTCTTAGATTTCCTTGGGAATTTTACTTAGTTTGTTTATGGCTGCTAATATCCTCTCACTACCTAATGTTGCTTTCTTCTTAATCAATTCCAAGTTAGTCTAACATTGATTGGTGGTTTTGAGATGTTGCAGGTAACAACCAGTAAGGAAACCATAGTATTGGATAAAATATTTCCTGTATAGACAGAATGAGGAAGAATGCAACATGATAACTTGGTGGAAAAAAAAAATCTTTTTTTTTTTTGAGACTGAGTCTTGCTCTATCGCCCAGGTTGGAGTGCAATGGCACGATCTCGGCTCACTGCAACCTCCGCCTCCCGGGTTCAAGTGATTCTCTTGCCTCAGTCTCCTGAGTCGCTGTGATTACAGGCGCCCACCACCATGCCTGGCTAATTTTTGTATTTTTAGTAAAGACGGGGTTTCACCACGTTGGCCAGGCTGGTCTCGAACTCCTGACCTCAGGTGATCCCCCCCCAGGCCTCCCAAAGTGCTGTGATTACAGGCATAAGCCACCATGCCCGGCCTAATTTTTGTATTTTTATATTTTTTTTCTTTTTTTTTTTTTTGAAACGGAATCTCTCTCTGTCACCCAGGCTGGAGTTCAGTGGCAGGATCTCAGCTCACTGTAAGCTCCGCCTCCCGGGCTCACACCATTCTCCTGCCTCAGCCACCTGAGTAGCTGGGACTACAGGCGCCCGCCACCACGCCCGGCTAATTTTTTGTATTTTTAGTAGAGACGGGGTTTCACCGTGTTAGCCAGGATGGTCTCCATCTCCTGACCTCATGATCCACCCACCTCGGCCTCCCACAGTGCTGGGATTACAGGCATGAACCACCGCGCCCGGCCTAATTTTTGTATTTTTAAAGAAGACTACTGGCGGGTGGATCATCTGAGGTCAGGAATTCAAGACCAGCCTGGCCAACATGGTGAAACCCTGTCTCTACTAAAAATACAAAAATTAGCTTGGCGTGGTGGTGGGAGCCTGTAATCCCAGCTGCTCGGGAGGCTGAGGTAGGAGAATCGCTTGAACTAGGGAGGCGAAGGTTGCAGTGAGCCAAGATGGTGCCACTGCACTCCAGCCTGGGTGACAGATGGTGACTCCGTCTCAAAACAAACAAATAAACAAACAAACAAACAAACAAAAACTACTACATGGGCTCTCAAGTAGTTGTTAAATCGATCAGTGGATCTATTTAAAAATGCAAATTGTTACACACTACAGTCCTGATTATGTGCTGGTGTGGGTGCATGGAAAGCTGATAAATTGAAACATAATTCATTATACAAATAATAATCCATTCTACAAAAATGCTGATTGTGTGATCTTATCCCCTTCAATTACGCAATAGCCAAATGAGTGGAAATGGTACTTCATTAATAGTAAGAAAGATGCATCATATTGCAAGGTAAAACTTTAACAAAAGATGAGTTCTTAAAGATACTTTACTAAAAGACAAATTGGAATATTCTATAAAGCTAAATCTTGGGACTCATGTTCAGGGATACTAGTGGGATATCAGAAGCAACACCTGCTCCATGCAGCAACTCTCCATTGCCGGAAGAGTAAAATCTTAACCCTGGAACTGCCAGGAGCAGACACTGATAATTATGTTTTCACTAGATTGACTTAAAGAAAAAGGAAAAAAAGAAAAATCTTACTCCACGAGCACGGAATATCTTCAGTGCCTTTTAGGGAAAGTCAAATTCTCAGTGCCTGATTGGTTGAAATAGCAGCAATGCCCATTGAAAGGAGATGGTAAAAGAGTGAAGAGTCTGCATTTCTCCCCTCATCCCTCAGCCCCCACTTCCCAGTAGGGAAGATGATAGAAATTTAAGCAGAAATTTTCTCTTTCTTGGTGGAAATATGAGGTAAAGGCAGAGAATATTTGTTTTCCTATAATAAAGTACTAATATTCCCCAGCATTGTGATCCAAGGAAGTAAGAGCAACACATCTTAACAATGTCTTTATAGACACAAGTTATCTAAACCTGAAATGCTCTAAGAAGTAAATAAAGCAAAACAAATCTAGCACTTTAAGCTCTCTTTGCTTTTCAGCATTCTTTGTTGGACACAGCTTTTATAACATCAGGACAAAATTTGTTTACATTAGTCACATTGCAAAAAAAAAAAAATTGGATGTTGATGGCTTCCATGTTATCTTCGCAAGTCCTCAGCATGTCATAGAACACAGACAAGAACAAGGGTTAGCACTTGGAAATCTAAATGTTGCTTTTATGTATTTTTATAGTGTGGGATTTTTGTTTTCTTGTTTTGAATTAATTGATTGATTGATTTTTGCTTCATGGTGCTGAATATGCATGCTTCTTACATCTATATTAATGTCTCCCATTCATTAGATAAGATAAACTCTATGACAGAGCCACAATTCCAATAGTTCCCAACTGTGTCAGAATTCAAATTACTGAAGTTAGGATTGTTCTATACTACTGTGTGTTTTCACCATAAATTCATTCAATAGATAATAATTTGATACAACCATATTTTATAACTGCTACATCATGTAACTTAGTTTTATTTAATTTTAGTAACTGTTTATGTTTCTGATGAAAATATTTATAGATTCCTAGATCATCCAAAAGAAATTAAGTGTACAGGTTTTTTATTTTTTATCTATTTTTTTTTTTATTTGAGACAGAGTCTCTCTCTGTCACCCAGGCTGGAGTTCAGTGGCATGTTGTCATCTCACTGCAAACTCTGCCTCCCGAGTTCAAGCAATTCTCCCACCTCAGGTTCCTGAGTAGCTGGGATTGCAGGTGTGCACCACCATGCTTGGCTAATTTTTTTTTTCTTTTTTGTATTTTTAGTAGAGACAGGGTTTCGTCATGTTGGCCAGGCTGGTCTTGAACCTCTGCCCTCAAGTGATCTGCCTGCCTTGGCCTCCCAAAGTGCTGAGATTACAGGAGTGAGCCATTGTGCCTGGCCCTAAATGTATGTTTTAATGTTGTATATTCCTTAAAGAAAATTACATTTTAATTTTTTAAAATTGATATTTCAATTCATGTAAGAACATAGGAGTAAGAGTTTTATAAAAAAACACATTTATCTTAAAATTTTTACTAAGAAAGTTATTAAGAGACTTCTTTAATTTTCTTTCCCTCAATGGGCAAATAAAAATATGTTGATTATTCATTTATATAAATGTTTTACTGAGGGCAGCAAACAATTAAGCATTTCGAAATCCATTAAATAACATTTTTCAACAACAGTAAAATCAGAGCTAATTATCAATATTTTGATCAGCGAACACTGTATCTTTACTCTAGGAATCAAAGCCATTGTTAACATTTGTTTATTCTATAAGCACTAATAATTATTTTATACAGCATTCAGCTTCTGTCCTCATTCAAGAAGCTGATTATAAAAGACAATGAATGAATGATTTTTCTAATACATTGTAATTATATCAACATACACTTAAGCCACCTGATAATTTAAAGGGAGGATATTTGTCAATCTAATTGCTTTGTATTCTATAACAATATTTTTTCTTTTAAATTCTGATGCTTCTTCCACTAACTGGAAATGTTGCTTTTGTTCACTAGTCACTGGACAACATAATAGGAGAGTAAAAAGCAATCAGATACGAACATTTATATGCCCCAAATGACACTGTGCCATTATTTAAGATATTAATTTAAGACTTAATGGGATTTCTTAAAATTTGGGGTACTGAGGTTTATTCCATTTAAGAAGGTTATTAAAATCATCTTCAGAAAAAAAGAAAGTTACACATAAAACTTCAGAGCATAATTAAATCTTTCGAAACCTCACCCACCCATCCAACCACTTATTCACTTTGAGTTAGTGGCAATTGACCCAGGCAAAGTGCTACTTTCTTCTCAACATCTTAACTACCATGAGTGATGTTCCTTTCTTAGATGATACACATTTGACCTAGTCCTTTATTTACTATTTAAAGTACTTGGTTCCAGTCATAATAATTGACAAGGTGCATGATTACCATATGGAAAAATTATTTTAGAATTTCTCAAGATACATCTGAATTCCCCCTCAAAAAATTAAAGACAATTTGTAATGTCTGTAAATGCTACATTCTCAAGACTCTCCCACCAAAAAAACTACTAGGAAGTTTCTCTTTATTTCATAAATGCTATTTTTCATGGGAATATAATCCCAGCCTCCTAATATCTAGAATACAGTGTTTCATCTGGAAATGAAAAAATAAAAGAATGAGATTATGATGTACATATGTATGGGGGAGTAGGTGTGTGGGGGGGTGTGTGTGTGAGGGCTTTTCAAAAATATTTTCAAGAAAGTGAAGTGTAATATCAGAATCAAAATCTATATTGGAAGTGGTTGAGCACAATTTGAAGCTGTAAAAAATTGAAGCAGCGATACAGAAGACAATCCAGAAACACTCAAGAGAGTAAAGAAGAAAATGAAGCACCTAGTCGTAAAAGAATACATATCCTATGACTCTATTTACATGGCATGTTCGGTAAATCTACAGAAACAGAAAATAAACTAATGGGTTCCTGGGGCCAGGAGTGGGACTTAACAGTAAATGTGTGAGAAGTATCTTAATGGGTGTATGCAAATATTCTAAATCTAATTTATGGTAATGATTATGCAACTTCTTAAATGATGTAAATATTATTGAATTGTACACTCGAAACGGGTGAACTATATGATACGTATAATGTCTCAGCAGAGTTATTTTTAAAAAAAGGAGAAAAGGAAACTGATAGACAAAACAATATAATAAATATGAAGGAAGGAGAATTTTGATTTTATATTCAGTTCTGATATCCTATTTTTAATAAACAGGACTAAAAGATCACAAACACCAATTAATAAAATAAGAAAACTTTTATTTTATTGTCTGAAGGCAGACGGGTGAATGTTAAGTAGATGGATCACTGAATACCTGGACAATAAGTTGGAAGCATTTGAATAAAAGGAAAAATAAAAAGGCATATTGATGTGCGTATAGAAAATAGAAGTTAAACTAAGAGCGGGAATAACAAAACTGGAAAACAGAGACGGAAATGTGTTCTTTTCCTCCAGTGTTGTGTTAGAAGACAATGGGTGAGTTTGTATTTTCAGAATTTAAAAATAATAAATCATTATTAAAAAATGACATGTCAAATCATTTTTCATATATGAAAGCTAGTGTTTTCCTTTAAATATGCAAAACTTCAGAAAACAAACTAGCCATATATTTATCTACAAAAAACCCTTCCAGATTTATCCTAATTTACCTGAATTGAAACCAAATTGAGATGCATAAATAAAAAATCATTTGTAAAAGAATTTTCAAGTCTTTCCTTAATTAAGTACAAAAACTCAGGAGTTGGTCCTTAGGTATATTCTTTCACACAAAGATGAAGTTTTATTCCCCACTGCTTCCTTTAACTTTTCTTGTCATGTAGTCATTTTTTTCTCATTTCTAGGAAACATTTTCTGTGCACCAAAAATTTTACCCTATTGCTTAATTAAATATTTACCTGTCTCATAAATACTTAGAAGAATAATACTCTCCCTTTCTAATTTATAAAATAGCCAATTATTTTTACAGTAACTCATGCTAGAAGAATCACTAAGCAAAATAGTTCTTTATGTCCCTTAGCATAAATACATTGCATTGTGATGACATCCTTCATTGAAAAAGCAATTTAATTTATGTTTTCTCAATACTTTAAAAGGTATGAAATGACTATTTTTTTTACTATATTGGAAAGACTAATAAATTTACCAAGAGTAACATTACCTGTCTTCAAAATAATGTAAATTGTAGTCTAGTATTGATAGTATTTAATTATTTTTATTTAAAAATAAAAATTAGCATTTTGAGCTTAACTCTATCAAATATTCAAAAAGTGTATTAGGAAGTATGTCAAAATATTAGACATAATCATTTATATATGGTAAAGCTATAGATGTTTAAATGTATCTACATAATTTTTTATAACTCAAATGACCCACGGTCATTACATTTAGCAAATGAAAATAAAGTATACCAAGTTAAATTCATATTTTAGAAAGAAATGAAAAAAAGTTTATTATAAGTATGTCCTAAGTGTTGCAGAGGACATATTTAGACTAAATTTAATCAGACAGATAAGCAACAAATAATTTTTAGTGTAATTATATCCCATACAATGTTTGAGATATAATAATAAAAATATTCATTGTTTACCTCAAATGCAAATTTAACTCAGTGTCCTGTATTTTATCTGCTAACCCTATCCATCATAAGAAAATATACTTCTTTTAATTAGAAACCTACTCTTCTTTAAATGGTTGGCTTTCTGGATTTGTATGAAAATGTACCAATGTAGTCCAGCTGCTTTCTCTATAGGTTTCAAGTAGCATGTCATGCACATAATATGTTCTATAATTTTAAAAAATCCTGATTTTATAAATAAAGACCAAAAAAAAAAACTGCACCAAGAATATTAGAATATACATAAAACACACTAGTGAATCCTAGTGAATCCAGGTGACTCAGACTACTAGGAACTAACTATCCCATTGTTAATGGAAAAGTATTCAGCACAACTATTTCCTTCCATTTTGTCCTCTCTAAAATGTTCAGTCTGATCTTCATTTAACTGATAATTTCCTGTTTGAATGAATAATTCTAACATATACAAGAAAAATCAAATTTACTATTATATAATTATAAAACATCTTTGTAGATAAGTTAGAAAAGTGGGCGTTTTCTAACCTTTATTGTTATCATTAAGTGATACTTAAATATATAGTGAAAGGAAACTAAATTTTGGGACCCCAAACTCATTTAGCCAAAGAGAAAAGTCAAGCTGGAAAAGGAAATGGGTCACACAAACCTGCCTCCTTCTTTTGGTTCCTAAATAATATGGGTACAAAATGAAAAGCTACATGCCTCCCCCATATTTTGCCCACAAGGAAATTCCTGGTGCGTTGTTAAAACTTCACCATGGCAATGCAGATTGATAGCTTATCTTTACATGTTCAGCCACGCCTGCCAGACACAACTATATATCTGATTGTTTCCCTATCCTCTTTTGTCTGCATTATCTTAGGTAAAATGCAGATTCCACATTTTTCCTCTGCCCCTTTTGTTTATGTGAAAACTGTGTGCTTCTCAATACCCCGCCATTTCCTCTTTAAATTTGGAGCCCTCAAAATCATCTTTGGAGAAAGGCATAGACCTGTCTTCTGAGCATGTCCTTAACTTTGGCAAATAAATCTCCCAAAATGATTGAGATGTGTTCATCATTTTCCTCTATTGATAATACATGTGTATGCCTTACACCCCAAACTTTTGCATGAAATATTTTAAAAATTGATTCACGTGCTTTTTTTACTGCAGAAAATGTAGATATCTAGGTGGTGATCATCTGAGATCTTCTTTATTAATTTAGCCCTTTCTCCTGTTTTGCCTGGCTTTAACAGCTGGATTAGAGAAGTCTAATTAGCATCCTAGGGAGAAATGAAATTTTCTTAGTATCATGGATATACAATGCCAGATTCCCAGGTGTAAAAGTTTGGCAATCACAACACAACTAAAAACTTACTAATGGGAGAATGTTGTTAAAAAAAAAATTAAATTAAAGTCTTGAATGTCTGGCTGTTGTGCCAAGAAAATCCAAATTTGTGTATTCAGAAGACCTTCTTCTTTTTAGATAAGCCAGGAGAGTTCTGATTCTCTCACTCCAATGACTAGAGAATGCAATGCTTAATTCCACCTGAATCTCAAAGTAAAGGCTATCCTGGCTAGAACAATTCCACAGATGCAAAGACATCTGAAAAACAAAATGAAATAAAGGCCATACAAAATATCTACAGTTATGAAGCAGTCAATCACATATAGTATAACATTTTTAAATGAAAAGGAAAGATAAATTTCCAATTGATAAATGCAGCTAAAACTCATTTTGGAAGCTCTTAGCTACTAGAATTAAAAAAGGTTTTTGTTGTTGTTGTTTTAAAAAGTTAGATAAATTAACATGTATTTATAAGCCTAATGTAAACAAAATTGTAATTTTCTTATTTTTTTGCCTAGATATTTTTAAATTTTATAATAAAGAACACTTCAAAATGTAATTCAGATAATAAAAGTTCTCTTTCAACTGAGAAGGAATATATAATAGAAATATCTCATAAAAAGGGCATGAAAATTACATATGGCTATATAATTTACTTGAGTTTCACTTTGTAAAAAATGAAAAAACTTAAACTAAGACACAATTTCATTAGCAGAGTATAATATCAAAGTATTGCCATAAAAAACTTGTTACATTTCTAATTCTTTCATTTAGCTCCTCAAAGCAGCATTTTTTCTGTTTTGATTATATTAGACTGCATATGCATTACCTACTGTTATTTGTACTTTAAAAATATCAGGAATAACTATATTTTATTATAAGGCTTAGGTTCTATTGTTTTTTCCCCTACTGAGTCATGCATTTAAGTGAAAACTAGAGGTATCATAGAGACTATCCCCCATTACAAAATATACAGAACTGCAATGCTAAATGAAGGGCAGTTCACTAAATGTTTATGAGAAAACTCACCTCAGAGCAAATGAATCTATGAAAACTAAATGTGAAATAGACTGTTTTTACCTCTCATGATATTCATAGGTAATCTTCATTGTAAACAAAGAAGGGAGGATGGCCTAATCTGAGAAGGCACCTCGCAGAAAACAACTTTGCTGTGAAACCAGGAGTCATTCCTCATAAGGCAGACTCTTCTGTCTTACAAATCTAGAAGCCACATGGTGTACAATTCTAACATAAAAATTACTGCTGAATAGTGTTCTCTCTTTGGTGAAAAAATATGCATTGAAAACCCCCTACACAAAAAAATCACAATTGTGGAATTACAGGAATTCTGGTGATATTAAGGTGAAATAACAAAACACACAAAAGGCCCTATTTTAACAGTTGATGTGACAGTAAATTTTAATAGAGAGAAACTGTAACTTCATTTTGGAAATGCTTCTCCACCAAATAAGGGCTTTTTCCCCTGTTTAAGGAGCCAGATGGATTGAAAGATGTGGAAATAGGCAGCTGTAGATCTTGATTTCCAAGTACCCCATGTACCTTTATTTGAGCTTAATTATAATACTGTCAAATTGCCATGATCTCACTAAAGGATTTCTATTTGCTGTCAGTTAAAAATAAAGCCCTAAATACATTGTTATTCTTTCTACTGAGTGCATTGTCTGTTTTCTTTGTAAATGCCATACAATAAACAAATTATTTAATAACCAAAAAAAAAAAAAAAAAAAAACCCTTAGCTCTGAGCTTGGGAGGGACAGAGGGAATCATTTCAAGCTGCTCTTTGACCTGAAGAAATTGGTGGCCATACTTAATTAAAAGAGTAATTTATAATCCATCCGAGTATTCTTTTAATTTTTTCTTACCCCTGAAATCTCTGGACAGGCCAGAGAAGAGTTTATTTTGAGGCTTTTCATAATAATGTTTCTGTCTCTTTTAAATGTCTTCTCCCATGCTCAATGATAGATAGAATAGCCTTCATCTGCAAATTAAAAAATGGGCATGTTGCCAGTCTAGGAAAGCCCTCTGAGAACTTTTACTCCATTATTATGGAATCTTGGAAACAGTGCCTGGCTACAGTAGAATGGATAGTGTCTTTCTATGGAAAGAAGAATCAATAAAGACTACAGAAAAGGAAAAAGGCTAAGTACTGTAGGTTCTTAAATGAAAATTGATTTCCACCATTGACCATGGAACAAGCTCATCAGTAACACTGCATTTAGAGGCAATCTAATTGTTTCTTCTTAAGGTAGGGTTTGAACTTGGATGGGAAGTATAAGAGGGAAATCAATCCTCTCTTCTCACAGGTACCTTAGTCACAGCATACCGATTCAAGAAAATGCAATTATTTAAGAGCCCATTGTAACCACTCAGTGGATTGCCTCAGAAAATCAGCTACGTCCCTCAGAAACATACAGGTTTAATTTTTAAATCTTTCTATTCTCATATAGGTACCTGATCACAAAAGACACCTTTAATCCCTCTCAGTGACACAATAAATGACATAAAAAGAACATATATTAGCACAAATTCAAAAGTAAAATAGGGAAATCATTCAAATTATGGACTATACTGATGATTTGTCTCTGCATGTAAAGGACAACATGTTATTTATTTACTCGTCACTTAAACATAATAAAGTTATGGAATTGACTATGATAAATCTGTGGTTTTGTGTCCAGAATTGGTGGGTTCTTGGTCTCACTGACTTCAAGAATGAAGCCATGGACCCACGCAGTGAGTGTTACAGTTCTTAAAGATGGTGTGTCCGGAGTTTGTTCCTTGTGATGTACGGACATGTTTGGAGTTTATTCCTTCTGGTGGGTTAGTGGTCTCGCTGGCTTCAGGAGTGAAGCTGCAGACCTTCGCAGTGAGTGTTATAGCTCTTAAGGCAGCACGTCTGGAGATGTTCATTCCTCCTGTCTGGAGTTGTTCATTCCTCCCAGTGGGTTCGTGGTCTTGCTGGCCTCAGGAGTGAAGCTGCAGACCTTCCCAATGAGAGTTACAGCTCATAAGGGCAGTGAGGACCCACAAAGTGAGCAGCAGCAAGATTTATTGCAAAAAGCGAAAGAACAAAGCTTCCACAGCGTGGAAGGGGACCTGAGTGGGTTGACACTGCTGGCTTGGGCAGCCTGCTATTATTCCCTTATCTGACCACACCCACATCCTGCTGATTGGTCCCTTTTACAGAGAGCTGATTGGTCCATTTTTGCAGGGTGCAGATTGGTGCATTTGCAATCCCTGAGCTAGACACAGAGTGCTGATTCGTGCATTTACAGACCTTGAGCTAGACACAGCGTGCTGATTGGTGCATTTACAATCCTTTAGCTAGACCCAAAAGTTCTCCAAGTCCCCACTAGATTAGCTGGACACAGAGCACTGATTAGTGCATCCCTGAAACCCAAGCTAGACATAGAGTGCTGATTGGTGCATTTACAATCCTTTAGCTAGACACAGAGTGCTGATTGGTATGTTTACAATCCTTTAGCTAGATGCAAATTTCTCCAAGTGCCCACTAGATTAGCTAGACACAGAGCCCTGATTGGTGTGTTTACAAACCTTTAGCTAGACACAGAGTGCTGATTGGTGCATTTACAATCCTCTAGCTAGACATAAAAGTTCTCCAAGTCCCCATCAGATTAGCTAGATACAGAGTACTGATTGGTGCATCCACAAACCCTGAGACATAAAAGTTCTCCAAGTCCCCACCCCTGCCCTGTGAGGAGGCAGCTGAGGCCTGGTGAGGATTCGAGCACAGTGCAGGCGGGTCTGCAGTGCTGGGGGACCCAGCGCATCCTCCGCAGCTGCTGGCCCGGCTGCAAAGCCCCTCACTGCCTGGGGCCGGCAGTGCCAGCTGGCTGCTTGGAGTGTGGGGCCCGCCGAGCCTGCGCCCACCTGGAACTCATGCTGGCCCATGAGCGCCGTGCACAGCCCCAGTTCCCACCTGTGCCTCTCCCTCCACACCTCCCCGCTTGCAGAGGGAGCTGGCTCCAGCCTCCACCAGCCCAGAGAGGGGCTGCCACAGTGCAACGGTGGGCTGAAGGGCTCCTCAAGCATGGCCAGAGCAGAAACCGAGACTGAGGAGGCACTGAGAGCAAGCAAGGGCTGCTAACACATTGTCACCTCTCAATCCCCCCTCTCAAACAGGACACCCCAACTGCTGTTGGGAATTTGGCTGATGACCACTCTAGCTACTTCCTCCTGGATAGGGGTGATGAAGGGGCCCTGCAGTTGTAGTGTCCTCCAGAGGGGAGCTCTCTAGGCCAGTGAAAGTGCCAGCAGGTCGGTACAGGGGTCCTCGGTGGAAGTTGTTAGTTGAACTCATTTGGGGTTCCATTTGTAAGAGCATCTGTAGTTTGAAGGCCTTGATTCTAGAGGAAACAAATTTGACAAGAAGGTTAAAAATACAGGGCCCAAAGGCGAGTAAGAGCAAGATGGCTGCCATGGGACCTAGAAAGGGGAGAAGCCATGTTGCCCAACTCCAGAGGTTGGTATAAGAGTTTGAAAGGCATTGTCTGATTTCAGAAGCCTTTTCCTCTAAATGCCAGGTAGTATTTCATACTATCCCTGACTGGTTAGTGTAAAAACAACACTCTTCCCATAAGAAGGTGCAGAGTCCTCCTTTCTCAGCAGTGAGGGGGTCTAGGCCTTGGTGGTTTTGGAGAATCACTGCTGCTAAAGAGTCTTTTTGGGATTGTAGAGTAAAGATAGATTTCATTGTTTTTTTTTTTTGTTTTTTTTTGTTTGTTTGTTTGTTTTTTTGTGTGAGACGGAGTCTCGTCTGTCGCCCAGGCTGGAGTGCAGTGGCACGATCTCGGCTCACTGCAAGCTCCGCCTCCTGGGTTCACGTCATTCTCCTGCCTCAGCCTCCCGAGTAGATGGGACTACAGGTGCCCGCCACCATGTCTGGCTAATTTTTTGTACTTTTAGTAGAGATGGGGTTTCACTGTGTTAGCCAGGATGGCTCGATCTCCTGACCTCATGATCTGCCCACCTCGGCCTCCCAAAGTGCTGGGATTACAGGTGTGAGCCACTGCTCCTGGTTAGATTTCATTATTTCTTGCAAACTGTCTGAGAAATCCTTTGAGTGTGTGTAGTAGTAGGATAATGAATTAGATAAATTAGGTATTCTGGTTCCTGTAGCAGTAGCCATTCCTAACCCTATAAGTAGGGGTATTAGTTGTATGGCTCCCCGCTGACAGACTTGAGCTTTAAGGGGTACTGATAAGATCTGATTTCTTGGTGCAATGTTAATGTTGGGACTTAGAAAAACTAAGGTGCAGGTGGCTGTCCAGTTAGTGGGGAGGCAGATATAGGTCGATGTTCCACGTAAGAAGATTATGCCTTGGCTGGGTAGACAGAACTTTACCCTGGCTTTTAAAGGAATAGAGTACACTGTTTTTTCTTTACTATGTCTATCTCTCTCTTTCTCTCTCTTCGACTCTTCTTTGTCTCTTCCTCTCTGTCCTTCTTTGATTTTCTGTCCCTCTGTCTCCTCCTCTGTCTCCTTGTCCTTCTCTGACTTCCTGTCTCTCTCTTTTTCCTTTCTGCTGCCTCTGCCAGCTGCTTATGCTGCTGTTCTCCCTTCTCCTTCCCCTTTTTGATGGCTTCAGCAGTGTAAGACTGCTACCTCCTTGGGTTTTTGCGCTGCATGCAATAACTCTTTGATTTCCTTCTGGTATTTAATGGGGGTTCCCCCAGAGGTTAGGAACTCCCTTTCTTTCCACATTGCAGCATGGGCATGCAGGATTAGATAAGCATACTTGCAATCTGTATACAGATTTATTCTTTTTCCCTTTCCCAGTTCTAAGGCTTGGGTAAGTGCCACTAGTTCTGCTAACTGGGCACTGGTCCCTGGGGGAAGAGTCTTACTTTCATGTATGGTTACATCATTAACTATGGCATAACCTGCCCTTTGTATCTTATTGTCCACAAATGAACTTCCATCAGTATATAGGTTAAGGTCAGGATTAGCTAAGGGGACTTCTGAGAGATCATCTCAGGTTGCATAAGTCCGAACTATAATTTGTTGGCCGTCATGTTCGATTGGTTCCCCATCCTCTGGGAGAAAAGTGGCAGGGTTGAGGGCCACACACATATGTATTTGAAGCAACAGTCCCTCATGGAGTAGTGCCTGATATCTAAGTAGGAGGTTGTCTGACATCTATAAACTTCCTTTGGAACCTAGTATGCCATTTACATCACCAGTAGTCCAGACAGTGAGATCCTTTCCTTGTATTATTTTGATAGCCTCTGACATTAAGATGGCCACCGCCGCAACTACCCTTAAACAGTGAGGCCAGCCTTTTGCTACTACATCCATTTCCTTACTTAGATATACCACTGGTTGTGGGGTGGTCCCACGAGTCTGAGTAAGGACTCCAAGAGCTATCCCTGTTCTCTCTGTGACATATAAAGAAAAGTTTTGTCCTATGGGAAGGCTTAAAGCTGGAGCTTGTACTAGGGCCTGCTTTAAGGTTTTGAAGGCTGTTTCTGCCTCTGGTTCCCATTCTACTAGATGAGTATTTGCCCTCTGGGTTTACTTGATTAGAGTATAGAAGGGCCTGGCTATCTCACTGTATCTGGGGATCCATAGTGGGCAAAAGCCGGTGATTCCAAGGAACCCCTGCAACTGATTTAATGTCTTCGGGCGAGGATAAGCCAGTATAGGTTGTATTCGTTCCCTGCTGAGGGCCCTGGTCCCTCTGGCTAAGATTAGGCCTAGATATTTGACCTGCTGTAGGCAAAGCTGGGCCTTCAACCTAGACACATTGCACCCTTGATTAGCTAGAAAGTTCAAGAGATCTAGGGTAGCCTGCTGACACGAGGCTTCTGAACTGGTAGCCAAAAGTAAGTCATCCACATACTGGAGGACCAGAGCCCCTGGACTTGAGAAGTGGCCTAGATCTTGGGCTAGTACCTGACCAAACAGGTAAGGGCTATCCCTAAACCCTTGGGGCAAGACCGTCCACATAAGTTGGGACGTGTGGTCTTTGGGATCCTCAAAGGCAAAGAGAAACTGGGAGTCAGAGTGCAGGGGAATACAGAAGAAGGCATCCTTGAGGTCCAGAACCATGAACCATTCTCCTTCCTCTGGTATTTGAGAGAGCAAAGTATAGGGTTTGGGTACAACTGGATATAGAGGAATTACTGCCTCGATGAGTCTAAGATGTTGCACTACTCTCCACTGACTGGTTTTTGTACTCCTGGAATTGGGATGTTGCAGGGACTGCTGCATTTCCTTACTAAGTCTTGAGCTTTTAAATGTTTAACAATATCCTGTAATCCTTTATGAGCTTCAGGCCTTAAGGGGTATTGCCTTTGATAAGGAAAAGTGGTGGGGTCTTTTAGCCTGATTTGGACTGGGTGGGCATTTTTTGCCCTTCCAAATTGTCCTTCCAGTGCCCAGACTTCAGGGTTGATTCCCCCACTCAAGTAGGGGACAACAAATGGGTAACGTATTCCCCATATTCATGTAGATAATAGCTCCAACCTTGGCTAATACATCCCTCCCTAATAAGGGTGTGGGACTTTCAGGCATAACAAGAAAGGCATGTGAAAAGAGCAAAGTCTCCCAGTTACAACTGAGGAGGTGGGAGAAATACCTGGTTACAGGCTGTCCCAGGATTCCTCGGATGGTAACGGACCTTGAGGACAGTCTTCCAGGACAGGAGATTAACACTGAGAAGGCCATGCCAGGGTCCAGAAGGAAGTCAATTTCATGGCCCTCAATGGTTAAAAGTACCCAGGGCTCAGTGAGGGTGTTGACTTGAGCTGGCGCTTGCCCTGGGCACCCTCAATCCTGTTGTTGGATCATCTGGTGGGGGGCTTCTGACCCAGAGAACCTTTGTCCTCTGGGGCAGTGCACCTTCCAGTGATTGCGTCGGCATAGTGGACATGGATGAGGGGGCAGCTTGTTTCTTATCGAACAATCTTTTTTGAAGTGTCCTGGTAAACCACACTGATAACAAGCCCTACTGGGTGATTGGCCTGCTCCATTTTCTGTCCTCTCTGAACCACCAAGGTTTGTTTGTCTGAGGGCCATAACTAAGGCTGTGGTCTTTCTCTGGTCTCGCTTTTCCTTTTGAGCCTATTCCTCTTGGTCTCTATTATAGAACACCAAGATTGCCAGGTTTAATAATGCCTCCAGATTTTGTTCAGGGCCCAGGGCTTGCTTTTGCAGCTTTCTCCTGATATCTGTGGCTGATTGGGTAATAAACTTGTGTTTTAGAATCAATTGACCCTCAAGTGATTTGGGTGACTGGGGAGTATATTTTCTTAAGGCCTCCTGTAGCCACTCGAGGAAGGCAGAAGGATTTTCTTCCTTTCCCTGAGTTATGGTGGACATCATTGAATAATTCATGGGCTTTTTTCTAATTCTCCTTAGTCCTTCTAGAACACAGGTCAACGGATGTTTGTGACTCCAGTCCCCATGATCTGAGTCGAGGTCCCAGTGGGGATCCATACTGGGGATGGCTTGCTGACTGGTAGGGAATTTGTCCCTTTCTTCAGCTGTCATCCTATCATTTACTTGACTAAGATACCAGGTATCTCCAAACTCTCAGGCTGCAGCTAAAGCTGTATTCTTTTCATTAAAGGCCAGGGTTTGTTCTTCCAGTATCAAGACATCTCTCCAAGTGAGGTTGAACATTTGCCCTAGACCCTGTAGGATATCTATATACCTATCAGGATCATCTGAAAACTTGCCCAGTTGCCTTGCTCTGTTTTAAATCAGAGAGAGAGAAGGGGACATATACCCAGGTTGGGCCAAATTCTGCTCCCCCTACAGCTTGAGGTGGACATAACCGATAGCCTGGGTGGGGGGGTTTGTGGTCCTTTGGAGATTTCTTTGCTTATTTCCTTCTGGGCAGGGGAGATTAGCAGAGGATTATCATTAATAGGAAGGGGAGCTATAGGGAGGCTAGGATATGGGGGTAAGCTGAGAGGTCCTCCTGTAGGATGTAAATTGTAAGCTTTGCATAGTTGTGTATTTTCCTTCAATGAAAAGAAAGCTTGGACATAAGGTATTTCACTCCATTTGCCTTACCTCTTGCAGAAAAGGTGAAGCTGCAGGATAGTATTGTAATTTGTACTTCCCTCAGGTGGCCATTTTTCCCCATCAGAGGGAGAATATAGTGGCCAGGCCATAGTGCAGGAAAAAATGAGCTGCCTCTTTTTCAGGGTTCATGGGTCAAATTGGTCCCAATGGCTTAGGGTGCATTTCAAGGGTTAGCCTGTTGATGCCTGAGTGGTTTCCCTCTGAAAGACAAAACCGCCCACGGTTTTTGTATGTTTTGTTTCTCCCCCTGCCCAAGAACCTGCAACGGTACCTGGACCCTGCTGATCGGAATAGTTGCACTCACTGATGCAGCAGCAGAAACACTAGTTTTCCTCTCAGACCACAAGGAGGAATGAGGAAGGTCGGATTTAGTGGCCCTTACTGATGCATTCTTGAGAGCCTGCACCCTTGCCAGCCCTCCTAGACCACCAGGAGGACCGAGAAAAATCGGATTTGGTGGCCCTTACCAATGCATTCTCGAAAACCTGTTAGAGTCCTAAGCATTCTCCTGTTAGTACTGGGAACTTCCCCGAGTCCCATAAAGATGTTATGCCCCAAAAATGAAGTGGAGGGCCATACCCTGAGGGAAGGAAGGGCTCTCCAGGGTTGGAAGAGTGATGTCTGTTGTCCTCAGTTATATGAATAGGAAGGATACAATTTCTGAGGCTCCTCATATCCTAGATTCAGAAATAGCTTTTGTTAGGCCTGCTTCTCTGAGGAGGGATCCTAAAATTCCAGATAAGATAGTTCCCCACCCTGTCGGGGCTTTGGCAAAAATTATGTGTTTCTGATTGGTGATCCCAGGTGCCTAAAGAAGGTTACAGAGTCCTGGAGTTTATACTGGAAATCATTCTTATAGGAGAAACTAGAAAAGCACCAGAGACAGGGAGTGATTTTTAGAGGCAGGGCTAGCCTTGGAGAAGACAGGCGAGAGGAAGTTTGTTTGGCAGGTATTAGGACCCAGGGGGCAAGTGTCAGGATGGATAGATGGGCAAGTCTCACTTGGGCGACATGCCTTTGAGAGTTCTGCTTGTGGCCACAGGGTCAACGAACTTGTTGTTGGGACCCTGGAGCTGAATGGCTTTCCTCTCTGTCGACCCTCAGCTCAGCCCAGAAGTACAGGAAAAGCAGAAGCTGGTTCCAAGCAAACCAACGGTCCCAACTCCAAAGAGTCGGGGGTTGTTAGATAGCCCTTTCCCAGAAAGCCTGACACCTGTGTCTTTAATCCAGCAGCCGCGCTAGTCGCTTTTAACTGGCCGACAGGTGCCCGGTATTTAGCCCTCGAATTCTAAGGAAAAATAGGACAGAATAGCAAGCGAAAGGGGTCTGATGGTACTCACTGCTTGGCAATAGGCAACAGTCTCACCACTTGGTAATAGGTGATAGTCTCACCGCTTGGTGATAGGCAATAGTCTCACCACTTGGCGATAGGTGATAGTACCTTCGTGGTCACCAAGATGTGTCTGGAATTGGTGGGTTCTTGGTCTCACTGACTTCAAGAAGGAAGCCATGGATGCTCACGGTGAGTGTTATAGTTCTTAAAGATGGTGTGTCCAGAGTTTGTTTCTTCTGATGCTCAGACATGTTTGGAGTTTCTTCCTTCTGGTGGGTTTGTGGTCTCGCTGGCTTCAGGAGTGAAGCTGCAGACCTTCACAGTGAGTGTTACAGCTCTTAGGGCAGTGTGTCTAGAGTTGTTCATTCCTCCCGGTGGGTTCATGGTCTCGCTGGCCTCAGGAGTGAAGCTGCAGACCTTCGCGGTGAGTGTTACAGCTCATAAAGGCGTGGGGACCCAAAAAGTGAGCAGAAGCAGGATTTATTTCAAAGAGCGAAAGAACAAACCTTCCACAGTGTAGAAGGGGACCCAAGCAGGTTGCAGCTGCTGGCTCAGGCAGCCTGCTTTTATTCCCTTATCTGGCCCCACCCACATCCTGCTGATTGGTCCATTTTACAGACAGCTGATTGGTCCATTTTACAGAGAGCTCATTGATCCTTTTTGATAGGGTGCTGATTAGTGTGTTTACAATCCCTGAGCTAGACTCAGAGTGCTGATTGGTGCATTTACAAACCTTGAGCTAGACTCAGAGTGCTGATTCTTGCATTTACAAACCTTGAGCTAGACACAGAGTGCTGATTGGTGCATTTACAATCCTTTAGCTAGACACAAAAGTTCTCCAAGTCCCCACTAGATTAGCTAGACACAGAGCACTGATAGTTGCGTTTACAAACCTTTAGTTAGACACAGAGTGCTGATTGGTGCACTTACAATCCTCTAGGTAGACATAAAAGTTATCCAAGTCCCCACTAGATTAGCTAGACACAGAGCACTGATTGGTGCATCCATGAACCCGGAGCTAGACACAGAGGGTTGATTGGTGCCTTTACAATCCTTTAGCTAGACACAAAAGTTCTCCAAGTCCCCACTAGATTAGCTAGACACAGAACACTGATTGGTGGGCTTACAAACCTTTAGCTAGACACGGAGTGCTGATTGGTACATTTACAATCCTCTAGCTAGACATAAAAGTTCTCCAAGTCCCCACCAGTTTAGCTAGATGCAGAGTGCTGATTGATGCATCCACAAACCCCAAGGTAGAGATAAAAGTCCTCCAAGTGCCCACCCGACTCACGAGCCCAGCTGGCTTGGCCTAGTGGATCCCCCACTGGGGCTGTGGGCGGAGCTGCCCACCAGTCCCATGCCACCTGCCTGCACTCCTCAGCCCTTGAGCGGTCGATGGGACCAGGTGCCACAGAGCATGGGGCGGTGCCCATCGGGGAGGCTGGGCTGCGCGGGAGCCCATGGGGAGTAGCGGGGCTCGGGCATGGTGGGCTGCAGGTCCCGAGCCCTGCCCCACAGGGAGGCGGCTGAGGTCTGGCGAGAATTCAAGCCAGTGCAGGTTGGGGGGCAGTGCTGGAGGACCCAGCGCACCCTCTGCAGCTGCTGGCCTGAGTGCTAAGCCCCTCACTGCCTGGCACTGGTGATGCTGGCTGGCTGCTTGGAGTATGGGGCCTACCGAACCTGTGCCCACCCAGAACTTGCGCCGGCCTGCGAGCGCCATGCACAGCCCTGGTTCTCGCCAGCGCCTCTCCCTCCACACCTCCCTGCAAGCAGAGGGAGCTGGCTCCAGCCTCCACCAGCCCAGAGAGGAGATCCCACAGTGCAGCGGCGGGCTGAAGGGCTCCTAAAGCGTGGCCAGAGCAGATGCCTTTCGAGGCCGAGGAGGCACTGAGAGCGAGCAGGGGCTGCTAACACATTGTCACCTCTCAGCTTCTATTCTATTTTACATGTGAATAAGCAGGAGGGAGATAAACAAAGAAGTAAAAAACTAGGAAAGAAAATAATTTAAAAAGAAGTCAGTGTTGAGACCTCACCTTGAAATAGACCATTCCAGGGCAAAGGAATTGCAAGGGGAACTAAGATTTCTGTGGTCAAAAGACAGAAAGAAGAAAATCCATTGTGATTGGGTCTGAGTAAGTTAGATTGGTAACGTGAATGGGTGATAGGGTATGCAGGAGCCAAATTATGTGTGATTTTGGAGATCATGATAAGCCACTTAGGTCTCCTTGAAAGTAATATTGGAAAGGTTTGTATGCTTTTAGGTGGGGGTAGGGAGATATTGATTTTTGCTGTATAAAAACTCATGTGGGCTGACCTATAAAAAATAAACAGAAGATGCATGAGTAATGAGGCCTTTACACTAGTCCAGGGGAGACATGGCAATGGCTTTGACCATGGTGATAAAAGATTTTGTTACAAGTCTGTTATGTTTTCTCTAAAATCTTTTTAAATTTAGCAATCTCAGGCTGGGGCAGTGGGACCTAAAAAATGACTGAATGTTGCTTAATGACAAGAAAATAGAGATGGTTCTGAATACACCCTCAGAGGGAAACAAGACACAGAATATCAAACACCCCATAGTAAGCCACAAAGCCTTCCAGAAAATTTTGAGCTCAATCTTACGTTTATTGAATGCTATGCTGCCATACCTTCAAGTTCTTGTAATTACTATAAAACTACCATCTATCTGTTTTTCATGCCATTCCCTCTTCCTTAAATTTCACCTCGGCACAGTTCATTTGTATTTTGATCCTACTATTGATATTTTCACAATCTATTATTATCCTAGTCTCATTTTAGCACAGCAGAAAGAGCATTGACTTAAAAGCAGATGGATCCCAGTTTTGATCCATCTTACTGATTGCAGTGACCTTGAGAATTTCTTAACTTTCACAGATTTTCATTTCCTATTCTTTAAAAGTAGAAATATACCTATGGTATGCTCTAAGTGTTTTATACATTTAAATTTAATCCATGTAGACATTTTATAAAGTAGGTATTATTATTATTTCCATTTAATGGTTAAGAAAAACTGAGGTATGCAGACATGATAAATAACTCAGTCAAGGTTACCAACTAGTAAGCTGAAGAGCCTGAATTTGAACACCATCTTCCTGATTAAAGAACCCACATTATATCCATAATAAACTAACATATCATAGACGCTTAATAAAGATTAGTTACATCTTTCATATTTTTCTGCACCCCTTCTCCCATTTCAAATTATAGTAATTGTATCTTAAGTAATTGTACTATCAGAATTATTCAGTCTTTCAGTATCTTGGCCGAAACTGGTATCTTTCCTTCTCAATTTGTCATTTCCACCTAAATTCGTGAATAGAACTCACACTTATTATTAAGAAATAAATTTATTTCATTTCCCTCCATACCTCTTTCACAGTCATATAACCTGAACTGGTAATGCTAGTAGAATTCCAAATCTCTTGGATGATGTTTTCAAAAGAAAATAATATGTATAGTGTACTTACCAGTTTCAGATAAAATGATAGAATTTTCTGCATTTGAAAGAGCAACATGTATAGTTATGATTTTGTAAACACTCAGTTCCAAGTTATAGTAAATAATTTTTGATGGAAAGAAAAAACAAGAGAAAATATTACAAAAAAATATGATTAACCACACATCTGAATGGGAATTCACTTTCTGTGAAGTTAATGGTAGATTCTTATTCACAAATACTAAGGAATAGTTGGAAAGGACATCAGAAACAAGTAGAGGATGTCATATTGGTACTAAAAAGTGTTGGGATAGCTCTGAGGATTTGCATTCAGTTTCAGAGTAGTAATGATGATTATATAGACCTTCTCATATATGTAAATGATACAGACAGGAGACAGGGAAATATTGGGTAGAAGAGGTCCCCAGCAAAGGCCTCACCCTCAAGCCTGGAGACCCATGGCCCTAAGTGGGAACAGACATTTCTGTTTCACTCTCAAAAGGTTGCCTTTTGGCCTGCCACTCCCCTATCCTGCACCCACATAAATCCCAAATCCCAGGCTCTAGAAGCAGACGAGCAGACGTGCAGACAAGGAGACAAGCAGAAGAATGACAGAACAGCATGGCAAAGAAAGAGAGAGGGGAAGGAACATCTGAACTCTGAGAGGAGTCCGGCTGGGGATGGACAGAGGAGAGTTCAGCCACTGGATGGCCAAACTCCAGAGGAAGATCATCTTCCCACTCCATTCCCCTCCCAGCTCCCTATCCATCTTGCTGAGAGCCACCTCTACCACTTAATAAAACCGTGAATTTATCCTTCAAGCCCATGTGTGACTCAATTCTTTCAGGCTCTGAACAAGAGCTTGGGATACAGAAAGCTGTCACACTGGCTCCCTGCCCTTGAAAAGCCACAGGGTTCATTGAGCTGGCTAACATGTAAGCCGTCTGTAAATGACAAGGCTAAAAGAGCATTGTAACACTGGAGCTGCAGGCACCCACCCCTAGACACTACTGCGGGGCTGAAACCCAGAGCATTCGCCCTGGCTTTTTCATCTACCTGTCTGCGCGCTCCCCTTCCTGTCAGGGGTTTGAGCAGTGGCAGCTGCTGAACAGGCAAGCCACAACCCTGTGTCACATCCTGCCAAGGGGATCAGGGAACTCTCCCGTATCATAAACATATAACATGAATGTATGTAAACAAATATCTTAGTGTATCTCCTGGGTTTAAGAAATGCACCATGATTTGGTTACACTATTTTTTAATATTTTAAGAATATTATTGTTATTTTACACTAGCCTTGAGAAGTAATAATAGTGGTGGTGGAAACTTTAGCATCCTTAGTAATAATAGTAGTAACCTATTTTAAAGAAGCAGAAATTGAGAAGAACATAATTAAATTACTTCAGAATATACAGCTAAGAATAGCCAGATACATAAAGGATATATCTAGATGTATATGGATAATGAATTCACTGTCTTACACTCCGTATCTCTGGATTTGAACTGCAACATCAAATAAATTCAATTTTCATTAAAGCGTGTAAAGATTTCAGAGGGACATTTATATCTCTGAAAAATGCTTTCCTGGTTTGGGTTATATATAATATTTAGAGTCTATTTTGGACACTGAACAGTTGTAAATAAACGGTTGTGCTTTATATACTTAAGTGAGTTAAAGTTATTAAGAATAATAAATGTAAAGAGGAAATGTATCTAAATAAATCCTCTAAATGTTTAATCCCCATTTATCTTTAATTAATTTCTGGATATTAAATGCTATTCCTGAGACTGCCACAGGTGGATTGCATGAGCCCGGGAGTCCAAGACCTGTCTGGGCAACATGGCGAAACTTCAGCGCTTCAAAAAATACAAAAATTAGCCAGGCATGGTGGTGTACACCTGTAGTCCCAGCTACCAGAGAGGCTGAGATGGAAGGATTGCTTGAGCCTTGGAAAGTCTAGGCTGCAGTGAGCGAAGATCCTGCCTCGCACTGCAGCCTGGGTGACAAAGTAAAACCCTGTCTCAAAAAAAGAAAAAAATATTCCAATTTTTTTGAGTAAGGAAACTGGGAGATCTATGAAGTCCATGAAAGAACTGTCAGCCAATTAACAAAATCACATTCGTTACTCTCCTTTTATCTGATCCATGGTTAACATAACACACATCCCTATACAATGTAAATTTGTGTTTTTGTCTCCAAATATAAGTGTGTATGTGTGTGTATATATATATATATATATACTCATAATGAGTATATGAGTAATGAGTATATGTTTTATATATATATGAATTCCTGATAAATTTAAGTTTACCAAAAATTTATGATTTAAACACCAAAAATTAGACTAACAACAAAAATGGAACTAAGAACAATAGTTATTGAACAAGCACAATGCCAAATGATGTACTAATTGTCTTTACCTGTATGACCCTATATATTTCTAACAAATCTCCTCAAAGTATCATTGAAACAAGTTGCCAGAATCATAAATTAAAAATGAGAAGGATTAAATAACTTGTCTGAAGTCATGCAACTAGTAGTTGTCAGAATTTATATTTGGTTATACCTAGTATCTTTTTTGACACAGTTTATCCTTAGCAGTGGCTGAAAGAAAAAAAGATATTCATTAGCACTAACTATGAAGGAAATATTTCTCAGAACTAACTTCTACCAGAGTATCTCATATTAATTATCAAATATTAACAGTAAGGTGATGACTTTGGGGCTCCACAAGCCTGATCTTAATAATCCTCTGGCATCTTGAAGAGGTGTAAGATCCATATGCCATTACCGTTGAACTTTGATCCATTTCACAGTTTTGTGATACTTTTTACTGTTTCTTCATTTCTGTTATGCTGTGGTAGTATATTACAAGCTCTTTCTACATTATCATTTTAAGCATTTAAAAACTCTTGAAATAAATACTTGGGTACCACAATGGGAAATAAGGATTGCCTGACAGTAGGATCTTGGAATAATCATTAACTGATATTATAACTGGTATCATAAATTATAAAACTGATATTATAAATGTATAAATTAACTGATATTATAAATATAAAAACACTATTCAGTGTTTCCAAAATCTATTTTATAGTAGAGTTTAAGAAAAATAACAAAGGATAATTTTACCACTTATAACAATCTCAATCCTTGTAATATTAATGGAAGTCACATATTCCTTTCAGGTAGCAAAGCTAAGTGGGCAAAACAATCAAACTTTCATAACTAAAGTTTTAGAAAGTTTATGAAAATTATGAAAGTGTTTCAGGGAAAAAAGTTCATCTAGGTTTTTCCCCCCGGGGAACTTATTATATTTCCCCCTGGGAACTTAGTAACTTATTATAGCAATAAGTTACTAAAAGTATGTGGTCTAAATGAAAAAGTCTTCAATGACACGTATTACATATTTCTGAAATAGAAATAAAGGAGGGAAAATTCTGTACCTAAAAATCTGATTTTTAAATCTTAAACAATTTTATGCATTTTAAGAATAACTTCTAATAATGCAGTTTTCATTATAAAGTTAGCCTTTAACTGTACATCATGATCCATATTACAGTGACTAAGGATTTAGTGAAATTGACATTAAAGCAAAATTTTAAGTGATTTTCCAATTGTTCCCATTTGCAATTGGTTTGGACATCTATATAAAATTTTTTGGTAATTAAAAAGCTGAATAGCTAATGTCTTGTTATGTCATTAACATGTTAACATCAGTTGACTTAAGTACTACAACAATATAGTCAAGGTGTTGATTTTCATCCCAGGGTGGCCTTTCATAACAGACTCTCCTCTTGACCTCCATCAGTCATCTTATCAGGATTCCTTTCTGATTCCAAGGATATGACAAACACAAGGGAAGAAAGCAGGAATCTTTACAAACCAATCTATTATCAAAATAAGGGAACAATTCTGGCCTACTCCTTGGTTTTAGAAGTATAAGTTTTGTACACCAAATTGCACTAATAATGTTCTTGATCTCTGAAATTTGAGAGGACAGATTTTCAGATAACTTGAAATAATACAGAAACATGCTATTTTGGCCCTAGCAAATCAGCAGGAAATACCACAACTTTAAGGATCTGTAGTAAATATGAATCTGCTATGAAATTTCAGTGTCTATAATGTCTGATGCGGGAGATGTGATATTGAAATGAGCATTTCTGATTACACAGCTAGTAGGGTGTATAGTATCAACCTAATGTAAAAATAATCTAACTGTGATGGAACAGGATCCCAGCCAGAAGCAGAGCTATGAGATCCTAGGATCCTAGCCTTGGGAAAAGTAAAAGCCAAAAGTAAAAGTAAAAGCCAGAGCCCAAAAGAACAACATCTACAGTTAGTCACTGTCAAAGACAGAAATGGTCAGGGTCATGATCTCTGCCTTGAATGGCGTCAGTCCTTCTGCCACTATCCCAGGATTTGGCAGTCCAGCCAAATGCATACCCTCTGGTGAGAGTATCAACCCCAAATCCCTATTTACTCTTCATCCTTGGTAATGTGAACAAGCAGAGGCAAGCCATATGCCATTGCTAAGCTGAGCCCACCTTGTTAAGCAGAGCTCCACATGGACTGTGGAGGTCTTGTCTCCAAGCAAGAGACATCTCTAAGCCCCAGAGAAAGAAATCAAAGAGTATTTCCTCCCTGTGAAATGGGGCCATTAATAGGACCCAACCCTACTGGGGTGGTTTATTTTGTGTTCTTGAAAACTTTGTTGCCTTTTACCCATAGAGAATTTGTTCTCTTTAGGAGGGCCTTGAGGTGTACATGATGAGGAGAGAGAAACCTGTCAGCTTTCCTCAAGGCAAAGTTTTTTAATCTGAAGGTAAACTTCAGTCAGACCACATTGCACTGAAATTATGTATCAAATATTGTAGTTCTATAAATATGTGCTTTCACTTCTAGGAAGAAAGCTAAAATCAAATTTAAAGAGTCAGTGAATCTGAAAAGTTTTTTTTTGAAACTTCTGGATTAGAAATCATCTGCTGTATATGATAAAAAAATTTTGAATGCTGAATGGAGTATATAGAGAAGCAATATTTGAAATATCTCTGAGTTTCTTGTTTTATTTATTTCCATTAAAGTGTTACATATCCTACAATATTTTTTAAAAAGAGATACGCATATTGCAAAACTATGTAAGCCTCAACTAATAATTTTTCATTTCTACATACACACACGCTTTTTGTCTTTATTTATTATGTTGTCTAATTCTGCTATTGTTCTCAGTTAAATCCTTTGTCAGCTCTTAGTTGTATGGTAATTGAGTGACTCTAAAAGTCATGGTACTATTCTGGTCTAGCCGGCTAGGGAAGTAGGTCTCAAACAATCTCCTGCTCAGTTGCTGAGAATCTTATCTAATCTTTCTGGAGACACATGATTGACAGCACATGATAAAAGACCTGTATTGCGCATTCCTTTATCTGTAAAGATAGAAACAAAACATCTTTTTCTAGTCCTTCTAAAAACTTCATTTCAGGACTCTACAGTTTTGAACCTAAATTTAAAACTTCAAATGCTGAACAATGTTACATACAACTTTTTTCAGAAGAAATAAATATCATATGAATAATGCCCCAGTGCCCAGTTTAAGGGTCATACATATATATAATATATAAGCTATATGTATATATTTTTTATATATTTACAAATTATATATAAACATGTTTATACTTATAAATTATTCATACATTTATGAATATATATATAATTAATCGAAATTTTTAAATTTCGGTTTAGCACAATGATGATGCTTCAATACAATGAGAAAGAAGAATCTTTCAGATTTTTCTTAGTCCTGTGAGAAATCAGTGTCATCCATAGGACTTAAAAGGTCACGGCATGTCTTCTGTGTTCCAGTGGAGATACTATGGAGACGCCAGAAGGGTCTGTACCTGAGGATAAGATCTTGGACTCAGACTTTAAAACTAGATGAGGCATCAACTAGGAGACCCTGAAAGCAACCCAATAAAAGCGTTTATTGTGACTCATTACTGAGGAGAAGAACCAGAAAAAACAAAAAAACAAACAAACAAAAACGCAAGGGGAATATCAGAGTAAGAATTCTTGGGAATAAAAAATAAAAAATAAAAAAACACCAAGAAACAGAACATGAGCTAAATTAAGCTGTGGATCTCAGGCAATGAGCTGTAATTGACACCAGTCTGTCTGAGGCTTATCCTGTGCTGAGTCCTGAGTGGTATTGGACTCACAGGAATACACGAACTGGCTCCAGTAGATTATTAAAAGTGCATGCTACTTCACAAATTCAGTTAGTCCAAAATTCTCTAAATAAATTTTCTTTAACGTGAAGAAATTCTGTTAATACATTTAGGAAGTTATATATTCCAGTTGGTCTTAATTTTAAAAAATACAATAGCATGTCTAGGCCGGGTGCGGTGGCTCACGCCTGTAATCCCAGCACTTTGGGAGGCCAAGGCAGGCGGATCACGAGGTCAGGAGATCGAGACCATCCTGGCTAACACGGTGAAACCCCGTCTCTACTAAAAATACAAAAAAATTAGCCGGGCGCAGTAGCGGGCGCCTGTAGTCCCAGCTACTCCGGAGGCTGAGGCAGGAGAATGGTGTGAACTCGGGAGGCGGAGCTTGCAGTGAGCCAAGATAGCGCCACTGCAGTCCCACCTGGGCGAAAGAGCGAGACTCTGTCTCAAAAAAAAAGAAAAAAAAAAAAAAAAAATGCAATAGCCTGTCTAACAGCAAGCATTCAAGAATGAAGAAGTTTGTATTTGATGACTGTTTTCAATATGCAGAAAGTCCCTCTAACATTCAATATAAATTTACTTATTAGAAACAGTTACTTAACAAAAACTTGGCAGACATGAATTAATGAATGTTCTGTTGTTCATCAGTTCAAGTTCTAATTCTTGAGCCAAGCCTGTGTTAAACATTTGAAGAAATACTACAGTGTTTGTTAACTTATTTCAGATTCATGAGGAAATATATATATTGAATACTTGAGAGGTAAACTGTGTTATAGATCATATCTTAAATACACCAAGCCTGAGTGATTTTAATTTGTTCACTTAGTAAGGTTTTTGGAAGTTGAAATATATTTTAAACAAGCTGGTGATTGAGAATATACATTTTATTAGTGTGATTGAATAGGACACTTTCATCTATTACAGTTTAGGCCAGTCCTGGTTTCATGACACATATGTAAAAAAAAAAATGATTAAATATACATGTCATGCACCCTAAACAATTTTTTCTGTATCTCATTGAAATTTTGTCACAATTATCATTATTTAAACACCATGTGGTAGTGATAGTCTATAAAATGTCTTCAAAGAAAAATTAAAAATGGGCTTCACAGCATGTATCCATCCATGTGGAACTTCCTATCTCTTTGATTCAAGGAAGAAGTACACAAATTAACAGAAAGGACTAAAAGTTCCATAATTCAAATAATTTGTTACATCATGTGAAAAAAAAGTAAAAAGTTGTTTATGTGGTCACAAATCATTTGCATATATTTTATATGGTCTGTCAATATGTTGGTAATATGTCTTAATAAAGGAAGGAAACAGAGGTAAATATTAAGTGTGTCAAACATTGCTTCTCTGCAAGAACTTATGAACGGTATATTTCTTTAAACTTAATTCTAAAATAGCAGTTATCTACATCTAATACACATTCTGAAAGCTATTTCAAAATTTCTCAGAGTAATCTAGATTCCAGTGCCTTGCAATTCCTTTCACCGGACATATTGACTTTTGAATAGTAAAACTGATTTCATCAGTTAATTTTTTTAGTACTAATCATTCAAATAGCACTTAATATTAGAAAATAATAATTTATTCCTCAGTTGTAGCAAGTTAGATTGTTTTTACTTGGGATCCGTTTTTTAAATATTTAGAGAAATATTTTAAGTAATAATTTTTTTAATGCAGAAATTTATGAAAACAGTAAGTCATCAAAATTTAAAATGAATTACTGATTTCTGATAATATGACTTGTACTCCAGAATGAAATATACAATGTACAATAGCTTAGTAAAACAACATTTTGACTTACGTGTTAATTTAAGTGTAGGAACCTCTAATTTACTTTTGCACAAAATTAGATTACTGATAGATTACAATTTTTATGGCAAAAAAATAACTTTATAATGATATCCAATCTCATAAAATCAGACCTAAAATAAAGGAAAAACATTATCTATAGCTAACACATATCCCCGAATGCATATGATGTTCAGTTTTGGTAGCAATGCAGTGGGGTTTACCAACCTGTCTATGTATGAACTCCATTTTCTCCCTTTACCTACTCTTAAACAATAGTAAAACCTTTTTTTTCTACAAAGAGTATGCCCACTTTTGCTCAGATCCCATCCCTTATTTCATTATCAAAATCTTTTAAAATTTTGTCTCTCTAAATTATCTTTAAGCTGTTTCTGGATTATTTTTATCAGTTTGAAACTATAACCTACTACCATCCTACACCACCGCATGACTCTGGCCTAAAATCAGCACCTAAGAATAAAACAAAAACAAACCAAATCCTTCTCTTGATCCAACTTTATGACCACCACCACCCCCATTCAACTCATCATTGTCTGGCTTCTTCCTCTACTACCGTCAATATGAAAGACTTGGCAAATTAAATGGACATTTGCCTATCTTCATCTCACCCAGTGTTTTAGAAATTATGATAAAGTGGTTAACTAATATCTTAAAAAAAATGTATGTGGGTTGGGTCTGGAGAGGACAGGCAATATCTCTTATACTACTGTTCTTTGTTTTTCTTTTATTCTCTGGATTTCTGCTGGCCTCTTTTGCTAACCTCTCCATCTGTATAAAGCTTCCAGATATCTGGACCACTCTGGGTACTCAAAGTTCTCTTCTTCTGTCTCTGAACATTCTTACTAATGATAATGTCATACATTCCCATGGATTTAAGGACTTCTTCTTTGCCTTTATCTCCCTAATTTATTTATCCATCCCAGAATCCTCTCCTTGAGTCTTTCTTTGCATGCAAAGCAATCAATCATACTTTTGTTGATCTTATATACAAAATATGTCTTCCCTCCATCCTCAGTTACTCACCTGACATTCATAATTTTAGTCCACATCCCTATCATTGTTTGCCTAAGCTCTACCAGTAGCCTCCACATTTTCCCCATCTCTATCTTACATCCTGATCAATTTTTCGCCTTCCTATAAAAGGGACCTTAAGATATAAATTTCATCATATTTATCTGCAGATTAAGTCTTTCAATAACTTCCCACTACAGTTAAAATCAAAACCAAATGCATTTACTCTGGTCTGAAAATAACCACATAATCTGGCTTCTTGCTCCCTTTCAAATCTTATGTGTGACTGCACTCAGCTCTCATTCACTGTACTTTAGGCTGTGAGTTCGTGAATGGTCTTTGAGTTTGTGAAATAAGCCAAGTTACTTTCAACCCTAAGACCTTTGCACATGGTGTGCACCATGTCTGGGATGTTCTTCACCTTCAAATAGCTAGTATCTTCTAATTTATTTTTGTTACAGTTTAAATTTTATTTCTTTAAAAAGCTGTGGGCCCACTCTCTTTAAAATATAAATCTTTTCTCCCAGCAAATATTCTCTTTTTAGGTTCTCGTTTTTAAGTTACATTAATTATCTGGCATCTGTTTTGCATTTTCATCCCACATTAGGCTATGAGCTTCATTTTGCTTGAGACCACGTCTATCCTATTGGCTATAAAAACCTCAGTTAACATGATAGAGCAGGCACACAATAACTATTTGTTGAAGAAACTAATTAATTATATTTGACACCCACAGCCCCAATTAATTGACAGCTGCAACTATCTTATTTTAATGTTTTAATTACTTAAATAGCCAGAATACCTTGGCCACTGCAGAGTTGTTTGGGGCAGATAGATATGCCCTTGGTAGTTTGGCTGAAAATGGGGAAGGCTGTCTTCCTCTCACATACAGCTTTATGTATGAAGTGATCTAGCATTGAGTTAACTCTAGCATATGAATAGAGAACTAATGAGGTGCAACAACTGAGCTCATCCCATATTCTTACCCTTGCTAGTCAAGATCAAATTTCACTCTATATTAACTATTAAAAACATTAAGAAGATGAGAATGATATTGGAGAACATGAATTAAACTTTGCAACTCTGTGAAGAAAAACTTCACGAGCATTACTTGCTCTTTTTGAAAAGGCAAAAGAAGAGGAGGGGGAGAAGAGGAAAAAATGGGAAGAGAAAGCAGAAGGTAGTGGAAGAAAAGGAAAAGAAGTTTATTTAACCTAGGTAATTCATACTTTACTATTTTTAGATCATATTTTGCCTTCCCAATTCTAAGTAATCTATTGTCTTATGAATTAAGGTAGATGAAATGTAAAAATTTGAATCAGTTGAAGAACATTTGTGGATCCTTTTAAGATGCTCATGCTTTCCAAGGGAAGAATTTAAGACTCACCATTTAGGACCTAGAATAGACAGATGAAGGTATAGATAACCGTAATGCACTATAAATTAAGCGACCTTTTCTTAATCATGTCATTTCTTATTGGCATATTGGAATATTTAGTTTATGATAGATACTTTAAAGACTGCAATCACTAAAGATTTATGGATAAAAATCAATCAATAAATAAATATTTCATCAAATGCAAAGTGCCTTACTACAAAATATTTATATATATATATATATGAATTTATTAACCTACATTTTAAAGCAAGTAACATTGTAGGAAAAGCAAGAGGCTTTACAATCATGCTGTAAGACTAGATTTTATCACCTATAAAATAGAGGTATAATTTTCCTCATAAAATTGATGTGAAGGTAAATGAGATATGCAAAACTCAGTCTATAGTATTTGGTGCATAGTAGGTTCTAATAAATATTATTTTTATTACACCTGAATGTATCATAAAATTTTACTTATTAGTACTAATTGTGGGGAAGACAAATGCAATCATGGAAATTTACAATTATGATTTCACAAAGTATGTCAGCTTCCTATGGTTGGAAAGGAAACATTAAATATATGGTTCAAATAATTCAGAACAATTAATATTCACCTAATTGGCCATGGATTTTTTTTCAACCAGGCAGGGAAAAGCAGTAGTAAAGATTGAAAATGTCTTTCCAAATCTAGGAAGAACTCTAATCCCATGAAAATTGTTTATTAATAAAAAGACGTTCCAGATTACTAGAATAAAAGAGAAAAGGAGGGTGAAGGTCAGATTTCAACCTTGGAAAGATGGCACAAAGAGAGAGAAAACAATTAAAAGTAAAAAGACTTTAACGAAATGTGTATGTTTTTGTTTTTAACTAAGAAACAACATTGTTGGTACAATAAATAATGAAAGAAAGTTTCCAAGGCCCTGCTTCAAGATGTTTTGAATAAGTTTTTATGTACAACAAATTTATGAGTAAAAACTCTTGAAGCTTTCAGTAACCTAAAACCTGATGGAAACTAGATTAAAATTTAAATAAATTTATACATTCATAAAGCTAAAACTTGATAGTTTGTTGGTAGAAGGGGAAGCTTAACCCACTGACATCATAAAAGGCACTTTGTCTTTTCATTTTTCTGTCTATTCTCTAAGTCTTCCACAGAGTCCATCAGTCTCAAGGATTGTTCCCTCCAAGGGTGTTAAGCAACTGCAAGCAGCTTCCAGGGTACTTAGCTCCTTGTCCATAACCAACAAGAAGAGGCCCTTTCCTGGTAGCGCTTTCAGAAACTGATTAAAACTTCCAGACTCTCCCAACACAAGCCTCTTTGCATCAATTTGGTTTATACTGTCTTGTGCCCTGAACTCTGGACTGAAGGATGGGAAGTACTGATGGGATAGTGATAAGAAGAAAATATTGAGAAGGGTAAGTGGATATGCAAACAAAAGCTGGAGTATTGATAGAAGAAGAAAAGATAGACACTAGGTAGCCAAAATAACTTCAGTGTATTCATACCTTCTGTATTAAAAATTGTAAAAATATGGCTGGGCACAGTGGCTCATGCTTGTAATCCCAGCACTTTGGGAGGCTGAAGTGGGTGGATCACTTGAGGTCAGGAGTTTGAGACCAGCCTGGCCAACACGATGAAACCTCATTTGTACTAAAAATCCAAAAACTAGCCAGGCTTGGTTGTGCACCCCTGCAATCCCAGCTACTTGGGAGGCTGAGGCAGGAGAATCACTTGAACCCAGGAGGTAGAGGTTGCAGTGAGCCATGAACATGCCACTGCACTCCAGTCTGGGCCACAGAGTGACTGTGTCAAAAACAGAAACAAAAATATATATAAAAACAGATGATAAATGAGTAAATGATTAAAAAAAACCTCACTCTTTAAAAGCAAAGTGGATCCAAAAAAGTCATTGAGATGATAAGCATGGTAATTAGACTAAGAAGTATGTCAAATAAAATTAACAAACATTGGGGGTGAGGGATTAACCCAGTCAAACACACACATAGACACACACACACAGATATATATTTATGCCATGTGTTGTGTATATATGACATATGTATACATATATTAGGTTGATGCAAAAGTAATTGTGGTTTTTGTCATTACTTTTAATGACAATCTAATAAATGTATATTTGTATATCTACATATGTATTTTAATGTAATATAAATCTCCTCGAATAAAAGCAGAAAAAATAGTTTACTAGTTTCAGATTTCCTTTTCTTATCAGAAAAGTTCTGAAATAACAAATGTTCTTATAGTGCCAGTTATTCATCAAAACAGAAATAAAAACATGTATAAAATATTAATGTTTCTTATTTATGTACATACTTTGTTATATATGTAAATTTTCATAAACTATATCAACTCAGCCAATAAGCATTTACTATATTCTTAGTGCAGTTTAGCCTATAAAATGAAAATATTTAAATTACCTGGAAAGAAAAAACATAAAAATGATTGTGTTTTTTAGCCATATAGGAAATGAAAATTTTCATATTTTATTAATTATCTTATTTTGTGTTACAAATTTTATTAGAACTTTATATGAAAAGTTGTCATTATATAACTTGTATTTGGCTAGCAAAAGTATATCAACTTACTTTTTCTTAGGATTATACTTTATATTAGCAAACAAAATTAACTACAATATTTTAAGAAGCAAATAAATATTTTTAAGGTTTGTTTCTAGAGTTGTAGTTTTGACTCACGCAAATTGTTGAGGTTTTAAGCAATTGTGGTTTTCATCATTTTAGTTTCCATTCTGCTAAAAGTGTTGAAGCAATTGATATGATGTGCCATGAAAACTCTGTCCTCTCCCAACATGACTGAGCTCCTTTCAGCATCATTTCATATTTATTAGCCATGTGTATCTGAATTAAAAATACTTTGGATTTGGATAGCAAACACTAGAGAGGACTAAATAAATGACTGGCCATGTTAGGTGATGATGTAATGTAGTGTTTACATTTGCAACTGCTTGTCCACAGCTTCTCTCAGTTCTGGATTATACTGGACTTCAGTAAAGTACAGAAAATTAAAGTTGAGGCCGGGTGCAGTGGCTCACACTTGTAATCCCAGCACTTTGGGAGGCTGAGGCAGGTGGATCAGTAGGTCAAGAAATTGAGACCATCCTGGCCAAAACGGTGAAACCCCGTCTCTACTAAAAATACAAAAATTAGCTGGGCATGGTAGCACGCACTTGTAGTCCCATTTACTTGGGAGACAGAGGCAGGCGAATCACTTTAACCTGGGAGATGGAGGTTGCAGTGAGCTGCGATGGCACCAGTGCACTCCAGGCTGGTGACAGAGTGAGAGTCTGTCTCAAAAAAAAAAAAAAAAAAAAAAATTAAAATTGATTAAGGACAAAAGGAATTCTTTGAAAGTAAGTCAAAATAAGATATTTTCTTGGAAATTAGTAAATATGTGCATATATATATTTTTCATCTTTTTTTAGGGGTTTGGAATACAATCGTGATAATCCTTGTTTTTGTGGATTTACATTCTTGTGGAGGAAGTTAAACAATAAAAAATTAAATTTAGAAATGAGTTACTAGGCTAGGACAGGTGGCTCATGCTGTAATCCCAGCACTTTGGGAGGCTGAGGTGTGAAGATCGCTTGAAGCTAGCAGTTTGAGACCTGTTGTGGGAAGTCAGGGACCCCGAACACAGGGAGCGGCTGGAGCCGTGGCAGAGGAACATAAATTGTGAAGATTTCATTTTAATATGGACATTTATCAGTTCCCAAATAATACTTTTATAATTTATTATGCCTGTCTTTACTTTAATTTCTTAATCTTGTTATCTTCGTAAACTGAGAATGTAAGTCACCTCAGGACCACTGTGATAATTGTGTTAACTGTACAAACTGATTGTAAAGCTTGTGTGTTTGAACAATATGAAATCAGGGCACCTTGAAAAAGAACAGAATAACAGTGATTTTTAGGGAACAAGGGAAAACAACCATAAGGTGTGACTGTCTGTGGGTTCAGGCAAAAAGAGCCATATTTTTCTTCTTGCAGAGAGCCTATAAATGGACATACAAGTAGGAGAGATACTGCTAAATTATTTTCCTAGCAAGGAATATTAATATTAAGACCCTGGGAAAGGAATACATTCCTGGGGGGAGGTCTATAAACAGCCGCTCTGGGAGTGTCTGTCTTATGCGGTTGAGATAGGGACTGAAATATGCTCTGGTCTCCTGCAGTACCCTCAGGCTTATTAGGATGGTGAAAAAGTCTGCCCTGGTAAATTTGTGGTCAGACTGGTTCTCTGCTCTCAAACCCTGTTTTCTGTTGTTTAAGATGTTTATCAAGACAATACGTGCACAGCTGAATGTAAACTCTTATCAGTAGTTCTGTTTTGCCTTTTGTCCTGTTCCCTCAAAAGCATGTGATCTTTGTTTTGCTTTTTGCCCTTTTAAGCATGTGATCTTTGTACCTACTCCCTGTTTTACATCCCCTCCCCTTTTGAAACCCTTAATAAAAACTTGCTGGTCTGAGACTCAGGCAGGTATCACAGTTCTACCAATATGTGATGTCACCCCTGGCAGCCCAGCTGTAAAATTCCTCTCTTTGTACTCTTTCTCTTTATTTCTCAGCCGGCCGACATTTATGGAAAATAGAAAGAACCTACTTTGAAATATTGGGAGTGGGTTACCCCAGTAGAGATCAGTGTGGGAAACATAATGAGACCCTGTCTCTACAAATTAACTTTAAAAAAATTCACCAGATGAGGTGGCATGTGCCTGTAGTCCTAGCTACTCAGGAGGCTGAGGCAGGAGGATTGCTTGAGCCTAGAAGTTGAAGGCTACAGCGAGCTATCATCACTCTGCTGCACTCCATCCTTGGTGACAGAGCCAGACACTGTCTCTAAAAAATTTAAAAAAAAAAAACGTTTAATTTAAAAATGAATTAATAATATGTTAGAAGCTGGAAAGTGCTATAAAAAATTATACAGCAAGGTAAGGTAACTCCAGAGTATCAGAGTTGGAGGAGGTAAGGTTGTTTTTCTAAACAGGTTGGACAGAGTAGGCCACTTTGAGAATATAGCTGCCCTTTGAGAAAATCCTAGGAGAAGTTCAGGAATTTAGCAATGCAAACATCTGTTGAAAGACAGGTATAGAGGGAAGAAACAGCCAGGACAAAGGCCCAAAGCTGAGTATTGGCCTGGTGTATTGAAAGAACATAAAGGCCTGTGTGCCTGGAATGCAATAATGAGTGGAAGAATGTTAGTGGGTAAGTTCAGAGATAAAGTAGTAACAGATCATATAGGTCCGAGATTGTAGGTAGTAGATTATTGTGGGCTTTAGATTTCATTTGGATTAAAAGTGGAAGGAATTTCAATAATTTAGGTAGAAGAGTGACATGATTTGAATAAACTGCCTTGTTGAGAATAGATTGGAAGGTGGATTGAGTTAGTGGTGAGGGAGAATCAAAATAGAATCAGACAAAACTGTTAGGAGATATTGGAACGATCCAGAAGAAATAAATCTGTTGTTCAAAACAGAGTTAGCAGTGTAGGTGATTAAATATGGTCAAGTTCTGGATATATTTTGTAGTTAGAGACAACTGATTCCAGCTGGATTTTCTGATACTTGCATGTGGCATATGTTAGAAAGAAAAGTATCATCACATCAAGAATGGTACCAAGGTTTTGGATATAAGTAACCAAAAAACTAAATTCACAGTAACTCAGTTGGTGTGGGAGGAAAGCATGTGGTGTAAGCAGTTTTTGTTTGTTTTGCCAGTGAGGGTGGATTCAAGTTTTTTCTTAGACATGTATTGTTTGAGATGTCTTGTTGGAGTTTTAATTGACAAATGCTTTTCATTCATAGTTGAAAGACCAATGATTCAGGTTAATAGTAATAGTTAACAGTTATTTAGCACAAATTATGCCCAGCATTGGTTTAAGCTCATTACTTTTTGAAGAACACATTTCCATACTGTTCAAGATTTATTTTAATAAGGATATTCACTTCGATAATTTCTTATCCAAATCCACTGAAGCCAGAGGATTATAGGTTTCAGAAATTATCAGAGTAGTACAATGTATATGAAATATATTTTATAATATCTCCTAGTAAGATCAAGGGTAGCATTTTAAAATTGAGTATATTAATACATCAGCAGTGAAACATATAAATATTCACAGTGGGAGGGACAAATAAAAACTGTACCCCCTATCAGTTCAGGTCAAGAGTCCTCAAAATGAGTTCAAGTCAAACCAGATTTTACTACCAGATGAGTTATTTTAAACACATGCACACAGATTTTCAGAACTTTTGGTTGTTAGAATTTCAGATGAAACCCTATAGAACTTACATTAACTCTGTAATTTTGGAATCATAAAAATAAAACATAAAGTTATGCTGAAAAACCACCCTTTCATTATCAGGTAATTCTTTCTTTGGATTACAGTTCAAAAGAGATAATTTCCTTATGCCCCATATAAGCTTTTTGGTATTTTTAGATCATTTCTAGTATGTTATGACATATGTGCTTTGAATACATTTTTATAAATATTATTTCTAAAGCTTTTACCAAAAAAAAGTCTTATGTGATCCAAAGGCAGACACTAGTACATCAATTCCTGCAGTAGACTTTATTATTAGTTAAGCTAAATAATGACCTGTGATCTTTATGAATAGATGAATGTGGAATAATGCTTGTGTTACTTGAAATAAGGACTCCAAAATTATTTATCTAAGTGTTTGTCTGTTCCCATAATAATACAAATTATTTTAGAATAGTTCAAATAGTAATCTTAAGACTTGGACCAAATAAATTCGTCTTCTCACTTTAAAGAACACAAACAATTGACATAAAATATTAAGCTCTGCAGAATATTTTTTGTTAAACTTTAAGCATTATATATCAATGTTTGACTGTCAGGTACACTGAATTATCAGTAAAATAAAAAATCCACTATTTTAAATTATAGTAGGGTATCATAGTATAATATCATGTAAAATCTTTTCACAGTCCTAAAAATCTTCTGTGTCCTATGCAGCCATAAGAAAGAACAAAATTATGTCCTCTGCAGCAACATGGATGGAGCTGGAGGCCATTACTGTAAGCAAATTAACTCAGGGACAGAAAACCAAACACCACATGTTCTCACTTATAAGTGGCAGCTAAATATTGAGTACTGATGGACATAGAGATGGCAACAAATAGACACTGGGTATTACTAGAGCAGGGAGATTTGGATGGGGGAAAGGGTTGAAAACCAAACTATTGGGTAATATTATGCTCACTATCTGGGTGATGGGGTCAATTGTACCCCAAACCTCGGCATCATGCAATATACTCATGTAACAAACCTACACATGCACTCCCTGAATCCTTTAAAATAAAAGTTGAAATTATTTTTAAATATATTTTGTATCCACTCTTTTTTTAAACATTACTATTGGATTTTAAATGTTGCGTGGCATAATTTATATTCTTTCAAGACTCCAAAGTTTTGTTTCACATAAATGACCTCCTTTAGGCATATATATTTTTTGTGCTTTTAGATACTAAGGCATTATCCATCTATATAGCATAAGTTTAAAAAATACCAGAAGTTGGCAAATGATTTAAAACAGAAAAATATGGAGAATTACTAAGAGAGAATGATAATTATCATTTTATTAATTCATTCATGTTGTTATACCCTAAAAATATATTTATTATCCAGTTTGTGCCAAGCACTCTTATGAGTACTGAAAAATGTGAATAATGCAGATGAAATCCCTGTGCTTGGTGAAAACAGACAATACAATAAATAAATAGTTAAATAAATATGCTGATGTATTATGACAAATGTTACAACAACAACAACAACAACAACAAAAGTAATATGTTGGGGAAAAGTCAGAGAGGGATTTTATGGATTAAATGGTTAGAAAAGTTTCCTGAGCTGATGCCATATTGGAGCAGAGCTGAATCAAGTGAGGGAATAAGTCATGCATTTGTCTCAAGGAATAGCATTCCAGACTGATGGTTGGAAAATCTCCAAGTCCTTAGGGAACTCTCTGGTTGGCATGTTTAAAAAGAGTAGAATAAAGACAGAGCTACTTGAGTGGAGTAGGTGGGCAGAAATGGAGTCCAAAATACTAAAGAGAGGCCAAATAAGGCTGTGCTTTTATACCATTATGACCTTGGACTTTTTTCTCAGAATGAAAGGAAATTCATTAAAGTTTTAAGTAGGCATATGACAAGATTTAACTAACACTTTCTAAAATATCATTAGATAGTGTAGGGAATGGACAGAAATGAAAGCTGAAAGATGATTCGTTGGTAGGCTATTGCAGTAGTCTTGGTAAGAGGCGATAGTATCTTAGGCAACAACGTTATCTTGGAGGTTTAGTGAGAAGTGGCTTGATTCAAAATATAATTTGAAGATAGAAAGAACAGCACTTGTGAAGGGATTTAGTAGGAGATGTGAAGGAAAGACAAAGGATAACTTCAAGTTTATAAGTGGGTTCATGATGTCGCTATTATTGAGATGAGGTTATTCAGGAAAGATCACTTTTTCTATATAGTTATAAAGAGAAAAGATTGTTTACCTTTTTCTGCCAGGTTGTAGAAGATTGACATTAGCCTTCATGCAAACTCCTTCACAAGCTGATGCCATTTTGGAAAAAAAAAAATGCTGTCATAGAGAAATAATTTTGTCCTTGGCAAATGGTTGAATGGTATGTGTGTGTGTGTGTGTGCGCGCGCGCGCGCGCACGTGCACGCGCGCATGTTAAAGAGAGAAGGAGAATGCCTAGTACTGGACAACTTGCCTCAAATCTAAAAGTGATCCACAAGTCCACAAGTGGCATGTGGAAAAGACAAGGGGCATATTTGCCAATTCTTGATGGGGAATTACTTAAAATGGGTATCCAGTGGAGAGGGTTTGTGTCTGTCTTGAATTCTATGAGACTTGAGGTGCTAAAAACTTTACAAGATTTCATGGAGACCTGAAGTATTTTTGTAATAGGTTAAATAACTCAGATTTGAGAAAGTGTACTGCTAGAGGGTAAGGGATGGCATCTTGGGGAGAGATCAATCCTTTTCAGTGTGAATGGAGATTCCCAATAGGTTAGGGGAGATTTTATAAGGTGGAGGTTTGAAGAAAATAGGTCAAGATAGAAGAATGAGCTGAGGAAAGGGGATTTAAAATAAAAGAGACTATGTTTAAAATTTATTTTATTTTTTACTATTTTCCTTCAAAACTTAAGAATAAAATATTTAGTGCATAGTTTTAACTATCCTCTTTTGATTTACTTATTTCTGCATTTCTGCAGCCCTTCAAAAAAGTCTGACACACATATACAACAATGTGTGATTGTGTTGTGTTGTAGAAAATGGTTGAGATAAGGGGCCAAGGGGAAGGAGACCTGCTCCAGTGTTTCCTGGTTCTCTGAGTACATGAAAGCATTATGTTAAGGGTGACTGAGTCTGAAACCTGCACCATGTCCAGTAGCAAACCTAACAGTGGCCCATGGCAGAGGTGGGAGCTTAGAAAACACGACCAAAAATGGCACAAATCCAGTGAGTGATTTGTAGCAATTTAAGGGAGAGATGCTGATACTGATATTGGAAAGAAGCATCTCTGCGTCAGAATGTGAAAAGTGGACTGCAATTAATGTAATCAAGTAGTGGTTTCACATAAAAGGAAGTATTTCCTTTAATTGAATTAAATTACCCGGCAGGGCATGGTGGCTCACAGCTGTAATCCCAGCACTTTGGGAGGCCAAGGTGGGTGGAATGCATAAGTCCAGGAGTTTGAGACTGGCCTGGGCAACATGGTAAAACCCTGTCTCTACCAAAAATAGAAAAAAATAGCTAGCTAAGTGTGGTCCACAGCTGTGGTCCCAGTTACTCTGGTGGCTGAGGTGGGAGAGTCACTTGAGCTTGAGAGGCAGAGGTTGCAGTGAGCTGAAATCATGCTATTGCACTCCAGCCTAGGTGACACAGTGAGACTCCATTTCAAAAAAAATAAAATAAAATAAGAATTAAATTACCCATTTAATATTTGTTAGTAACTTCATTTCAGTAGGATGTGGCACAGTGTCATGTGAACATCTGCTTTTACTTCAGCCAGTTTTCTATTTAAAAAGTAGGCTTTCTTCTAAAACATCTCATGTACCCTATATATATATATAAACCTACTATGTACCCACAAAAGTTAAAAATTAAAAAATTAAAAAGTAGGTTTCTTCTACCAGTTTCTGTGGATCACTCAAAGCATAAAGCAGTAGGAAAAGTAACAGAGAAACCTGAGGCCTTTGACTAGCGCCCAAAAGGATTTTATTTTCCCAGTGAGAAAGGGCATTGAACACGCTTTATCTTCAGGTACTAAGTGTGTTTTGTTTGGATAAGGATTGAGATAAACATAATGATAGATAAAAATGTTGTAATGTTAAATAAAAATGTGAGTTATTTAAGCTTCCATCAATAAAATCTTAGATTTTTTATACTATAATCAATCTGTCTGCCAGAAGAAAGAAACACATTTGCAATTTGATTATAATTATTCTACAGGAACTTGCGTGAGTTCAGACATCTATTTTATTATTTTCATTTACTTTTTAGTATAAAAGTTTATGAGACAATCAAACAATTTATGGGGATTAACACTTAATTCATAAGAAATGTCTCAAATTTTAAGGTTAAAAAATTTCAAAACAGCAAATTATTATTAATAATACACATAACGTTATGAAATAAATATTGTTACACTGTCAGATTTAACAAAGTATGGTTAGCCAGAATTACTAGAAGTGTTTTGTTATCAAACAACAATTTACACAGAGCAAAATGCCCACCTTTTAAAGGTACAATATATATACCTGTGTAAGTCTAAGTAATTTTAGGATAGAGTGTATTTCCATTATGTCTTTCCACTCAGTCACTATTCTATACCCCAGTTTCAGGCAACTAATGATCTGCTTTCTATCACTAAAAAATAGATTTCATGTCCCTACACATTATAGGTATACAGCTATATAGAATCTATTCTTCTGTGGCTAGGTTCTTCTCCTCAGCATATTTTTGAGATTTTTCTATATTTTTTTGTGTGCATCAATAAAATTAGGGAGTTTTATATAGACAGATAGATAATTATTTATATATCACAATTTTTCTTTATCAATTCACTTCTTAATCGACACAGGTGACTTTCAACTTGGGCTTATTATAAATAAAACTGCTATAAACATCCATCTATAAATTATTGTGTGGGGATATATTTTCATTTCTTTGGAGTAAGTATCAAGATGTGGAATTGCTGGTTCATAAGGTAAGCATATATTCAACATTGTAAGAATTGCCAAACTAATTTCTAAAGTTGTGGTACCATTTTATACTCCAATTAACGATGAGAGCTCCAATAGCTTCAACTCTTTGTCAACACTTTCTATTGTCAATCTTTCATGCTTAGTTATTTTAGGGGGATGGTATTTGTATTTGTTTTAAAGTACAGCTGTAACTAATTAACACAGACTTAATGGCTTAAAACAACAAAAATGTATTATCTTATGATTCTATGAATCAGAAATCTGAATTTTTTTTTTTTTTTTTTTTTTTTTTTTTTTTTTTTTTTTTTTTTACTAGGCTAAGATAAAGATGCTGGCAGAGCTTTGATCCTTTCTGGTTTTGCATTTCTCTGATGTTCATTAATATTGTTATGTCTTTGTTGGTCACTCATATATCTTCTTTATTCAGGTGTCTGTATAAATCATTTGTCTATTTTCTGTTATGGGATTTGTCTTCTTATTTTGTCTTATGAGTGTTCTTTTTTTTTAATTTTTTTTATTCGTTTATTTTTGAGATGGAGTCTCGCTCTGTCACCCAGTCTGGAGTCCAGTGGCATGATATCGGCTCTCTGCAAGCCCCACCTCCCGGGTTCACACCATTCTCCTGCCTCAGCATCCTGAGTAGCTGGGACTACAGGCTTCCGCCACCACACCCAGCTAATTTTTTTGTATTTTTAGTAGAGACAGGGTTTCACCGTGTTAGCCAGGATGGTCTTGACCTCCTGACCTCATGATCCACCTGCCTCGGCCTCCCAAAGTGCTGGGATTACAGGTGTGAGCCACCGTGCCCGGCCGTGAGGGTGAGGGTTCTTTATACATTCTATATACAATTCTTCCAGATGATATGTGTATTGCAAAAATGTTTTTGATCTGTGGCTTTTTTTGTTAGCAGATACTTTCAAAGAGTAGATGTTCTTTATTTTGATGACTTCCAATTGCACTAATTAATTATGGTTGAAAATCTTGTGGTCTAGATAAAGAAAATTGTATTGTGTATTTTAGTACTTCTACATATTCATATAAATGTCAGAACCAGGTTGTCAATTTCGTTTGGAGAAAAAGCTTATAACACTTTTATTTGGGATTACATTGAATCTAAGTACAGTGTAAAAAATAAATAAATAAACATATTAATAATATTGAGTTTTCTAGTCCAAGAACAGCATATATCTCTAAGTTATTTAGGTATTTTAAAAAATTTTCTTCGATAGTTTATATACATCTTGATTATCCTTTGTTACACTTATTGCTAAGTATTCAATCCTAAGTATTGGTACTATTATAAGAGGTATTGCTCCTTTAATTTAATTTTCTAATAGTTGGTTGCTAGTATAAATAAACACAATTGACATCAGTGTATGGATTTTTATCCTCCAACATTTCTAAATTTATTAATCCAAGTAGATTTTTTTGTAAATTTATTAAAATTTCTATACACAGGATCACATTGTCTCCCAAGTTAAGTGTTACTTCTTTTTTCTTAAATTTGCATGTCTTTTAGTTATTTTCGTAACTTGTTGCACTAGCTAAGAATCTCAAGAGAGGTGGCCAAGATGACTGACTAGAAGCAGCTAGTGTGTGTGGCTCTCAAAGACAGGAACAGAAAGGGTGAATAAATAGAGTACCTTCAACTGAAACATCTGGGTACTCACACTGGGACTAATCAAGGAAACAACTCAACCCACAGAGAACTGAGGAAAGCAAGGCAGAACAATGGCCCACCTAGGGGTAACACAAAGCCAAGAGAACCTCCCAAGCCCTCTCCTCCCTCAGGGAAGCCATGAGTAAATGTGTGACCCCGGGAACCCATGCTGCTCCCATGGATCTTTACAACCTTCGGGTCAGGAAATGCCCTTGTAAAGTCATTCCACCATGGCCTTCAGTCTAACACAGAACTACATGGAGTCTCAGCAGAGCAGCTTCTCCAGCCACACATGGGGACCAGGGAGCCTTAGATACCCAGGCTTTCTGGGCTTCTCTGCAAAAGTAGCTGCAACTCTGGCAAAGCAGGTAGTTAGACCCCCAAATATACTCCTAGGAAAGGGATTGAATCTAGTCGACTAAGCAGTGACAGTCTGCAGGCCCCACTTCCATGCCACCTTACAGGATAACATTCACTGGCTTGGATTTCCAGCCTGCCACCAGTAGCAGTGTGGCACCTCCCTGAGACGGAGCTCCTATCCTAAGTGTAGGGGTGGGTTTCCTCCTTTGCTGTTTGGGCAACTTAGCCATTTAGGCCTTCAGGTTTTGGAAAGTCTGAGGTGACCGAGGGTGGGGGTGGTCCCCCAGCACAGTATAGCTGCACTGTGAAAATATGGCCAGACTATTTTTTAAAGCAGGTCCCCAGTTCCATTCCTCCTCACTGGGCAGGACCTCCTAACTGGGGTCTCCAGCCATCCCCACCAGTGCTTTCTGGCTGACAGAGATTTAAAACTTCCCTGAGATGGAGCTCCCAGATAGAAAGGCAAGCCACCATCTTTGCTGTTTTGGTGACTTTGCTATTCCGGCCTTCAGAATTTGGAGAGTCTAAGGCAACCAAGGGCTAATGTGGACCTCCAACACAGCACAGATGAGTTAGAAAATTATGGCCAAACCATTTTTTTAAGCAGGTGCCTGATCCCATTTCTCATCACTGGGTGGAGTATCCCAACTGGGGTCCCCAGCTACCCCTGCTGGTTTTCTTCAGCTGACAGAGGTTTCAAAGCTCCCTGAGATAGAGTTCCCAGAGGGAGGAGTGGACCACCATCTTTACTGTTTGGTGACTTAGCTGTTCCAGGCTTCAGGCTTTGGACTGTCTGAGGTGAACTGGATTCCCAGAACAGTACAACTACTGTATGAAAATATGGCCAGCCTGCTTTTTTAAGCAAGACCCTGATCCTATTTTTTGTCTGAGTGAGATTTCCCAACTGGGGTCTCCAGTCACCACTTACAGGTGTGTTAGGGCCAGCAACAGATCTGTACTGCCTGGGATGGAGCTCCCAGAGCGGGTTGCCATTTTTGCTGTTCCACAGCCTTTACTGATGATACCTCCAGGTGCTGGAAAATCCAAAGTGACTAGAGACTGGAACGGGTCCCCAGCATGTAGCAGCAGGCCTACCAAAAAACTGGTCAGACAGTTATGCAGGTGCTCATTCTCATATCTCCTCAACAAACAGGTCCTCCAGGCCTGTGCCTCCAGCCAACCATAGCTATCAAGCCAGTAGCAATACTCTAGACAGAGCATCTAGGTGCAACTGAGAGCCTCTCTGTCACTGCCTCTGCAGTGGAACTGCCCTTGCTACCTTAAGACTAATGAAGGGGAAAAGAACTTAAGTGCCTTATCCATACCTCCAACAAACTGCAGTTGATCCAAGGAAAGGAGGTCAGTCTGTCTCTTACATGTCTTACCTACCCTAGGGGAAACCCTGTCTTGGGCCCACAGGACAGACCCTCTCTCCTGGGCTGATTGCACTGAGAGTTTGCTAACCTGCATCTCTCTGGGTTGGATTCCCCAGGAGACAAGCAAACACCCTTGGCCACAACCTCTGATACAATCCCTTCCTCTACTGCCTCCAAGCTGGGGAAGGGACATAAACAATGAGATCACAGCATAACTGCAGTAGGTAGCCTAGGAGCCCCAAGCTGCCATCTACAGACAGCACTTAAAAGGGAGAGGAACTCACAATTTCAGATCATTGAGAAGCATCATGGCTGTAACTGTAAGGAAACATAGGGGAGCTACAAAACAGAGAAAGTCTACCAACTCACCAATGAGCCTAAGTGCCACCTACTGGATTATAGCCCAAAGTCTCAACACCAAATATACCTCACTACCATACCCCACTCTAAAACCAGAGACAAGAAGCTAGCTTCCAATAAAGGCCCTGCACAAAGCCTCAGCCCAGTGAAAACATCCAGCAAAGAAGTCTATTGACTATACTCAATCCACACTGCAGATAAAGGAATACCCACATGCAGAGATGAGAAAGAACCAAAGCAAGAACTCTAGTAACTCAAATGACCAGAGTGTCATATGTCCTCCAAATGACTGCACTAGTCCTCCAACAAGAGTTCCTAACCAGGCTGAAATGATAGAAATAGAATTCAGAATATGGATATGAACAAAGATCATCAAGATTCAGGAGAACAGCAAAGCCCAATCCAAGGAGACTAAGAACCACAATAAAGCAATATAGAAAATGAGGGAACAAATAGCTGGTATAAAAAAATAATCTAAAGAGTCTCAAAGAGCTGAATAACACAATACAAGAATTTCACAATGCAATCATAAGTATTAACAGAAGAATAAATCAAGCTGAGGAAAGAATCTCAGAACTTGAAGACTGGTTTTCTCAAATAAGACAGACAAAAATTTTAAAAAAAGGAATGAACAAAACTTCAGAGAAGTATGGGATTAGGTAAAGAGATCAAATCTATGAACCACTGGCATCCCTGAAAGGGAGAGGGGAGAAGACCAAAACCTGGAAAGCATATTTTAGGATATTGTCCATGAAAACTTCCTCAACCTTGCTAGAGAGGCCAATAGTCAAATTTACAGGATACAGAGAACTCCTGCAAGAATCTACACAACAATATAATCCCAAAGAAACATTATCATCAGATTTTCCAAGACCAAAATGAAAGAGAGAATGTAAAAGGCAGCTAGAGAGAAAAGGCACAGGTCACCTACAAAGGGAACCCCATCAAGCTAAGAGTGAACCTCTCTGCTGAAACCCAACAAGCTAGAAGGGATTGTTAGCCTATATTCAACATTCTTAAAGAATTTTATGTCTGGCCAAATTAAGCTTATCAAGCAAAGGAGAATTAAGATCCTTTTCATATAAGCAGATGTTAAGGGAGTTTATTACTACCAGACCTGCCTTACAAGAGATCTTGAAAAGAGCTCTAAATATAGAAAGGAAAGACCACTGTCAGTTAACACAAAACCACACTTAAACACACAGGCCAGTGTCACTATAAAGAAGAAACACAAGCCAACATAATAACTAGCTAACAACACAATGAAATAATCAAATCCACACATATCAATACTCACCTTGAATGTAAACAGGCTAAATCCCCAACTTAAAAGGCACAGAGTGGAAAGTTGACACCCATCTCATATGTAATGGCACACATAGGCTCAAAATAAAGGGATGAAGGAAAATCTACCAAGAAAATGGAAAACAGAAAATCCAGGGGTTGCAATCTTAATTTCAGACAAAACAGACTTCAATCCAGCAAAGATCAAAAGAGACAAAGAAAGACATTACATAATGATAAAGGGTTCAATTCAATAAGAAGACCTAGATGTTCTAAATATGTATGCATTCAACACAGGAGCACCCAAATTTATAAATTTTTAAAGCAGGTTCTTAGAGATCTACGAACAGACATAGGCTCTTACACAGTAATAATGGGAGACTTCAACACTCCATTGACAGTTTTAGACAGATTATCGAGGCAAAATATTAACAAAGATATTCAGGACCTGAACTCCATATTGGACCAAGTGGATCTGATAGACCTCTACAGAACTCTCCAGCTCAAAACAACAGGATATACATTCTTCTTATTGCCACATGACATATATTCTAAAACTGACCACATAATTAGACATAAAACAATCCTCAGCAAAGGCAAAAGAACTGAAATATACCAAACACACTCACAAACCAAAAATAGAAATCAAGACTAAGAAAATCACTCAAAACTGTGCAATTACATGGAAATTAAACAACATGCTCCTAAATGACTTTGGGGTAAATAATGAAATTAAGGCAGAAATCAAAAAGTTCTTTGAAACTAATGAGAACAAAGAGATAGCATACCAGAATCTCTGGGACATAGATAAGGCAGTGTTAAAAGGAAAATTAATGGCACTAAATGCCCACATCAAAAAGTTAGAAAGATCTCAAATTATCAACTCAACGTCAAAACTGAAAGAATTAGAGAAGCAAAAACAAATCAACACTAAATCTAGCAGAAGAGAAGAAACCACCAAAATCAGAGTTTAACTGAAGGACATCAAGACATGAAAACCATTGAAATTAACATTGAATCCAAGAGTTTTTTTTTTTTTTTAAGTAATAAGATAGGCCACTAGCTACAATAATAAAGAAGAAAAAAGAGAAGATCTAAATAAAGACAACCAAAAATAATAAAGGGAATATTATCACTGACCCCCCAGAGTTAAAAATAATTATCAGAAACAATTACAAACACCTCTATGTGCACAAACTGGGAAAGCTAGAAGAGATGGACAAATTCCTGGACACATACATTCTCCCAAGACTGAACCAGGAAGAAACTGATTTCCTGAAGAGAACAATAATGAGCTCTGAAATTGAATCAGTAATAAATAGCCTACCTATCAAGAAAAAGCCCAGAATCTGATGAATTAATGACCAAATTCTACTAGATGTACAAAGAAGCATTCCCCTTGAAAACCAGAAATAGACGAGGATGCCTTCTCTCATCACTCCTATTCAACATGGTAGTGGAAGTCCTAGCCAGAGCAATTAGGCAAGAGAGAAAGAAATAATGGGCATCCAAATAGGAAGAGAGGAAGTCAAACTATCTCTATTTTCAGACAATGTGATTCTTTATCTAGAAAACCCCATGGTCTCAGCCCCAAAGCTCCTTCAGTTGACGAAGAACTTCAGCAAAATTTCAGGATACAAAATCAATGTACAAAAATCACTAGCATTCCTACACACTAACAAAGTCCAAACCAAGAGCCAAATCAGAAAGGCAATCCCATTCACAATTGACACAAAAGAATAACATACTTACGAATACAGAGAACTAGGGAGGTGAAAGATCTCTACAATGAGAATTCTAAACATAGTTCAAAGAAATCAGAGATGACAAAAACAAATGGAAAACATCCTATGCTCATGGATAGAAAGAATCAATACCATTAAAATGGCCATACTGCCCAAAGCAATATACAGATTTGATGCTATTTCTATCAAACTACCTATAACAATATTCATTGAAATAGAAAAAAAACTTTTTGAAAATTCACATGGAATGAATAAAGAGTACAAATAGTCAAGGTAATCCTAAGCAAAAAGATCAAAGCTGGAGACATCACATTACCTGGCTTCAAAATATACTACAGGGCAACAGTAACCAAAACAGCATGACACTGGTATAAAAACAGGCACATAAACCAAAGGAATAGAATAGAGAACACAGAAATAGGGCCAAACACCTACAACTATCTATTCTTCAACAAAGCTGACAGAAACAAGCAATGGGGAAAAGACTCGCTGTTCAACAAATGGTGCTGGGATAACTGGCTAGCCATTTGCAGAAGACTGAAGCTGGACCCCTTCTTACACCCTATACAAAAATCGATTCGAGACGGATTAAAGAGTGAAATGTAAAACCCCAAACTAGAAAAACTTTGGAAGACAACCTACACAATACAATTCTGCACATAGAAATGGGCAAAAATTTCATGACAAAGACAACAGAAGCAATTGCAATAAAAGCAAAATTGACAAGTGGAATCTAATTAAAATTAGGAGCTTCTCCACAGAAAAAGAAACTATCAACAAAGTAAACAGACAACTTAGAGAATGGGAGAAAATTTTTACAAACTATGCACCCAACAAAGGTCTATATGGCATCTGTAAGGAACTTAAATTTATAAGAGAAAAATAGACAATCCCATTAAGAAGTGAACAAAGGACATGAACAGACTTTTCAAAAGAAGAAATATGTGCAGTAAACAAACATATGATAAAAGTCTCAATATTACTGATCATTAGAGAAATGCAAATCAAAACCACAATGAGATGCCATCTCACACTAGTCAGAATGGCTATAATGAAAAAGTCAAAAAATAACAGATGCTGGTGAGGTTGTAGAGAAAGGGGAATACTAATACACTATCAGTGGGAGTCTAAATTAGTTCAACTACTGTGGAAAGCAGTATGGTGATTCCTCAAAGAACTAAAAGCAGAACTACCACCAGACAGAGCAATTCCATTATTGGGTATGTACTCAGAGGAATGTAAATCATTCTATAATAAAGACACATGTACACAGATGCTCATTGCAGGACTGTTCACAATAGCAAAGACTTGGAGTCAACCTAAATGCCCATCAATGACAGACTGCATAGAGAAAATATGGTACATATACACTATGGGATACTATGCAGCCATAAAAAGAACAAGTTCATGTAGGAACTTGGAGGGAACATGGAGGGAGCTAGACGGTATTATCCTTAGCAAACCAATGCAGGAACAGAAAACCAAATACCACATGTTCTCACTTACAAGTGGGAGGCAAATGATGAGAACTTACGAACACAATGAAAGAAACAACACACACTGGGGTGTTCTTGAGGGTGGAGCATGGGAGGAGGGAGAGGAGCAGAAAAGATAACTACTGGGTACTGGGCTTAATACCTGAAATAATCTGCACAGCAAACCCCCTTGACACTAGCTTACCTATGTAACAAACATCCACATGTACCCTGAAAGCTAAAATAAAAGTTAAAATAAAAAATATCTGGTACAATGTTGAATAGAAATAGCAAGAGTGGACAACTTTTGTCCTTTTTCTGATCTTAGGTACAATATTAGCTATAGGTTTTTAGTTTACAGTTTATATCAAGTTGTGAAAGTTCTTTTCTTTTTCTAGTACACTGATTTTTAAACTCATGAATATATGAATTTTATTAGGTGCTGAATTTTATTAAATGACTTTAGAGTCTATTGAAAAGATAATAAAGGTTTTGTTCTTTATTCTTTTAATATCATAAAATGCATTGGTTTATTGTTAGATGTTAATATTAGTCTTGTATTTCTAAGTAAAAAATTTTGATAATGATTACACTTTTAGGTATCATTTGAATCAATATGTTAATGTTTTGTTAAAGATGTTCACATCAATGATCAGGCAAGATATTATATAATGAATTTTAAAACTATAATCAATTTCATTCTGGTTTAGTTTAGTACAGGGTAATAATGGTCTCATAAAATGATTATGGTATCCCTCTTCCTTTCTTAAAAAGCTTCACATTGACATTATTATTTCATCTTAAAAGTTTAAGAAAAATCTACCAGTATTGCTATCTCAAGATGGCATTTTGATTGTGAAAAGGTTTTATACTGTGAATTAAATTTATTTAGTCAAGGTAGTTCTTCTCAAATTATCTATTCTTGAGTCACTTTTGACATTTGTGGCTGTTTGTTTTATATTACTGTTTTAACCAAGTGCCATAAATTTAGTGGCACCAAGCAATACATTTTAATCTCACAGTTCAGTATGTCCCAAGTTCTGGTTCAGCATGGTTCAGTTGGGTCCATTTGCTTAATATCCCACAAGGCCAAAATTAAGGTTTTCTTTTTGGAGTCTCTGAGGATGAATATACTTCAAGTTCAATCAGTTGTGGGCCAAATTCAGCTCCTTGCCATTGTAAAGTTCAATTCCCTGTTTCCTTGCTGTCAGTTGACTGTTGACTGACAGCATAGCTCTTAGAGGTTGTTACATTCCTTCTCATGCTTTTCACATGGCATCCCTCTACCATCAACAACAATGGAAGGCTGAGTCCCTCTCATGCTTCCAATCTCTCAGAGCTCCTCTTGTGCCATCTTTCCCTAACCCCAGAATGAGAATATACTCTGCTTTTAAGGGCTCGCGTGGTTAGATTGAAGCACAATGATCTGGACACTCTCCCTTATGATGTATGTGTACTATTACTACTTACATCTGCAAAGTCCAGTTAGCAACATAAAATATTTACAGATTTCAGAGATTAGGGCATAGATAAATTTGGAAAACCATTCTGCCTACCACAACAGCTTTCAAATAATGTGTTCATTTTATCTAAGTTGTGTTATTTCATATAAAATTGTACATAATTTGACCTTATGAATGTTTTAATTCATGTAGGGTCAGTGCTGATGTCTCCTGTTTAATTTTCAAAGGTAAGTTTGTGAGTTTGTGTTTATTTTTCTTAAATATCAGTCTAGCCAGGGAGTTACTCAATTATTTTGATCTTAAACAAATTGTTTGATTTTATTGATTTTCTCTATTATCTATTTTCAATGTCATTGACGTCTGCTCTTATATAGAGTATTTCACTCTTTTGACATTTTTCATTGTTTCTACATACATTCTTTCTACATTAGATTTGCATTATTCTCTTAAAGTGATGGCTTAGAGAATTTGATTTGGTTAATAATATTGTTAAAGCTTCCACATTCATGTTAATTTTCTATTTATTCTAGGAGTTATTAAGATAGGTGATTTTAAATTTCCAACTGTAATTGTGGATTTGTCTATTTCTTGTTTTCATTCTGTTACTTTTTACTTTATGTATTTTGATATTCTGTTAAAGATTTTGTAGACATTTCAAATATTATATAGTTTTGGTAGATTTTCCTCTTCGTGTTATGAAATGTGTTCTTTATCCTTGTAATATTCCTGAAATCTACTTTTCTGATATTAAAATAATCACTTCAATTACCTTATGCTTAGCTGTATGTTTTAATGTATGTTTTTATACTGATATGGTTTGGCTGTGTCCCCACCAAAATCTCATCTTGAATTCCCACGTGTTGTGGGAGGGACCTAGTGGGAGGTAATTTCATCATGCTGTTCTCGTGATAGTGAATAAGTCTCATGAGATCTGATGGTTTTAAAAACAGGAGTCTCTCTGCATAAGCTCTCTCTGTTTGCCTGCTGCCATCCATGTAAGACATGACTTGCTCCTCCTTGCCTTCCACCGTAATCATGAGGCCTCCCCAGCCACAGGGAACTGTTAGTCCATTAAACTACTTTTTCTTCCCAGTCTCAGGTAAGTCAAGCAGTGTGAAAATGGACTGATACATATACATAGCTAAAACTTTTAATTTTTTTTACCTTTCTTTTTTTTTTTTTTTTTGAAATAGGGTCTCATTCTGTCACCCAGGCTGGAGTGCAGTAGCATGATCTCGGCTCACAGCAATCTCTGCTTCCCAGGCTCAAGTTATCCTTACACCTCTGCCTCCCAAGTAGCTGGGGCTACAGGTGCGCACTACCACACCTGGCTAATTTTTGTATTTTTTGTATAGACAGGGTTTTGCCATGTTGCCCAGGCTGGTCTCAAATTTCTGGGATCATAGAGTCTGACCACTTCAGCTTCCCAAAGTACTGGAATTACAGGCATGAATCACCATGCCTGGTAAATTTTTTTTTTCACTTTTAACCTCTCTATATATTTATATTTAAAGTTAGTTTCTAATATAATTGATTACAGTAGCTCTTTTTATTGGATAACTTTATATTGTACTGTGTCACATACATAAATCATGTTTATCCTTTAAAATCAAGTACTTTGACATATTTTTGAACACCCAAAGATATGTTATCAACTTAAAAAAAAAGATTCTCAGGAGTTCTTCAGTAATGATCAAAAACACAATTGTGAGCTAATTAATATGGTCAGATTTTTTCAAAATATTAACTGCATTATGAAAAAGTAGTGGGTGATATTGTGGGTGAGAATTAGAGAATTTTTTTTGTTAGTTTCTTTTATTTTTTAATATCTTTACTTAGAAATTAGTTGTGTGCATTTGTTTATGTTCTTGTTTGATGTTTGCATTCCAATTACAGTGCATACATCAAAGAACTGGATATATTCTCTTTTATTCATTCGTTTATACCCAGTGTTGGCCATAGTACTTTGAACATAGTATGTGGTCAATGAATAATTGTTTCATAAATGAAAAACTAATGTTAATCTTGCTTTTGCTAATTTTTTAGGTAATAACACTTATCATGGAATGGTTTTAAGTAGGTAAGTATTATAACAAAAGTTAAAGGATGGATTTTACAGAGGGAAAAACAATATTTTATTTATCAAAAATTGTCTCATATGCCCTCTGGATTGTGATATGGTTTACTTCAACAAATGAGAGAAAAGATATGTAATGAAATCTAAAATATTTAGGAAATGTTATTCTATGGAAAACATAGAATAATAATATAGTTTGGAAAATATATAGTTTGGAAAAATAATATATAGTTTGGAAAAATATATAGTTTGGAAAAATAATATAGTTTGGAAAACTATATTATTTAAGTACAGTGATATTATAGAAGCTACTTTTTCAGGAAGAAGTGTGGTTTCAACAATTCATATAAATTTAGGTAGAGTATTTTGGAGAACATAAGCACTATTAATGTAGTTATAAAACTGAGAATTGAAAATGTGAGTAGGATATTCAGTAGAGAAAAAATATATTAAGGATATTCCTATTAGCAGAAACTAAACTATGGAAAACCAACTATATTAGTGACTCAGATGACTATGAGGAAAGTTGATTTGTCCTAAGGAAAATTTAAGGTTTACTAAATATGTAATTTGTTGATTCCATTAAATAGAAGAGGTGACTCTGAGGAGCAATCAAAAAGAACAAAAGAGGTTTTGTGAAATTGGAACATTGTTTCTGAAATAAAAGAAAATCAAGGGCTGAATAAATGAAATATCCAGGCCTAAACAAATTTATGTTCAAAATGATAAAAACCAAGAAACAACAAAAAAGAAAATTATGTAAAAGTTTTAAAATGTAGAATATAGGTCATAAAATCTCTCCATGGTAATTTCACAAAAAAAATGGAAATAAGACAATCAAATAAATAAGATGATATTTAGTGCTTCAAATCTAAAGCCTTTTGGTTGTTGTACTGTTGGACCTTTTCTTATTAATGTGTGGAATTTTTCCATGTGATACTATTTTTCAGTTACTTGTATTTCAGATATCTTTTTTCAGTAATTACATCCCGTATTTGTTGGTGTAACTGTGTTTTTAAATAAAAACACAGCAAATGAGCAAAATTATAAGTAGATTTTTATAAATTAAAATTTATTAATATATATCTTTATAAAAATGCACACATATTGTATTTGTTCAAAATATATTCTCTAATATTTTGCTGTCAAAAAAGTCAATTTTACATATATTTTTGGAGGATATATTTGTCAATGTAAAACTCTAGGTTGACAGCCTCAAAAATTGCCAGTAATTGTCTTCTGGTATCCATTGTTTTTCATAAAAAAAAATTTGTAATTCTTACTGTTTCTTGGTATAGTTTTTAAGATTTTCTCTTTATTGTTAATTTTCAGCAAATACCATTTGACTATGACTGCCAAGCTTTGTTTTTCTTTTATTAATCCTCCTTGGTATTCTCTGATTTTTTTCTGTATATATAGGACTTTTATTTATCTTAAAAACTTCTCAACTTTGAATATTTTATTGTCATTCTTTTTCTATTTTCTTTTTGGACTCCATTATGCATATGTTAGGTAGTTTAATGTTGTCAAACTGTTTTTAAATACTCTATTCTTTTTTTTTCCTTAAAAATAATCTCTATGTTTCTGTTTGAATCATTTCTATTGACCTGCTGTCAAATAAAATGATTATTCTGTATATTCATTCTGTTATTAAGCTTACTAAAATAATTATTAATCTTTAATGTCATATTTTTTATTTCTATAATTTCAATTTGGACTTTTTAAATATGGTATGGATCTCTCTGCTAAAATTCTTTAACTCTTCAGGCATATTGTTAGTTTTTGCTTAAATGTTTTAGCATATTTATCATCACTGGTTTTATGGCCCTGATATTGAAATATTTGGAACAAAATGTCTGTGTTTGGCTTTAGTTACCGTTTTGTCTATTGCCAATGTGTCATGTGTACTTGCTTTTTTTTAGTATATCCCATTATTTTTTATTGAGTGTCACACATTGTGTGTGCAAGAATAACACTGACTTAGACATTTTTTTACATCCAGAAAACAGGAGATTTTGCATCTGTCAGGCAATTCACGTGAGGAGAATTCAATCAATCTAGATTGTTGCTTGGCTGGTTTGGACTTTGATATTAACTCATTATAGTCGCATTCAGTAGTCATACAGTCTCCTAATTTGTCTGCTTGGCCTTCAAACCAAGGCCCCCCAGGTCATCCCTTCGGTAATTGTTAGAACCCTGTGCACAGAGTAGGCAGGCCCTACGCACTTGTACTCTTAATTGGTTAAGTCTCTGTCAGCTCCCCTAGTCTATGAGCAGCAATAGATAAATTTTGCTTGTACTTAGTCTAAGGCCCGGAGTGCGCAGAGGGTTTTTCTCTATTTTCTTACTTTGCCTCCAGACTTAAACGGACCCTATGCCCCTCTATCTCTTAATTGTGCTTTACAGCTGCTTTATGGTTTATAGTGTAAAGTCTAAGGTATGAACATGCTTTTCTCAGTTTTTATTTTCCACCCTCAGACTTATGCCGGTCTCATGTGCCTGTAATGCTGAGGCTGCTTTTCTTCTGTTTTCCTGACTTACCTAGTCACAAATTTCCCCTCATCATTCAGGAAAAGTCCGTGAAAAAAATAAGTGGTAAATGGAGACTTCTGTTGTTTCTGGGGTTCACAGGGATTTGAAACTATAAGCCTAGTTACTTCTCAGGCTTTAAGAATTAATTACAACGTCAGGTTAGTACTTGTGACTTGTATCTATGGTGGTTTCCTCTTCTTTCCACTGATTTGGCAAACGTGTTGCAGCATAGGTTTTGTCCATCCTAGAAAGAGTTTGTCTCCTCTTGTAGTTTTTTAATTAGGTTACGTAGTGAACTCAGCCCTCTGGGGCATTAAAATATTTATGATTTTGTAGATTTTATGATTTGTTCTAGTTAGAAGGGGAACTGTATTCTCCTACTAATTTCTATATCTTAAGCAGTGCACCTTCTTCATTATTGAGTACTGGATATTCTCCTTAATATGTGGAAAATCAAGTTTTATTTAAAATAATGATTTATTAGTTATCTGGATTTTCTGTATTACAGTGGCCCCCATTACCAGAATATCTGCTAAAAACTATGGATGGAAAATAAAGCCATCATCATCTTTTAAAGCAGAGTCCATAGATATTTACTAAGATTGATTAAATTGAAAAAGATATTACTTTTAATATTAGTTAGGGTTATGGGCTTAACTTTCAGAAGAATTAAAACACCCAATTAGCAAAAGTTGTCACTTCAGGGGTGTTCGATAGGGTAGTGGACTGTCTTTTAGTTTTTAATTTGTATGTTTTTGTAGTGTTTGATTTTTTAACATTATGTGTTACCGTTGTCATGAAAATATTTTTTACAAACATTATCTATAGGAACTAGTGTTGGTTTGGTTAGTGAGTCAAAAAGCTGTTAGTGAAACAAAGGTGATCACAGCTGTTTGAGACTGATATTCACCTGGCGTGCAAGTAATGCTGGCTTGGGGTCATGCCACATATGCAGACCATGAAACTGAATTCAATACAGATATCAGAATTGTAAGGTAGAAATGAGGCAAGGTTGGCCAGGTGTGGTTGCTCAGTCCTGTAATCCCAGCACTTTGGGAGTGCAAGATGGGTGGATAACCTGAGGTCGGGAGTTTGAGACCAGCCTGACCAACATGGAGAAACCCCATCTCTACTAAAAATACAAAAAATTAGCCAAGCATGGTGGCACATGCCTGTAATCCCAGCTATTCGGGAGGCTGAGGCAGGAGAATCACTTGAACCCAGGAGGTGGAGAGTGCGGTGAGCTGAGATCATGCCATTGCACTCCAGCCTGGGCAACAAGAGAGAAACTCCATCTCAAAAAAAAAAAAAAAAAAAGAAAGAAAGATATGAGGCAAGGTAGGGTCTAGGGATTTGCACAAGTAAGAAATGAATCCTGAATGTCCCAGAGTTAAAATCTGACTAGCGGAAGCAAAAAAAAATAGATATCAATAATCATCAAATAGATCTAGATAGTTTATTCAATGATCAGCCAGGGGAAACGTCAATTTGAAACAAGAACTTAGGTTGTGCCATTTTATTATATCACTTATATCTGTCCCCAACATGAAATATGATGTTGTATAACCTGTCTGCATAATCCAGGTTTTGTGCACCAATGTATTTGAACAAACTGGAAAAAAATAAAACATTATTTTTGTCAATTTGGCACTTCAGGATACTTTGCTAACCATTAAATACATGAATTTTTGAATATGTGTGTAAAATATGTTGACAATTATCAGGTTCTTTTTCTTTCAAATCTATATTGAAATTATTAAAGAGAATGTTATTGTAGACTTTTGTTAAAAATAAGATAAATTGTGTACTACCTTGCATTTGTACTTAGCTGTATCAATTGACCTAAGGTAATTAGAGAATAACTGTTTTAATATTGGCTTTTTCCATTAGTGATTTTAAAAGGTACCATAAGATGATACAAATAATTACTGTTCCAGTCTTTAAAATCACTAGCAAAATTAATCTATGACCTAGATCCAATAGCTAAGAAATGAGAAATGAGTGCAGCCTCTATATACTTTCAAAAATCATTACCTACACACTTAAATTAAAAAGTTGTTAAATAACAAGCACTAGATGCAACAAGTATTGCATGAAATTGAAATATCTATGTCAAATAATGTGCTATATAATAATTTCCTTTCTAACATTTTAGCATACACTAGAAATATAAATGATGTATACTAATTTGAGAGCTCTGAGAGGACAAGCAAATGATAAATCACACGTCTCACAACATAAGAATTTTACAATGTTAATATTTGGGTTCAAATAAAGTATAAGCAGTATCTAGTTCCATAATGTGTATGTTCATAATTGTAACAAAAGCTATTTGTTTGAAACATTAGACCCCACATAAATTGATTACAATCTGGGGACCAAAATTTTATGATTTGCTTGAATTATTATTCTATGGTTAGTTCTGATGGTTTAAATGAATAATTGAATCATAAAATGTAGAGCTGGAAGCAATCTCAAAGTCACCTTTTCCAACAGTGCAGAAGCAATAGAAACAAATGGATTCTATCAGATGGCTATCTGTCTTGTCATTAAAAATTTCCCTTAAGAGAAATTTACTGATCTCCCTGGATACATGGCTCTGAGGTTTGATTGGCCTGATTACCTTGAAACTATGTCTGCTGCTTGACTAAAAACTTAGTAATGTTAAAAATATCAAAAGCCTTTGGAAAGCTTGAGTTTCTTATTCACTCCTGTATCCTCAGTGTAACACTGGAAATAAAAATGAGTTTTCAATTTCTTAAGATGATCTCCACTTGCATCCTTTGCCTCTCTTTGATTCTTTCTTTTGTATTTGATCTCTCCCAAATTCCTTTCCAATTGGTCTTTCTTCTCTGGCTGTGTTTACAGTAAAGTTTTCCTAGTCCCCAAAACCCTTCCTCTACTCAAGATAACCCGTAAGATAACTGTAGATAACTATAGACTTACTTGTAACTAGATTACTTACTTAGTTACTTATAACTAAGTCTAGATTTATCTACTTACTTATAACTAAGACTTAATTATAATTCTCGACTTATCTATACTTTTTAGTTAATAATGCCTTTATTTACTGCCTTATGCTAGAAATTCTATCCTATGTCATTTCTCTTTCTTTTTCACATCTAATTTAATTCTTAACCCTTTCCTATTGGATCATTAATCCATTCATTAAACAATCATTCCTACTATGTCCCAAAATCAATGATGGTTAGAAGACTGAGGGAATATTCACAAGGTTGGGAAGTAGAAAAAAAAACAGTCTTTGTTTTACAGAGCATATTTTATTATTCTATTAAAAGTTCTCCTTTAGAGGTCATTGGTATTAGTATAACTTTTAAGCAGCCTTAATATATATCTGACTCAGTCTTTCAGGAATATATGACCTAGTTGACTTTCTTGAGGATTTTTTTATACCTTAGTTTCCACGAGTGTAAATCTCTCAGGGAATGCAGGAACACATCAGCCCACCCAGAAATTAGCCAAAAGTAAAGTAGCTAATAGCAAACGGAGTTAATTTCCTTATCTATACTGCTCTTGATGTCTAGATTCTGGCAAAATAACATCAAATGACCCTCTGGCTTTTGGCACCTCTGCTGCTTGACATGATAAGCTTGCCCCTTCAATCTCAAATCTTCTCCTTTTTACTTCTTTATACTTCTATAATAGTTCACAATCAGTTGACCAAGCTCTAACTTACCTTTTGTTTTTTATTCTCTTTATTTTTGACTATATTATAGATTGTTGTAGAAATATCTTTCTATGGTATATAAATTATCATGTCATACACTTGTTCAATTTTTTTCACACTTTTCATACTGAGACCTAGTAAGTAAAAAATATGGCATTCTTCCCTTTCTAATTCAAATTACTTATTTTTATGTTGTCCTCCCAATTCCAATAGGGAACATGTTTGTGTACATGAACAAATATACACATATAGACACAAACATACACATGAGCAAAAGCTCAATGAAGAGAATGACTTAGTTTTGTTCACTCTTGTACCCCCCAATGATGTAGTGCCATTTTGGCGTATGTATTAGTTTGTTTTCACATTGCTATAAAGATATTACCTGAGACAGGGTTATTTATAAACAAAAGTGGTTTAATTGACTTGAAGTTCCACGTAGCTGTGGTGGCCTCAGGAAACTTACAATCATGACGGAAGGTGAAGGGGAAGCAAGCACCTCCTTCACAAGGTGGCAAGAGAGAGACAGCAGGTGAGGAACTGCCAAACACTTTTAAGCCAACAGATCTTGTGAGAATTCACTAACTATCATGAGAACAGCATGGGGGAAATTGCCCCCAGAATTCAATCACCTCCTACCAGGTCCCTCCCTCGACATGTGAGGATTGCAATTTGAGATGAGATTTGGGTGAGTACACAGAGGCAAACCATATCAGCATATATTAAATGATAAATAAATACACTTTGGATACATGAATACATAGAGGCTGGGTATGGTGGCTCATGCCTGTAATCATGCACATCTCCAGATCTTTGAATAAAGTTAATATTTTGGAATATGCTGTAATTTGGATAACTTCTAGAATACCACTGTGTACTCTTGGTGCTGCTTACGTAGGTTGAAACAAGAAGTAGAGTTCTAGTTTCCTCCATTTGCTCAAGAGAAAATTGGGTGCAAGAGCATTTGTACAATATTTTCAATATTTCATTCAATGGCATTGATGGATTTTGCTTCTGCCTGACATGTTTTGCCTCCTCTTTTCTGTGAAATATAGTTGTGATTTTATTGGTATTTTGAGTTCCAGCTCAAATGGTCTCATTTATTCATTCGCCTTAGATCACTCTCGTGGAATTTTGTTTGTGTTTGTGTTGTGGGAAAATGAGTGGCTGGAGTTGCAGAGGACAATTTTCCCCCTAGAATCATCACTTGTTAGACACGTTAGTATTTTAAAGAGATATAATTTCTTTACTATTATATTCCTCAAATGTAAAATCAGAATATTTCCTTTTTTATACAACAGTGAATACAGGTGTTCCTGTTTTTTACTGTGTGTGTATGATTTGGGGAGCAGAGAAAGTCAAGTGTGGCATGTGGTTGCCTGGTTATTGTCAGAAAATATATCTTCAAAATTGTCTCCAAAACTGTGATAAATAGCAATGATAGTGGTTTGCCCAAAGCATATGCCAGATTTCTATGGCATTGAATGCAAAAATTCCTGCAAATGCATTTTGTATATGAAAATCTTTCTTTAGGCAATAGCACACATTCTCAGGACTTCTCTGTTTCATTAATAACAATATATCAGTGGAAAAGTCTGAGAAGCAGTGTCTCAACAGTTGAAATTATTTCAAACGAATGTGAATTTGAACTGCATTTTTTAACTGAATTGTACCTTGACATCATCTCAAGGGTGACCGTACAAAAAGATGAATAAATTCTTTTATTGTGTGCCCTCGAGGCTATGATAGGCGATACTGGTGACTTCCTATAATGTTCCACTTATATATAACAATAGAATAAATTTCTTTTAAGCCTATGTTTGAAGAACAAGCTGTCAATTCAGCGACTTATTTTTTTAAGGACTTTGTGCACATCAAAGATGTGAAGGTCATCCTAAAATGAGGAAAACGGCTTCAATTTCTTACCTGCATGGTCAGTATGTCAGCTCTGCCGTCCAGATAGGTGTTTGGGCATGTCAGTGTATATGTGCTTTATGGTATAATATCAGGGATTATAGAATTGCTGACCATATCTTAATGTTCTACTCAGAAATTTCACTCAAGAGAGTAAAGAATATGTGAGATATAAATATTTCATGTGTATATGATAGTATACTATACTACAAGATTTAATGTATAATATTATTATATAATAAGATAAATATTACTAGCAAATGATGAAAGTTCACTAATAATGATGAAGGTGAAGTTATTTTACAGTTGGATTTATTATGTAAAAATATTTTAATTGAATCTCATAAATTAATATGATCCAATTTTTTTAAAAAAAGTGAAATAATTCAGAAATACTCTTGCAGTGCTGATTTACAAAGAGAAACTGAGTAGCAAGTAAGGGAGTATGAATAATGAAAACAAACAAGGAATGAAATTGTGAAAGCAGAGAGGAATATTCTCTCACATCTATTTTTTAGTGTTAAACATTAGATTTAAAAATATATATATTTCTGTAAACTCTGTCCTTGTCAGCAAACACCGCAATTTATTTTTCTAAATTTTCCTGGTATGGTTATTTACCAAGTTAAGTTCTGGAGATGGATTAAGAAATTGGAAGCCTAAGGCTTTTGGGCTACAAACATTAAACAGCAATTAAATTTTTACATTAGATTAATACAAATACAGTGCTGCTTACCTATGTCTAGTTCCTAGTGCATCTCCTCAAGTGCTTCTGTGAGATACTAACTCAATGAAGTCGTGAATGCCATGTATGTGTGTGTGGGTGTCTGAGCAAATATATACACAAACAAATATGCATCTCTCTCTATATATGCATGTATGTGTATATATATAGGTTGTGGCATCTATCTATTTTTTAAAATCTAATTTTCTCCTTTAAATATCAAAACCTATGAGAAGGATTCTTCTTACCTTATCTACTACAGTATGTCATATACCTTCAGCTCAGTTCACAAATAACATTTTTTCCACTGTGAATAAATAGAAACAAAATCAAAACACTGAATAAAAATGTAGTAACTATAGGCTTTTTAAAGTGATTTTAGTTCAGGTTCAAAGGCTTTTAAGTACATGATTATTGCTACAGGAAGGAGCTTGTATAAAAATGTATTATTCTCTTTCAAATGCCCCATATTATCTTTCTCAATCATATTTTAAAGATGATTTGATATTAAAAACTGTTTAACTGAAAAAATCACATTTACTGAAAAAATATGTGATGTATAAAATAGAACAAAAAAGAAGAGAAAGACAATGAAAGAGGGAGGAAGGGAGGGGGAAGGAAGGAAGGAAGGAAGGAAAGAGAGAAGGGAGGGATGGAGGGGAGAACAGTTTGAGGCCCGGATATTGAAGAAAGGGAGAAGAAAGAGAAGAAGGGGAAAGAGGAAGAAAGAGAAGAAAACTGAAATAACCATTAATCTCCCATCCGCAAATAACTACATTTTGTTCTTTTTTAAAAAATACATTCTTATTTTCCATTTAACCAGTTTTTATTTTTACTCTTTTTTCATGAAGATAACTGTTCTCAAACATGGGATTATTAATGGCTTCATGGTATTGCACTGTATATATATAGATATATATAAATATACAATTTTACTATAAGTTATTGCCAGATATTTAGCTTACATCTTTGTTGAAATCTTTGGTAATGTACAAAGGATACTTCTCTGGAATTAAAGAATGTCCACTTTCCAAGCTTTTGATATATATTTGGAAATTACCCTGTAGAATATTTATTTCTATTTGCCTTCTCATCAACAGTAAGGAAAGTCTCTGCTTTCCAAACAATTGCAAAAGTGGATAATTTTAACAGTGATGATGATGGTGATGATGATGCTATTCGTCTAATGTAAATGTAGTAATAATAATATCATTATTACATTAGAGGAGAAGCATATTTAACTCTTATTTACATACGCTCTTTATAGAAAGTGGATATCTGTACTTCTGAAAAGTTTGTTCATGCTATTTCTGTTTTCTTATACTGTGTTTCAGTTTTTCTCTTTGACATGTCTGTGCAGTTTAAATATTATGGGCATTTGATATTCTCTTGTCACATATATCACAAATATTCTTCTCAATCTGTTCTTGGCCTATGCCAATAATGTTTTGTTTTGTTTTTCATCTTTGATCTTTGATGTCTTATTTGGAAAAGTCATCAACCAAGATAAATGTTAACCCATGGTTTATTCTTGTTTTTTAAGAATTTAAATTATTTGATATTTAATTCTTTAATCCATCCGCAACCTTGTTACATATAATCTACTGTAATACTTTCACTTTGTTTTCCTCAGAGGTAATTAATTGCCCTAATTTATGTATTAACTGATCTATCTTTTCTTCACCAAGTAGAAACTAACTGTATATCTATACTGAATGCATACGAATATACACATGCACCCACTCCCACACACACATGCACATTCATTTCTGAGGTTTCTAATTGATCCCACAGGTCTGCCTTTCTATTTTGGTACAAAAGTCATTTTTAGTTTTCCATTACTGAGACTTTATAATTGGTTCATTAAACTAATATATTGGTTCCTAGTGGTAATGGAAGTTATTCTCAACTCTGAATTATTGTTGTGTTCTATTATATAGATTTAATCATTTTAAACTGTCTTTTTTTTCATTACTGGAATAAAACATTCTAAGTAAGCATTCATCATCCTTTTAATGTAGCACCAGATTTGATTTACTAATGTTTTTATTTAAGATTTTTCATCTGTTAGAAATAATTTTAAAGAGTGTGTTGAGGTATAAGCTTTATAATATTCTGTTATTAGAATTATTTTTACTTCATTCCAATCATGTAGTAGCTTCTCATTGACATTAATTATTTAAACTACATTTGTAAAGTTGCACAGATACCTCTCTACTCTGCAGAGATTCTGATTTTGGTCCAATTATCTCCAAAGGCCTTCAAGCTCCAACGCTTTGGTTTTTAATTCAAACCCCCATATTCAACTATGCTTTCGCAAAACACACTTTACCTGGGTAACTGCATCTTGAGAGATTATAGCCAGATGGCAGTGTATAGAAAACATTTTGTGTTCTTGAAGAGTTGCAGCTTTCTGAATAAATTTCACTAAAAACATTGGTCCCTGGGCTAAAAGCAAGCCTTAAGAGATTAACATTCACTTGCTTGGTTACTAAAAGAACTCCAGAGAGATTTACCTAGCTCCCGAATATGTGTTTCCATTTCAAGGGAAAATGATGCCTGGTATCTTGGGGATATGTCTAGGTATTAAAATTCAAAAACAGGGGTGCATCTGGCCCTTAGAAAAAAGCATTCACATCCCAAACGGTTAGAGAATCTAGGATCCTTTTCAACACATCTTGAAGAAGGATAGATTTTTGTGCCTCTTTTTGAGAGGGAAAGGAGAGGCAACTTCCTCCTACTCCTGAATATAAGCAGAGAAATTCCATTTTCTTCATTCCTCACCTTTGGAGTACCTTGTCACACATATACTCGAGTTTTTCATCTAGCTTTCATTGCATCATCTCTGATAAAAACTGGGCAAAGTTGTTATCATTTCAATAATGATAACAAATCTATATCTGACCCAGGACACCTATGTGTGAAACTGAATATGAAAAACACACTGCTGGCTAAGTGTGGTGGCTCACGCCTGTAATCCCAGCACTTTGGGAGGCCAAGGTGGGCAGATCACTTGAGGTCAGGAGTTCGAGACCAGTCTGGTCAACATGGTAAAGGCTTGTCTTGGCCCGGTGTGGTGGCTCATGCCTGTAATCCCAGCACTTGGGGAGGCCAAGGTGGGTGGATCACTTGAGGTCAGGAGTTCAAGACCAGCCAGACCAACATGGTGAAACCCCATCTGTACTAAAAATACAAAATTAGCTGGACGTGGTGGTGCACACCTGTAATCCCAGCTACTTGGGACGCTGAGGCAGAAGAATTGCTTGAACCCAGGAGGCAGAGGTTGCAGTGAGCCGAGATCGCACCATTGCACTCCAGCCTGGGCAAGAAGAGCAAAACTCCGTCTCAAAAAAAAAAAAAAAAAAACCTGTATCTACTAAAAATGCAAAAATTAGCTGGGTGTGGTGGTGCATGCCTTTAATCTCAGCTACTCAGGAGGCTGAGGCAGGATAATCTCTTGAACCCAGGAGGCAGAGGTTGTAGTGAGCCAAGATAGCGCCACTGCACTCCAGTCTGAGTGACAGAGTAAAACACTGTCTTAAAACAACAACAACAACAACAACAACAAACACAATGCCCATTCTCTATACCTGGAAGAGGATCTGAACCCCAGACCACAAGCACCTTTCCAGATTCCTCTTTTCCTCGAGAATTCTTATTCACTTTCCTATAACAAAACCTTTGCTGAGACAATAAAAAAATCAAGAACTACACTGAGTGCAAGTGGCACAGGAATGATGTGAGATGTAGTTTGTTTGCATAATTTAACATATACTAGTATGAGATAATACTGATTATAAATAAATGGAAACAAGTTATCTAGTACTTTTTAGGAAGTATTTTGAAGAAAGTGAGGACATGGAGAGAGTGAGCATTCAGTTACATCTAACCTTGGTTGGGATGGAAAAGCTGTTATAAATGATGTCCATATATTTAGCAAATATTTATTGATAGCTTGCTCGGTGTCATACATTATTTTAGCCACTATGGTATGCGAACACTAATCTGAATGCCTGTTCTTAAGAGAGTGTTTAGTGGGAGAGTAAAATAAAAAAAAGTATTCTTTAAGTTTTATGATAGGAATATATCCAAGGTTTCATATGTGGGGTGGATAGATAAAATAAATGTTTAGAAAGCAGAATTATCAAGGCTCAGTTTTATCAAGAATAAAGGCTGTAGAAAAAAGAAGAGCTTAAATGATTATCTTTTCTGGCTTACATGACTAGATGAAAGTGATACAATTTACACATTTATTGAAAATTTAAATTTAAAAGTTTTATTTTATTTTTAATTGACTAACAATTGTATATATTGATGGGATACATTGTGATGTTTTAATACATATATAACAAATGAATAGATTTAAAATGTGGTAAATATACACGGTAGAATACTATTCAGCCTTTTAAAAAGGACATTGATAAAATAGAGGACATTATGTTAAGTAGAATAAGCCAGGCACAGAAAGATAAATACCATATGATTCCACTCACATGTGGAATCTGGAAAATTTGAACTCATAGAAGAGTGATAGTGCCATTTGCAGGAAAAATCTAGAAGTAATTGGATCTAGGTTTGGTGCTCAATAGACAAGTCAGGACTGGTGATAAAAGATTTTTCCAGCATCTTTGTATAGATTACGATTTTCCAAAGGTATTGCATTTCCTCCTGTCCCTTCTCTCACACACCCTTGTCAATTACCAAAAACAACAATTGTTCCTACTGATCAGAAACACAGACTAACAGAGTCCTTCTTAGCATGGCCTTCCAGATAGCATTATAAAACTATTAAATTTGACAGATGAGATGAAACTAATTCCTTCTTTCTGTTGAAAGTAAAAGAATAACTTTAAGAACTATAGATCAAATATAAATACAGCAATATCATCAGAGAGACTAAGGCAAAATTTTATGCATACAAAAATTAAGGAGTTGTGGAGTAAAAGAGAAGTACAGTACACTAAAAATCAATGAAAGTGGATTAAAATATCCAAGAGTCCCGTTATTATCCTCTGAATCATAATATTCTTTGGTCAAAAGCATATCATGTAATCCCAGTATTATGAGAAAAAAAACAAACTTGAAGCCAAATGTCAGCCCTGTTTTGTGAGTTTGGTGTTTTTTAATAAGATTACATTCTACATAAGAAAACAAGCTAGATGATGCCTTGTATACAGAAAAGTTAAAAAAAAAAAACTAGCTTTTTCAGCAGAGAACTGCTTTTGCTGAGTGTTGTGTCAATAATAGTATATTAGTTAGTGTTCTCCAAATAGACAAAACCAGTAACATCTATATCATCTTATCTACATTTATATCTATATCTATAAAATAAAGAGATTTATTTCAAGAAATTGGCTTATGTAATTGTGGGTGTGGCAAGTCCAAAATTGGCAGGAGAAGGTGAACAAGCTAGAAACTTTCTGGCAGGAGCTGATGCTCTAATCTTGAGTCAGGATTCTTTGCTCCTTGGGGAAACTTTAGTTTTGCCCTTAAGGCCTTCAACTAATTGCATAAGGCCCACCCAAATTATCAAGGTCACCTCTTTAACTTAATTGATTATAGATATTAACCACATCTACAAAATACCTCCACCATTACATGTAAATTACTGTTTGATTGAATGCCATAGCCTAGCCAAGTTGACCCATGAAACTAACCATTGCAAATACTCTTTGCTCACAACATGGAGAAATTATCAGTTGTTTCAGTGGTATCAGTGTGTCCCATTTTATCTTGTAGATACCATACAGCATTGATACAAGAAACTGACATTCAAGAATGTCTCTGACAAGTTGCCAACATGAATTGTCTTTTGTACACTCTGGGTTAAAATGGGGACACAGAAGCTTTGAGTATGTCAGCTACTTAACTAGGTATCTAGGTTCATTTAAAAGCTTGTGGGAACTGTCATTATATGGTACAAACACATAGCCCAGGGCAGTCCAAAGATAACTCCCGTGTGAAATATGAATCGAAACTCTCCTTCCTAGTTTAACCTTAGCTTCAGGGCAGTTGGAAACTTAAGTCAGAGGTAAAAAGCAGTTTGCTTTACCAGAAAACCCTCAAGCTGTTTCTGTGGAGGGGAAATGGAAGTGCCAAGACAATGTCACTGCTAAACTGCTTTTTCTAATGCTTCTCCACAGAATATAAAAGATATTTTCAAATTCTGATAGTGATTTCATTAAATATAAATGCTGATTTATTTCTGAAGCTGAAAAACAGTCTGCTGAAATTGAGTATAACTCAGTACAAAGTGTTTCTATACAGCTACAGCATTTGCCTGTGTTAAAGATTATTAACTTTTTTAAAAATTTTGTTTTTATTTTATTTTATTATACTTTAAGTTCTAGGATACATGCGCACAATGTGCAGGTTTGTTACATATGTATACATGTGCCATGTTGGTGTGCTGCACCCATTAACCCCTCATTTACATTAAGTGTATCTCCTATGCTATCCCTCCCCACTCTCCCCACCCCACTACAGGTCCCGATGTGTGATGTTCCCTACCCTGTGTCCAAGTGTTCTCATTCTTCTATTCCCACCTGTGAGTGAGAACATGTAGTGTTTGGTTTTCTGTCCTTGCAATAGTTTGTTCAGAATGATGGTTTCCAACTTCATCCATGTCCCTACTAAGGACATGAACTCATCCTTTTTATGGCTGCATAGTATTCCATGGTGTATATGTGCCACATTTTCTTAATCCAGTCTATCGTTGATGGACATTTGGGTTGGTTCCAAGTCTTTGCTATTGTGAATAGTGTCACAATAAACATACGTGTGCATGTGTCTTTATATAGCAGCGTGATTTATAATTCTTTGGGTATATACCCAGTAATGGGATGGCTGGGTCAAATGGTACTTCTAGTTCTAGATCCTTGAGGAATCGCCACACTGTTTTCCACAATGGTTGAACTAGCTTACACTCCCACCAACAGTGTAAAAGTGTTCCTATTTCTCCACATCCTCTCTAGCACCTGTTATTTCGTTACTTTTAATGATTGCCATTCTAAGTGGTGTGAGATGGTATCTCATTGTGGTTTTGATTTGTATTTCTCTGATGGCCAGTGATGATGAGCATTTTTTTTATGTGTCTGTTGGCTGCATAAATGCCTTCTTTTGAGAAGTGTCTGTTCATATACTTTGCCCACTTTTTGATGGGTTTGTTTCATTTTTTCTTGTTAATTTTTTTAAGTTATTTGTAGATTCTGGATATTAGCCCTTTGTCAGATGGGTAGATTGTAAAATTTTCTCCCATTCTGTAGGTTGCCTGTTCACTCTGATGGTAATTTCTTTTGCTGTGCAGAAGCTCTTTAGTTTAATTAGACCCCATTTGTCAATTTTGGCTTTTGTTGCCATTGCTTTTGGTGTTTCAGTCATGAAGTCCTTGCCCATGACTATGTCTTGAATGGTATTGCCTAGGTATTCTTCTAGGGTTTTTATGGTTTTAGGTCTAACATGCAAGTCTTTAATCCATCTTGAATTAACTTTTGAATAAGGTGTAAGGAAGGGATCCAGTTTCAGCTTTCTACATATGGCTAGCCAGTTTTCCCAGCACCATTTATTAAATAGGGAATTCTTTCCCCATTGCTTTTTTTAATCAGGTTTGTCAAAGATCTGATGGTTGTAGATGTGTGGTATTATTTCTGAGGGCTCTGTTCTGTTCCATTGATCTATATCTCTGTTTTGGTACCAGTACCATGCTGTTTTGGTTACTGTAGCCTTGTAGTATAGTTTGAAGTCAGGTAGCGTGATGCCTCCAGCATTGTTCTTTTGGCTTATGATTGTCTTGGCAGTGCAGGCTCTTTTTTGGTTCCATATGAACTTTAAAGTAATTTTTTCCAATTCTGTGAAGAAAGTCATTGGTAGCTTGATGGGGATGGCATTGAATCTATAAATTACCTTGGGCAGTATGGCCATTTCCATGATATTGATTCTTCCTATCCATAAGCATGGAATGTTATTCCATTTGCTTTGTGTCCTCTTTTATTTTGTTGAGCAGTGGTTTGTAGTTCTCCTTGAAGAGGTCCTTCACATCCCTTGTAAGTTGGATTCCTAGGTATTTTATTCTCTTTGAAGAAATTGTGAATGGGAGTTCACTCATGATTTGGCTCTCTGTTTGTCTGTTAAACTTTTAACAGAATGAAAGTATGGCAAAGAAAGGTAGGAAAACGGAAGATAAATAGAAAGAAATAGAGGAGCATGCATTGAAAAAAATGTTATATATGCTCAGTTAATTTTGATGGTGCTCAATTCTATTTCTCTCAAAGCTATGATCAAATAGCAAACATGTGCTGTAGCACTATGCTTAAATTATTAGGAACAGAGAGATCATTATTGCATTGTGTCAATAGGCAATTTTCATTTTTAATAAAATGTACTTCTCAGGATCTAAAACACCCGTAATTTTATAGCTGACATTAACTAAATAGTGTACATTAACTAAGAATAATGAAGTGAACAGAGGAAGATTAATAATAAGGGGGAAAATAACTAAAACTTAAAATTTAGGTAATAATAATAATTTTATAATTATACTAAAATTTGAATTATATTGGAACAATTCAAACATCTAAGTGCACTTGGCACCTTTTATATCAAGGAAGAAATGATACATTATACTCCCCATATTTCTTGTGTGTTAAACACTTTAGGTATAGTTGACATACAAAGTCATGCACTTTATTCCATTTATTTCTAGTTGACACATAATAATTGGGCATATTTATGGGGTGCAGACTGATATTTTGATACAACTATACAAGGTGTAATGATCAAATTAGGATAATTATCATATCCATCACCTAAAACATTTATTATTTCTTTGTGTTGAGAACATTCAAAATTCTTTCTTCTAGCTTTCTGAAGAAACACAATAAATTGTTGTTAACTATATCTACCCCCACAGTACTATGAAACACTTGAATTCATTTCCCCTATATAACTATAATGTATTAATTAACCAATCTGTCCCTAACCTCCCCTCCTCCCTAGGATTCACAGCTTTTAATAACTGTAATTCTTTTATTATTATTATTATTATACATTAAGTTTTAGGGTACATGTGCACAACATGCAGGTTTGTTACATATGTATACATGTGCCATGTTGGTGTGCTGCACCCATTAACTCATCATTTAGCATTAGGTATATCTCGTAATGCTATCCCTCCCCCCTCCCCCCACCCCACAACAGTCCCTGGTGTGTGATGTTCCCCTTCCTGTGTCCATGTGTTCTCATTGTTCAATTCCCCCCTATGAGTGAGAACATGTGGTGTTTAGTATTTTGCCCTTTCGATAGTTTGCCGAGAACGATGGTTTCCAGTTTCATCCATGTCCCTAAAAAGGACATGAACTCATCATTTTTTATGGCTGCATAGTATTCCATGGTGTATATTCACCACATTTTCTTAATCCAGTCTATCATTGTTGGACATTTAGGTTGGTTCCAAGTCTTTGCTATTGTGAATAGTGCCACTATAAACATACGTGTGCATGTGTTTTTATATCAGCATGATTTATAATCCTTTGGGTACCTACCCAGTAATGGGATGGCTGTGTCAAATGGTATTTCTAGTTCTAGATCCCTGAGGAATCGCCACACTGACTTCCACAATGGTTGAACTAGTTGACAGTCCCACCAGCAGTGTAAAAGTGTTCCTATTTCTCCACATCCTCTGCAGCACCTATTGTTTCCTGACTTTTTAATGATTGCCATTCTAACTGGTGTGAGATGGTATCTCATTGTGGTTTTGATTTGCATTTCTCTGATGGCCAGTGATGATGAGCATTTTTTCATGTGTTTTTTGGCTGCATAAATGTCTTCTTTTGAGAAGTGTCTTTTCAAGTCCTTCACCCACTTTTTGATGGGGTTGTTTGTTTTTTTCTTGTAAATTTGTTTGAGTTCATTGTAGATTCTAGATATTAGCCCTTTGTCAGATGAGTAGGTTGCAAAAATTTTCTCTCATTCTGTAGGTTGCCTGTTCACTCTGATGATAGTTTCTTTCACTGTGCAGAAGCTCTTTAGTTTAATGAGATCCCATTTGTCAAATTTGGCTTTTGTTGCCATTGCTTTTGGTGTTTTAGACATGAAGTCCTTGCCCATGCCTATGTCCTGAATGGTAATGCCTAGGTTTTCTTCTAGGGTTTTTATGGTTTTTAGGTCTAACATGTAAGTCTTTAATCCATCTTGAATTAATTTTTGTATAAGGTGTAAGGAAGGGATCCAGTTTCAGCTTTCTACATATAGCTAGCCAGTTTTCCCAGCACCATTTATTAAATAGGGAATCCTTTCCCCATTGCTTGTTTTTCTCAGGTTTGTCAAAGATCAGATAGTTGTAGATATGCGGCATTATTTTTGAGGGCTCTGTTCTATTCCATTGGTCTATGTCTGTGTTTTGGTACCAGTACCATGCTGTTTTGGTTACTGTAGCCTTGTAGTATAGTTTGAAGTCAGGTAGTGTGATGCCTCCAGCTTTGTTCTTTTGGCTTAGGATCGACTTGATGATGTGGGCTCTTTTTTGGTTCCATATGAACTTTGAGATAGTTTTTTCCAATTCTGTGAAGAAAGTCATTGGTAGCTTGATGGGGATGGTGTTGAATCTATAATTTACCTTGGGCAGTATAGCCATTTTCATGATATTGATTCTTCTTACCCATGAGCATGGAATATTATTCCATTTGTTTGTATCTTCTTTTATTTCATTGAGCAGTGGTTTGTAGTTCTCCTTGAAGAGGTCCTTCACATCCCTTGTAAGTTGGATTCCTAGTTATTTTATTCTCTTTGAAGCAATTGTGAATGGTAGTTCACTCATGATTTGGCTCTCTGTTTGTCTGTTATTGGTGTATTATAATGCTTGTGATTTTTGTACACTGATTTTGTATCCTGAGACTTTGCTGAAGTTGCTTATCAGCTTAAGGAGATTTTAGACTGAGTGAGGAGCCAAGATGGCCGAATAGGAACAGCTCCAGTCTGTATCTCCCAGCATGAGCGATGCAGAAGATGGGTGATTTCTGCATTTCCAACTGAGGTACCGGGTTCATCTCACTGGGGAGTGCCAGACAGTACTTGCAGGACAGTGGGTGCAGTGCACCGTGCATGAGTTGAAGCAGGGCGAGGCATCGCCTCACCTGGGAAGTGCAAGGGGTCAGGGAATTCCCTTTCCTAGTCAAAGAAAGTGGTGACAGATGGCACCTGGAAGATCGGGTCACTCCCACCCTAATACTGCACTTTTCCAATGGGCTTAAAAAACGGTACACCAGGAGATTATATCCCGCACATGGCTCGGAGGGTCCTAAACACACGGAGTCTTTCTCATTGCTAGCACAGCCGTCCAAGATCAAACTGCAAGGTGGCAGCAAGGCTGGGGGAGGGGCATCCGCCATTGCGGAGTTAGTTGTTTGATTAGGTAAACAAAGCGGCCTGGAAGCTAGAACTGGGTGGATCCCACCACAGCTCAAGGAGGCCTGCCTGCCTCTTTAGGCTCCACCTCTGGGGGCAGGGCACAGGCAAACAAAAAGACAGCAGTAACCTCTGCAGACTTAAATATCCCTCCCTGACAGCTTTGAAGAGAGAAGTGGTTCTCCCAGCACGCAGCTTGAGATCTGAGAATGGGCAGACTGCCGCCTCAAGTGGGTCCCTGACCTCAGAGTAGCCTAACTGGGAGGTACCCCCCAGTAGGGGTGGACTGACACCTCATACGGCCAGGTACTCCTCTGAGACAAAACTTCCAGAGGAATGATCAGGCAGCAGCATTTGCGGTTCACCAATATCCAATGTTCTGCAGCCACTGCTGCTGATACCTAGGTAAACAGGGTCTGGAGTGGACCTCTAGCAAACTCCAACAGACCTGAAGCTGAGGGTCCTGTCTGCTAGAAGGAAAACTAACAAACAGAAAGGACATCCACACCAAAAACCCATCTTTACATTACCATCATCAAAGACCAAAGATAGATAAAACCACAATGATGGGAAAAAAACAGAGCAGAAAAACTGGAAACTCTAACAATCAGAGCGCCTCTCCTCCTCCAAATGAATGCCACTCCTCACCAGCAATGGAACAAAGCTGGATGGAGAATGACTTTGACGATTTGAGAGAAGAAGCCTTCAGATGATCAATCTACTCTGAGCTACAGGAGGAAATTCGAACCAATGACAAAGAAGTTAAAAGCTTTGAAAAAAAAGTAGACAAATGGATAACTAGAATAACCAATGCAAAGAAGTCCTTAAAGGGCCTGATGGAGCTGAAAACCAAGGCAAAAGAGCTATGCAACAAATGCAGAAGCCTCAGTAGCCAATGCAATCAACTGGAAGAAAGGGTATCAGTGATAGAACATGAAATAAATGAAATGAAGTGAGAAGGGAAGTTTAGAGAAAAAAGAATAAAAAGAAACAAACAAAGCCTCCAAGAAATATGGGACTATGTGAAAAGACCAAGCCTACGTCTGATTGGTGTACCTGAAATTGACAGGGAGAATGGAACCAAGTTGGAAAACACTCTGCAGTATATTATCCAGGAGAACTTCCCCAATCTAGCAAGGCAGGCCAACATTCAAATTCAGGAAATACAGAGAACACCACAGAGATACTCCTCGAGGAGAGCAACTCCAAGACACATAATTGTCAGATTCACCAAAGTTGAAATGGAGGAAAAAATGTTAAGGGCAGCCAGAGAGAAAGGTCGGGTCACCCACAAAGGGAAGCCCATCAGACTAACAGCAGATCTCTCAGCAGAAAGTCTACAAGCCAGAAGAGAGTAGGGGCCAATATTCAACATTCTTAAAGAAAAGAATTTTCAACCCAGAATCTCATATCCAGCCAAACTAAGCTTCATAAGTGAAGGAGAAATAAAATACTTTACAGACAAGCAAATGCTGAGAGATTTTGTCACCACCAGGCCTGCCCTAAAAGAGCTCCTGAAGGAAGCACTAAACATGGAAAGGAAGAACCGGTACCAGCCACTATAAACACATGCCAAATTGTAAAGACCATCGAGGCTAGGAAGAAACTGCATCAACTAATGAGCAAAATAACCAGATAACATCATAATGACAGGATCAAATTCACACAGAACAATATTAACCTTAAATGTAAATGGGCTAAATGCTCCAAATAAAAGTCACAGACTGGCAAATTGGAAAAAGAGTCAAGACCCATCAGTGTGCTGTATTCAGGAAACCCATCTCACATGCAGAGACACACATAGGCTGAAAATAAAGGGATGGAGGAATATCTACCAAGCAAATGGAAAACAAAAAAAGTCAGGGGTTGCAATCCTAGTCTCAGATAAAACAGACTTTAAACCAACAAAGATCAAAAGAGACAAAGAAGGCCATTACATAATGGTAAAGGGATCAATTCAACAAGAAGAGCTAACCAGCCTAAATATATATACACCCAATACAGGAGCACCCAGATTCATAAAGCAAGTCCTTAGTGACCTACAAAGAGACTTAGACTCCCACATAATAATAATGGGAGAATTTAACACCCCACTGTCAACATTAGGCAGATCAATGAGACAGAAAGTTAACAAGGATATCCAGGAATTGAACTCAGCTCTGCACCAAGCAGACCTAATAGACAGCTACAGAACTCTCCACCTCAAATCGACAGAAATTTAACAAGGATATCCAGGAATTGAACTCAGCTCTGCACCAAGCAGACCTAATAGACAGCTACAGAACTCTCCACCCCAAATCAACAGAACATACATTCTTTTCATCACCACACCACACCTACTCCAAAATTGACCACATAGTTGGAAGTAAAGCACTCCTTAGCAAATGTAAAAGAATAGAAATTATAACAAACTGTCTCTCAGACCACAGTGCAATCAAACTAGAACTCAAGATTAAGAAACTCACTCAAAACTGCTCAACTGCATGGAAACTGAACAACCTGCTCCTGAATGACTACTGGGTAAATAATGAAATGAAGGCAGAAATAAAGATGTTCTTTGAAACAAATGAGAACAAAGACACAACATACCAGAATCTCTGGGACACATTCAAAGCAGTGTGTAGAGGGAAATGTATAGCACTAAATGCCCACAAGAGAAAGCAGGAAAGATCCAAAATTGACACCCTAACATCACAATTAAAAGAACTAGAAAAGCAAGAGCAAACACATTCAAAAGCTAGCAGAAGGCAAGAAATAACTAAGATCAGAGCAGAACTGAAGGAAATAGAGACACAAAAAACCCTTCAAAAAATTAATGAATCCAGAAGCTGGTTTTTTGAAAAGATCAACAAAAATGATAGACTGCTAGCAAGACTAATAAAGAAGAAAAGAGAGAGGAATCAAATAGATGCAATAAAAAATGATAAAGGGGATATCACCACCGATCCCACAGAAATACAATCTACCATCACAGAATACTATAAACACCTCTATGCAAATAAACTAGAAAATCTAGAAGAAATGGATAAATTCCTCGACACGTACATCCTCCCAAGACTAAACCAGGAAGAAGTTACATCTCTGAATAGACCAATAACAGGCTCTGAAATTGTGGCAATAATCAATAGCTTACCAACCAAAAAAAGTCCAGAACCAGATGGATTCACAGCTGAATTCTACCAGAGACACAAAGAGGAGCTGGTACCTTTCCTTCTGAAACTATTCCTGTCAGTAGAAAAAGAGGGAATCCTCTAACTCATTTTATGAGGCCAGCATCATCCTGATACCAAAGCCTGGCAGAGACACAACCAAAAAAGAGAATTTTAGACCAATATCCTTGATGAACCTCAGTGCAAAAATCCTCAATAAAATACTGGCAAACCAAATCCAGCAGCACATCAAAAAGCTTATCCACCATGATCAAGTGGGCTTCATCCCTGGGATGCAAGGCTGGTTCAACATATGCAAATCAATAAATGTAATCCAACATATAAACAGAACCAAAGACAAAAACCACATGATTATCTCAATAGATGCAGAAAAGGCCTTTGACAAAATTCAACAACCCTTCATGCTAAAAACTCTCAATAAATTAGATATTGATGGGACATATCTCAAAATAATAAGAGCTATCTATGAGAAACCCACAGCCAATATCATACTGAATGGGCAAAAACTGGAAGCATTCCCTTTGAAAGTGGGCACAAGATAGGGATGCCCTCTCTCATCACTCCTATTCAACATAGTGTTGGAAGTTCTGGTCAGGGCAATCAGGCAGGAGAAGGTAACAACTGTAATGCTATTCTCCACTTCTGTAAGCTCATTTTTTTAGCTCCTGCGTAAAAAGTGAGAATGAAAACATGCAGCATAAATCTTTTTGTGCTTGATTTATTTCACTTAACATAATGTCCTCTGGGTTCAGCCATGTTGCCACAAATGATAGGATTCCATTATTTCGTATGGCTAAATAGTATGCCATTGTGTATGCATGCCACATCTTCTTTACTCATTTATCTGTTGATTAAAAAATAGGTTGATTTTATATTTTGGCTACTGTAAATAGTGGTTCAATAGGCATGGGGGTGCATATATCTCTTCAGTGAACTGGTTTTCTTTCCTTTGAATAAATACTCAGTACTGCTAGATCATATGGTAGTTTTCCCTTCTCTTTTTCATTTATATATCTGTACCATTAGTATGTTTTACACTCCTTTGTGTTTTCCACTTTGTGTGTTTTCATAAAGGTAGATATTGTCCTTTCACTTCCAGATTTGGATTCCCTTAGTTCTTGTAGGACTGGTCTAGGTGTGATGAATTCCCTCAATATTTGTTTGTCTGAAGAAGACTTTATTTCTTCTTCATCTCTGAAGAATAGCTTTGCTGTGTATAGTATTTTTGTCTAGTAGTTTTTTTTTATATATATATAACACTTTGAATACTTTGAATGTATCATCCCATTCTCTCCTGAACTGAACAGTTTCTGCTGAGAAATCTCTTGGTAGTCTGATGGGGATTTTCATATATGTGACTTGACGCTTTTCTCTGGCTGATTTTAGAATTCTCTCTTTGTCAATTCTCTGTCTTTGCCTTTTGACAGTTTGACTAAAATGTGCCTCAGAGAGGACCTTTTTGAGTTGAATGTATTTGGGAAGTTTTGAGCTTCCTCTATCTAGATATCTATTTCTTTCCCAAGACTTGAGAAGTTTTCAGCTACTATTTCATCAAATAGGCTCCCTATGCCTTTCTCTGTCTCTTCTTCTGACATCTCAAAATGTTAATATTTCTTTAAATGATGTCCCATACGTCAAGGGGTTTTTTAAAATTATTTTTTCTTCTTTTTTTTTTGTTGTTATTTTTTTTTTGTCTGACTGGGCTATTTCAAAAGTCCTGTCTTCAAGGTCAAAAATTATTTATTTTCTTGATATAATATCTTATTGAATTTCTCAACTGTATTTTCATTTTGTTTATTAAATTTTCCAGTTTAAGAATTTGTGTTCAGTTTTATTATTATTCTATTTCTTTGCTGAATTGTTTATTCTGTTTTCTTTGTGTTGTCTATCTGTGTTCTCTGGTATCTCACTGAGTTTCTTTAAGATCATTACTTTGAATTCTTTTTCAGGAATTACATATTGTTTACTTGTTCTTTGGGGTCTATTTCTGGAGAATTATTTTATTCCTTTGTAGGTGTCATGTTGCCTTGCTTTCTTATGTTTTTTTGTGTCCCTGAATTGTTATCTGTGCATCTGGTGTAACAGTCACTTCTTCCAATTTTGTGGAGTAGATTTTGTAGGGTAATACTTTTTCCTACAGATATATATATAGTGTTAGTTGAGTAGGGTGTTTAGGCTTTGGTTCTAGGTGGGTGGATTACTGTAGTCACTGTAAAATTTTTTCAGCTATAATCAATGTTAGCAATATTTGCTAGTTCCTCAATGGGCTAGTCTATGTTTGTTTGTGAAGGCTATGGAGTGACTTTACTGGGAAAGGAGACACTAGACAGGCTGGTCCTAGTGCACTTGGCAATGTGTAAAGACATTTGGCAGCCTTGCCACTGGAGGCGGGAGTGGTGACATTGAGTGCCAGTGGTTGCTGTGGCAGGCCCTGGGCTGGCCAGTCCTTGCACCCTTGGGCAGCATACTTAGATACCAGTGGTGGTGGTGGTGGTGGGCCCCAGATATGCTGTGAGCCAACAGCAAGCAGGACAGTCCTTGGGCCTGTGGGCTGGGTACATGGGCATTATTGGTGGCAGCAGTGAACCTCAGGTAGGCTGATCCTTGAGCTCAGTGTAATCACATGGGTTCTTAGATTGAAGGAAGCAGGAGAGATACAGTCAGAAAGAAGTAGAAGTTGAAGTGATGTGCTTTCAACATAGAGAAAGAGGTCATGAGCCAAGAATGAAGTGGCCCCCTAGAAGCTAGAAAAGGTAAAACAACAGATTTTTACCTAGAACCTCCCAAAGGAATGTAGTTCTGGCTCACTGAGACAGTGCATTTGTAAAAGTGTCCCCAGAGAGCTGCCTCATCCCTTCCACCATGTGAGGACCACAGCAAAAAATGGCTGCCTATGAAGCATGTGGTCACCAGACATTGAATCTGACAAACTCTTCATCTTACACTTCCCAGCTCCCAGAACTGTAAGAAATAAATTTCTATTGTGTATAAGCTTCCAGTCTATGATATTTATGTTAAAGCAGTCCAAACAGACTAAGACATATATTGTTAGTCAAACCACTTTGACTCTCTGAACCTAAGTTTCCTTATTTGTAATGTCAGGGTAATAATCCAAATGTTGTGAAATAATGTAGATCTATATTTATAAACACTAAACATTTACTTAACATCATCAACAAGTTCTTGGAAACTGCAACTTTAAGGGAAATGATGGACAGTGGGTATTTGAATAAAGTAGTGTCCTTCAATGTAGTTTTCTTCCTTTCTTTCTTTCTTTGTTTTTTTTTGATACAGAGTTTTGCTCTTGCTACCCAGGCTGGAGTGCAATGATGCAATCTGGGCTCCCTGCAACCTCCACCTCCTGCATTCAAGTGATTCTCCTGCCTCAGCCTCCTGAGTAGCTGGGATTACAGGCATGCACCACCATGCCCAGATAATTTTGTATTTTTAGTAGAGATGGGGAATATAGTTTTCTTACAACCTTGATTTAAAAAAAAAATTTATGTCACTTCTCTTAACGTCTCAGTTTCCAAGAACCTATTGACAAAGTTAAGAGAGGAATTACTGTACATTTATTATAATTTATAAATACATATATTCATACACATATTTTTGTAGACTTTAAAGTTCTATACATATATGGATGTGGACAATTTTGATCATCATAGTACTAACAATAAATTGTGACCTCTGAATGTCATCTTAATTACTAAACCTTTTGGAAATTCTAAAGAGACAAACTAAAGAAGACTTTTGTTTTATTTAGTTACTATTATTACTATTTCTTTCATTAATTTTCAAAAAGACTACTTGCACCAATCATCTACTTTACACAAATGTATTTTCATTTACACACAATGCCTCCTCTGAGACATTGCACCTATCTTTTGTTTCCTCTTTTCCTCCTAAACATGCAGTCATACTAATGTTCACTATTCTAAGAAGTAGTTTACATTTGCAGAAATCGCTACAAGATATTCAGATAAAACAAATTTTTCTTTTTCAGTCTTTTAGCTGAACCTTATCTTCAATCTTATGTGTTTTGTTTAATCATTAAGTATATTGTTTAACACAGGTTCTTTTTTTCTTTTTGTTTCTTCAACTCAGCAACATCCTTGGCTGTTAAAATCCCCAATATTATTTTGGTTACAGTGCTATAGGTTTTACCTGTCTTCTTCTTTTCCTTATATGACTGTACTTTAATTAAGACAAAACTAAAAATACAAATATACATATATGCATGTATATCTTTTATTTTTATTTTAAGGAATGCTATTATTGAAAGAATTACCACAGCTAAAATGATCCCAAATGACACTAAGCCATATTTTTTATTGTCAACCATTATAAACCAATTGGTTTAAAATTGATGTTTAGCCTTCCAAAAATACAAAACTTTTAAGAACATAAAAACGTAGGACTGGGCCAAGCATGGTGGCTCACACCTGTAATCCCAGCACTTTGGGAGGCCAAGGCAGGCAGATCGCCTGAGGTCAGGAGTTCAAAACCAGCCTGGCCAACTTGTTGAAACCCCGTTTCTACTAAAAATACAAAAAAAGTAGCCAGGCATAGTGGTGGGCACCTGTAATGCCAGCTACTTGAGAGGCTGAGACAGGAGATTCACTTGAACCCAGGAGGCAGAAGTTGCAGTGAGCCAGGATCTAGCCACTGCACTCCAGCCTGGGTGACAGAGCGAGACTCCCTCTCAAAAAAAAAAAAAAAAAAAAGTAGCACCGAAGAGTGAGAATTATTCTACATTTTTTTTGGTAAAATAATATCTAAAGTTTAAAAATGTCATTTATAGACATAAATGGTTCATTTTAATAACAAAATAAATATATAACTGTAAAATCTCTTATTAGTTTATTTAAAATATATAGTGAATTCCCTCTGAAAGTGCATTTTGACCTTTCTAAATACATAATTTCATTTTGTGTTAAGCAGGAATTCTGATTATTTATTTAATATCCTGAATTTGCTGTTTCTTATCATTATATTTAACCCAGAAATCTGACTTTAAACACTAATTTATATAAACAGAACTAATATAACTTTATCCCTGCATATTTATTTTCAGGTTTTAGAGCTATCAAAGAAAAAAATGTAAACTCTGAGTTTCTTACATATAAGTTAATGACCTTTCTGAAAGCTACTGAGAAGTAATGACAAGATAAAGCATTGGAAAACATTTAGATTCTGAACTCTTTCAACTTTCAAATTTTAAGGTAGTATTTTTTAAAGAGTATTTGACAAATGTTTTTAAATTACATTCCCCCTGTAAGATACTATAATGATTATTGATGACTTTTGGCCCTCTTCAAAGGGTAGATAATTCTTCACATCAAAGCTTTAATCTTCATGTTTCAGATACTTTCCCAAAGCTTTTTCTCTTGTTCAACATTTATGGGACACCTGTTACCTTGGAGCAGCGAGAAAATCAGTTCGCTTGCAAAACAGGAAATAAATCAGACAATTGAACAGCTACAAATGAAATGCTGGACTCAAAATACAATAATTAGCAATGATTATTTTATGTACAGTTTTTACTGGGTATATGTGAGCAGATATTTATTACATAAGTGTTTATCAACTACTCCACTGAAAATTCTATTTTAATCTGTAAGACATCTTCTGATTAATTAAACATATTTGATTATAGACTATCTTAAATAATGAATCAGTAAATATATATTTGCTCAATAAATATTTGAAGTGATACAAATGTGTACAAGTTGTGGTACCAACTGGATAAATCAGAAATAAAGATGAATAAAGTCTAGTCATGCCCTTAAAGGATGTGTAGTCTAGTTCTGGAGGTAAGATATCCACTCACAATTATAATAAACATCAAAATACAGTTCATGTGGTGAAAAGATACAAACAAAACTGTTATGATAATTCAAAAAGAAATATATATACTTTTCCCTGGAGTGACCACATAATGCTTCTTCAGAAAAATGGATTTCAGTTATGCCTTGCATGGGAAGAATTTTGTTCATTTAGGCAAATATAAGTGAAACTAGTCTGTGTGAGAAACAAACATGTTATCATTTGCATAAAGAATGAAAGAGAGTTAACACTTATTGAACACTTTCAACGTGCAAATGTTGTTTGGGGCCCTATATTAGTTTTCTATTGCTGTATAACAAGCTATCACAAACTTAGTGGCCTAAAACCAACACACATTAGGTCAAAAATCCGTCTGGGATGACTGGGAGTTTTCTTAGGATATCTCACAGCTGAAAGAAAAGTGGTGAATCGACTGGTTACTAATACGTAGGCTGCAGGAAGAATCTGCTTCTAAGCTTATTCGGATATCAGCAGAATAAAGTTCCTTGCAGTTTTAGATCTAAAGTTCCTTTTGCCTTGCTGTCTGTCAGCTAGGAATCATTTTCTGCTGCTAGAGGCCTTCTGCATTTTTTTTTTTTTAATTTGTGTCCTCCTCCAAGTCCAAAGCTGTAACAGGGTGTTGAATTCTTCTTATGCTTCAAATCTGACTGCCTCTTCTGCTGTGCTGTTCTGTCATCATCCAAAGAAAGTTCTCTGTTTAAGAGTTCATGTGATTAACTAAGGCTCATTTGAATAATTTATCCTTTTTAAAAGTCGTCTGTGCCATAGAACATAAAATACTTATCGCCTTCATAGGTGCTCGTGATTAGCAAATGGAATCTTGGTAATTCCCAGAAAGCCTACCCACCAAAGACACTTTATATATATTGTGCCATTTGGTATTTGAAACAATGTAATGAGCTGTGTATTTTCTGGTTAACTTTTTAAAAAATAAATGAATAAATGATCTGAGTGCCACTTGATGGTTTTGAACCCAGACTTGTTAGATTCCAGCACTTAGTTTCATCCCATTGCCTATAGAATTAGTAATGTTCACAATTGTGAAAATTATGTAAACCCCATTTCATTCAAGTCAAAAACGTTGCATTTCTCAAGTAGACTGCTTCTAAGGAAAATTGTGGTTCTGAGCTATTTCTGCAATTAAAAGTTCTTAATGATTACATACTGATGAAGTGAATTTCCAGGGAGAGATACACCAGCAGGCTCAAAAATTGGCACTCCAGAGGATTAATGAGAGAACTACCAATGCAGCTTCTTGAGCTCAGATGAACAGAAGTGTGCCTGGGAATCCCCAGAACTACTCATTTATCCATATGGGTGATTCTGATATGAGCATGATACCACAAGACCAGGTTGATTAAAATTTCAAGACCTCTGATGAACAGAGTAGACTCAGAATTTCCAACCAGACCCTTTTATCAACATAGATGATTCTAGGGTAGACTTCATACTATAAGACCTACCTGGTCTCATATCAAAAAATAAAGTAACATAAAATACTAAGGAATAAGTTGAACCAAGGCAATGAAAGATTTGTACACAGAAAAGTACAAAATGTTGCTGAAAGACATTAAGACACACAAGAAATGAAAAGATATTCCATGTTCATTGATTGGAAGGCTTAATATTGTTAGGATGACAATGCTACTCAAAGAAATATACAGATATAATGCAATCGTTATCAAAATTGAAATCTTGTTTCTATTCAGGAATAGAAAAGTAGATCCTAAAATTTATAAAATGTCAAGGTACCCTAAATAACCAAAACAATATTAACAAATAACAAAGTGTGAAGTCTCATACTTCCTAATTTCAAAACTTGTTACAAAGCTAAAGTAATAAAAGCAATGTGGTATTGGAATAAAGGCAGACATATAGACAAAGTATAGACATCCCAGAATTGAATCCTCGTTTATATGATCAAATGTTTTCTACAGAGGTGCCAAGACCATTCAATAGGAAAAAGAATACTCTTTTAAGCAAATAATATTGGGAAAACTAGATATCTACATGAGGTGGGCCCTTACCTTACCATGTACAAAAATTAACTCAAAATGAATCAAAGACCTAAATATAAGACTTAACATCACAAAACTACTAGAAGAAAGCGTGACTAAAAAGCTTCATGACATTGTATTTGGCAATGAGTTCTTAAATATGACACCAAAGTACACAAAATGGAAGTAAAATTAGATAAATTGAACTATATTGAAGTTTATACCCATGCTCATGGGTAGGAAGAATCAATATTGTGAAAATGGCTATACTGCCCAAGGTAACTTATAGATTTAATGCCATCCCCATCAAGCTACCAATGACTTTCTTCACAGAATTGGAAAAAACTACTTTAAAGTTCATATGGAACCAAAAAAGAGCCCACATCACCAAGTCAATCCTAAGCCAAAAGAAAAAAGCTGGAGGCATCACGCTACCTGACTTCAAACTATACTACAAGGCTACAGTAACCAAAACAGCATGGTACTGGTACCAAAACAGAGATATAGATCAATGGAAAAGAACAGAGCCCTCAGAAATAATGCTGCATATCTAAAACTATCTGATCTTTGACAAACCTGAGAAAAACAAGCAATGGGGAAAGGATTCCCTATTTAATAAATGGTGCTGGGAAAACTGGCTAGCCATATGTAGAAAGCTGAAACTGGATCCCTTCCTTACACCTTACACAAAAATTAATTCAAGATGGATTAAAGACTTACATGTTAGACCTAAAACCATAAAAACCCTAGAAGAAAACCTAGGCATTACCATTCAGGACATAGGCATGGGCAAGGACTTCCTGTCTAAAACACCAAAAGCAATGGCAACAAAAGACAAAATTGACAAATGGGATCTAATTAAACTAAAGAGCTTCTGCACAGCAAAAGAAACTGCCATCAGAGTGAACAGGCAACCTACAAAATGGGAGAAAATTTTTGCAACCTACTCAACTGACAAAGGGCTAATATCCAGAAGCTACAATGAACTCAAACAAATTTACAAGAAAAAAACAAACAACCCCATCAAAAAGTGGCAAAGGACATGAACAAACACTTCTCAAAAGAAGACATTTATGCAGCCAAAAAACACATGAAAAAATGCTCACCATCACTGGCTATCAGAGAAATGCAAATCAAAACCACAATGAGATACCATCTCACACCAGTTAGAATGGCAATCATTAAAAAGTCAGGAAACAATAGGTGCTGCAGAGGATGTGGAGAAATAGGAACACTTTTACACTGTTGGTGGGACTGTCAACTAGTTCAACCATTGTGGAAGTCAGTGTGGCAATTCCTCAGGGATCTAGAACTAGAAATACCATTTGACACAGCCATCCCATTACTGGGTATATACCCAAAAGACTATAAATCATGCTGCTATAAAGACACATGCACACGTATGTTTATTGCGGCACTATTCACAATAGCAAAGACTTGGAACCAACCCAAATGTCCAACAATGATAGACTGGATTAAGAAAATGTGGCACATATACACCATGGAATACTATGCAGCCATAAAAAAGGATGAGTTTATGTCCTTTGTAGGAACATGGATGAAATTGGAAATCATCATTCTCAGTAAACTATCGCAAGAACAAAAAACCAAACACTGCATATTCTCACTCATAGGTGGGAATTGAACAATGAGATCACATGGACACAGGAAGGGGAACATCACACTCTGGGGACTGTTGTGTGGTGGGGGGAGGGGGGAGGGGGGAGGGATAGCTTTAGGAGATATACCTAATGCTAAACGGCGAGTTAATTGGTGCAGCACACCAGCATGGCACATGTATACATATGTAATTAACATGTACATTGTGCACATGTACCCTAAAAGCTAAAGTATAATAATAATAAAATTAAAAAAAAAAAGAAATTTATAACTTTTGTGCATCGAAGGACAAAATTAGCCAAGTGAAAGAACAACTTACTGAATGGGAGAAAATATTTGCAAGTCAGATATCTGATAACAGATTATTATTCAGAATATATAAAGAACACCTAAAATTCAATAACAATAACAAAACAACCCAATTAAAATAAGCAATAAATTTGAATAGATGTTTCTTTAAAGAAGACATACAAATGGTCAACAAGCACATTAGTATATTCTCAATATAACCAATCCTTTGGCAAATGCAAATCAAGACCACAATGAGTTATCACTTCACACCAATCAGGATTGCAACAATAAGAAAAAAAGAAACTAAGTATTGGTGAGGACATGGAGAAAGTGGAACCCTTGTGTGCTATTGGTGGCAATAAAAAATAGTGCAGTAACTATATATACCTCAGTGGGATATATATTCAGAAGAAGAATAGCTAGGCCATAATAGCAATTATATTTTTAATTTTTTTTCAGAAACCACTACACTATTTTTGAAAAGGCTTGAAGAGTTATTTGCATGCTCAAGTTCACAATGCCATAGTTTACAATAGTCAAAAGGTAGAAGCATCAAATTTTCAAGAAAGATGAATGGTAAACAAAACATGGTGTACACATGTGTGTTAGTCAGGGTCCTCTAGAAGGACAGAACTAATAGGATAGATATGTATGTAAGGGGAGTTTATTAAGGAGTATTGACTCACATGATCACAATGTGAGGTCTCACAATAGGCTGCCTGCAAGCTGAGGAGCAAGAAAGCCAGTCTGAGTTCCAAAGCTGAAAAACTTGGAGTCTGCTGTTCAAGACAGGAGCATCCAGCATGGGAGAAAGATGTAGCACACAATACTAAATGAGTCAAGCCTTTCCACATTCTTTTGCCTGCTTTTATTCTGGCCATGCTGGCAGCCGATTAAATTGTGCCCACCCAGATTGAGGACGAGTCTGCCTTTCCCAGTCAACTGACTCAAATGTTAATCTCCTTTGGCAACACCCTCACAGACACACATAGGAACAATACTTTGCATTCTTCAATTCAATCAAGTTGACTCACAATATTAACCATAACAATGTGCAATGGAATATTATTTATCCTTAAAAAGTAAGGAAACTCTTACACATCATACAACATGGATGAAACTTGAGGGCATCATGCTACATGAAATAACTTAGTCAGGGTGGGACCAAGATGGCTGACTAGAAGCAGTGGCAATCAAAGGCTCCCATTGAAAAGAACCAAAACAGTGTGCAAATCCTGCACCAGCAACCAAGTAACTGGGTTCTGTCTTCATAACTGACTAAGTGGCTGGCGTGACCCACTGAGAGGAAGGAAGAGTAGTCTGGTGGGGTGGCCCACTTAAGAGTCACATGGGGCAGCAGAGCCCCCACTCCCCAGTCAAGGGAAGTGGTGAGTGTGCATGCTACCTGGCCTGGAAAACCACACTTTTCCCATGGAAATGTGCAAACCACAGATCAGAAAATTCCACTCATGAGCCCATGCCAGTGGGGCGTAGGGTCCCAATCAGAGAGCCATGCAGATTCTCAACAGCTATTTGGCTAGAATCTGCCTAAGCCTGCCAAGTTTGGGGAGGAGCAGAGGAGCAGAGGGGAGGAAGGCGGTCATCATCACAGCTGCAGCTGCCTGCTCTCTAAGCTATCTGAGCTCCTTGGGGCAGGGGTGACAGCCAACACTGGGGCTGCTAGATGCCTAACACACTAAGCTCCCAGGGAGTAGTCGGTGGGGGTGTGGGGATGGGTAATGCGGCAGCCATCTCTATAGCTCGAGTCTACGCCTTTCCTCTGCTGGAGTCAGGGAGGCTGGATGGCTTGCTCCTAAGAGGTATTCCCCACAGGACAACACACTGGCTGTGGGATACTGTGGCCAGAGTGCCTCTTCAGGCTGGACCCTAATCCATTGCTCCTCACTGAATGGGGCCTCCCTGCAAGAACTCCAACAACTCCAGCCAAGGGTTCAGGGGCAGAACTCTGATCTTCCTGGGCCTGAGCCCCTAGGGAAAGGGGTGGCCATAGTCTCTGCTGACCAGCAGACTTAGTCTTTCTTAGTAGATCTGAGGAATTTAGGCAGATCAGTTGAGTGGGTTTCCCCCAGCACAGCTTACCCCTTCCACCAAGGGACAGCCAAAGTGCTTTGTTAAATGGGTCCTGTTCCCTGTGCCACCAAACTGGGAGAAACCCTCCAACAGAGGTTGTCAGACACCCTATACAGGAGTGACCCTACTGGCATCAGGTAGGTGTCCCTCAAGGTCAGATATCTCAGAGTAAGGAGCAGGCACCCATCTTTGATGTTCTTCAGCCTCCTCAAGTGACATCTCCAGGCACATGGGTGAACCAGATTAATAGAGCCTGAAGTTAACGCCCAGAAGACTGCAGCAGCCCTATAGGAGAGGGACCTGTCTATTGAAAGAAAAACGAACAGAAAGCAACAACAGCATCAACAAAAAAAGTCCCCACAGAAACCTGAAACTGAAAACACAGAAGGCCAGAGTGCCTTTTCTCCTCCAAATGGTTGCGACACCTCTCCAGCAAGGGTGCAGAGTTGGATGAACTGGATGGAGGATGAGATGGGCAAATTGACAGAAGTAGGCTTCAGAAGGTAGGTTATAATAAATTCCACTGAGGTAAAGTTGTGTGTTCTAATCCAGCGCAAACAACTTAAGAACCTTGATAAAAGGTTGCAGGAGCTGCTAACTAGAAGAGCCAGTTTAGTCAGGAACATAAATGACCTGATGGAGCTGAAACACATGACATGAGAACTTCATGAAGCATACACAAGTATCAATAGTCGAATCAATCATGCAGAAGAAAAAATAAAGAAATTGAAGACCATCTTGCTGAAATAAGGCAGGCAGACAAGATTAGAGATAAAAGAATGAGAAGGAAACAAACAAAAACCTATGAGAAATACGGGACCATGCAAAAAGACCAAACCTATGATTTACTGGAGTGCCTGAAAGAGGTGGGGAGAATAGAGCCAAGTTGGAAAAGACACATCAGAATATTAACCAGGAGTACTTCCCCAGTCTAGCAAGACAGGTCAAAATTCAAATTCAGGAAATGCAGAGAACACAACTAAGATACTCCATGAGAAAATCAACCCCAAGACACATAATCATCAGATTCTCCAAGGTTGAAATGATGGGGAAAATGTTAATGGCAGCCAGAGAGAAAGACCGGACACCTACAAAGGGAAGCCCATCAGAATAACAATGGAGCTCTCAGAAGAAACCCTACAAGCCGGGAAAAGAGGGAAGACCAATATTCAACATTCTTAAAGGAAAGAATTTTCAACCCAGAATTTCATATCCAGCCAAACTAAGCTTCATAAATGAAGGAGAAATAAAATTCTCTCCAGACAAGCAAATGCTGAGGGACTTTATCACTACTGCCTTGCAAGAGCTCCTGAAAGAAGCACTAAATATGGAAAGGAAAAACTGGTACCAGCCACTGCAAAAACACACCAAAATATAAAGACAAATTATACTATGAAGAAATTACATCAACTAATATGCAAAATAACCACCTAACATCATGTGACAGGATCAAATTCACACATAACAATATTAACCTTAAATGTAAATGGGCTAAATGCCCCAATTAAAAGACACAGACTGGAAAATTGGATAAAGAGTCAAGACCCATTGGTATGCTGTATTCAAGAGACCTGTCTCAGTGCAAAGACACATAGGCTCAAAATAAAGGGATGGAGGAAGATTTACCAAGCAAATGGAAAGTAAAAAGAAGCAGGGATTGCAATCCTAGTCTCTGACAAAACAGAATTTAAACCAACAAAGATCAAAAAAGACACACAAAGACATTACATAATGGTAAAAAGTTCAATTCAACAAGAGGAGCTAACTATCCTAAATATATATGCACCCAACTGAGGATCACCCAGATTCATAAAACAAGTTCTTACAGACTTACAAAGAGATTTAGACTCCCACACAATAATAATGGGAGACTATATTTGACACCCCACTATCAATATTAGACTGATCAATAAGGCAGAAAATTATCAAAGATATTTAGGACTTGAACTCAGCTCTGGATTAAGTGGAACTGATAAATATCTGCAGAACTTTCCATCCCAGAACAACAGGATATACATTCTTCTTAGTGTCACATGACACTTACTCTAAAATTGACCATATAATTGGAATTAAAATACTCCTCAGCAAATGCAAAATAACTGAAATTATAACAGTCTATCAGACCACAGGGCAATCATATTAAAACTCAAGATTAGGAAACTCACTAAAAATTACACAACTATATGGAAATTGACCAACCTGCTCCTGAATGACTACTGGGTAAATAATGAAATTAAGGCAGAAATCAAGAAGTTCTTTGAAACTAATGATAACAAAGAGACAACGTACCAGAATCTCTGGAATGCAGCTAAAGCAGTATTAAGAGGGAAATTTATAGCACTAAATGCCCACAACAGAAAGCTAGAAGGATCTCAAATCAACACCCTAACATCACAATTAAAAAAACTGGAGAAGCAAGAGCAAACAAATCCAAAAGCTAGCAGAAGACAAGAAATAACTAAGATCAGAGTAGAACTGAAGGAGATAGAGATATGAAAAATACTTCAAAAATAAATGAATCTGGGAGCTGTTTTTTTGAAAAAATATAATAAATAAACCGGTAGCTAGACTAATAAAAAAGAAAACAGAGAAGAATCAAATTGAAACAATAAAAACTGATAAAACCACTGACCCCACAGAAATACAAACTACCATCAGTGAATATGATAAATATCTCTATATAAATAAAGTAGAAAATCTAGAATAAATGGGTAAAGTCCTGGAGACATACACCCTCCCAAGACTAAACCAGAAAGAAGAAACCCTGAATAAGCCAATAACAAGTTCTGAAATTGGCAGTAATAAATAGTCTACCAACCAAAAAAGTCCAGGACCAGATGGAATCCCAGCCAAATAATTCTCCCAGAGATACACAGAACTGTTACCATTCCTTTTGAAACTATTCCAAACTATTGAAAAGGAGGGACTTCTCCCTAACTCATTTTATAAGGCCAACATCATCCTGATATCAAAACTTGGCAGACACACACACACAAAAATACTTCAGGCCAATATCCCTGATGAACACTGATGCAAAAACCTTCAATAAAATACTGGCAAACTGAATCCAGCAGCACATCAAAAAGCTTATTTACCAGGATCAAATCGACTTCATCCCTGGGATGAAAGGCTGGTTCAACATATGAAAATCAATAAATATAATCCATCACATAGAACCAGTGAAAAAAGCCACATGATTATCTCAATAGATGCAGAAAGGCCTTTGATAAAATTCAACATTCCTTCATGTTAAAAACTCTCAATAAACTAGGTATTGATGGAACACATCTCAAAATAATAAGAGCTATTTATGACAAATCCACAGCCAATATCATACTGAATGGGCAAAATACTGATTATCTCAATAGATGCAGAAAGTCCTTTGATAAAATTCAACATTCCTTCATGTTAAAAACTCTCAATAAACTAGGTATTGATGGAGCACATCTCAAAATAATAAGAGCTATTTATGACAAATCCACAGCCAATATCATACTGAATGGGCAAAAGCTGGAAGCATTCCCTTTGAAAACCAACACAAGACAAAGATGACCTCTCTCACCACACTTATTCAACATACTACTGGAAGTTCTGGCCAAGACAATATAGTAAGATAAAGAAATAAAGGGTATTCAAATAGGAACAGAGGAAGTCAAATTATCTCTGTTTGCAGATGACATGATTCTATATTTAGAAAACCCAATTGTCTCAGCCCAAAAACTCCTTAAGCTGATAAGCAAATTCACCAACGTCTCAGGATACAAAATCAATGTGCAAAAATCACAAGCAATCATATACACCAACAATAGACAAGCAGAGAGCCAAATCATGAGTGAACTTGCATTCACAATTTCTACAAAGAGAATAAAATACTGAGGAATACAGCTGACAAGGGACCTGAAGGAGCTCTTCAAGGAAACTACAAACTACTGCTCAAGGAAATAAGAGAGGACACACACACACATACACAAAATACATCTTTATGGATAGGAAGAATCTTGATCAATATCAAGATAGGAAGAATCAATATCTTAAAAATCAATATCTTGAAAAAGTAATTTATGTTCAATGCCATTCCTATCAAACTACCATTGGCATTCCTCACAGAATTAGAAAAAACTACTTTAAATTTCATGTAGAAACAAAAAAGAGTCCGTGTAGCCAAGAAAATCCTAAGCAAAAAGAACAAAGCTGAAGTCATCATGTTACCTAACTTCAAACTATTCTACAAGGCCACAGCAACCAAAACAGCATGGTACTGGTACAAAAACAGACATATAGACCAATGTAACTGAACAGAGATCTCAGAAATAATACCACACATCTACAACCATCTTATCTTTGACTAACCTGACAGAAACAAGCAATGGGAAAAGGATTCCCTATTTAATAAATGGTGCTGGGAAAACTGGCTAGCCATATGCAGAAACTGAAACTGGACCCCTTCTTACACCTTATATAAAAATTAACATGAGATGGATTAAAGACTTAAATGTAAAACCCCAAACCATAAAAACCCTTGAAGAAAACCTAGGCAATACTATTGAGGACATAGTCATGGGCAGAGATTTCATGACAAAAATGCTAAAAGCAACTGCAACAAAAGCTAAAATTTACAAATGGGATCTAATTAAACTAAAGAGCTTCTGCAAAGCAAAAGAAACTATCATCAGAGTGAATAGGCAACCTACAGAATGGGAGAAAATTTTTGCAATCTACCCATCTGACAAAGATCTACTATCCAGAATCGACAAGGAACTTAAACAAATTTACAAGAAAAAAGCAAACAATCCCATCTAAAAGTAGGCAAAGGATAGGGATAGATACTCCTCAAAAGAAGACATGTAGCCAATAAACATATGAAAAAAAGCTCAAAATTAGTGATCATTAAAGAAATGCAAATCAAAACCACAGTGAGATACCATCTCATGCGTCAGAATGACAATTATTAAGATGTCAAGAAACAACAGATGCTGGCAAAGCTGTGCAGAAATAAGAATAGTTTTACACTGTTGGTGGGAATGTAAATTAGTTCAACCATTGTGGAAGACACTGTGATTACTGCTCAAGGATCTAGAACCAGAAATACCATTTGACTTAGCAATCCCATTACTGGGTATATACCCAAAGGAAATGAAATTATTCTACTATAAAGCACATGTATGTTTACTGCAGCACTATTTACAATGGCAAAGACATGGAACCAACCCAAGTGCCCATCAATGATAGACTGGATAAAGAAAATGTGGTATATATACACCATGGAATACTATGCAGCCATAAAAGGGGATGAGATTATGTCCTTTGCAAGAACATGGATGAAACTGGAAGCCATCATCCTCAGCAAACTAACACAGGAACAAAAAACCAAACACTGCATGTTCTTACCCATAAGTGGGAGCTGAACAATGAGAACACAGGGACTCAGGGAGGGGAACAACACACATGGGAGCCTGTTGGTAGGAAGAGGGTTGAGAGGAGGGAGATCATCAGGACAAACAGCAAATGCATGTGGGGCTTAAAACCTAGGTGATAGGTTGATAGGTACAGCAAACCACTATGGCATATGTATACCTATGTAACAAACCTGCATGTTTTGCACATGTATTCCAGAACTTAAAGAAAAAAAAAAGAAGTCAGTCACAAAAATACAAATACTATATGATTTAACTCTTATGAAGTATCTAGTGTAGTCAAATTCATAGGGACAGAAAGTTGAATTGTGGTGTCGGAAGCTTGGGAAAGGAATTGTGAATTGTTGTGTAATGAGTATAGAATTTCAGTTTTTAAAGATGAAAAGAGTTCTGGAAATTGGGTGCACAATAATGGGAATGTAGTTAGTACTACTGAACTGAATGCTAAAAACATGGTTAAGATGGTAAATTTAATGTTTCTTTTTTATATTTTGCCATAATTACATGTAATTATGTGCTGCATAAAAAAGTTTCAGTCAATAACACACTACCTTTACAATAGTGGTCTTTTAAGATTCTAATAGCATGTTTTTTACTATACTTTTTCTATGATTAGATGTGTTTAGGTACAAAAGTACAATTGTGTTAAAATTGTCTACAGCATTCAGTATAGTTACATGCTTTGCTGGTTTGTAGCCTAAGAACAATAGGATTCATTACATAGCCTAGGTGTGTAGTAGGCTATGTTTGTATATTATGACGTTCTCACAATGACAGATTGCCTAATGGTTCACTTCTAATAAAGTATTCCTGTCATTAAGTGACAAATGTCTCTGTGTGCATACGTATATATATTTAAGATGTCCCACTCACCTAGATTAGCAGCATAAGCCACCCATCTTTCCTGTGGAGAGATTATGCTGTAGCTGGGCCCTCTCCACTCCATGCCCAGGAAGCTCTCCATGTATTTGGAGCATTCACTCTCCTGGACTAGGAGTTTAGACGGCCACCCTTCCCTGTGCAGAGAACTTGGGGCAGAGGTTTCCCAGCTCAACACCTAGGCACATCTCTGGGCTCTTGATGGCCATCCACTGAACTTCCCCCTTGGAGCTGCTGCTTGTGCCTACCACTGGGGGACCTGTGGGCAGGCATGCTTTGTCTAGCCCTGCCTATCTTGTTGCCCCCACTCTGAAGCTGAACAGGGAACTCAAACCACTGCATACTCCACAGATCAGCCCATTACCAGAGACAACAGAGACCTTCCCCCAGTAAACAAGGATCAAGTATATACCCAGTCATGTTGGCCGCAGTTGACTCTAACCCATAGGAGCTACCTAGAGGCCTGACACTTGAATGGTGCAACACTATAGAAAATCTACTGACATAAGCACACAGCACTGGGGAAAGAGATAAGTTTCCTGAGACTGCTGCCACTGCCACCTCACAGGAGGCAGTGAGCTTGCTAACATGTTCAGTACATGACTACTACAACCAGTATTTGGGTAAGCCCCATAAAAAGGCTAAAATCAGGAAACTTATAAAGACTCTTTGCCACTAAAAACACACAGAACCAGTGATATGACCCTCAGCACGGTCAGCCTCTAAAGGAGGATGTTGCCCAGTCTACCAAAGACCCCCTTGGGTTAATGGAAACATAAGCATGGCACAAGCTATGTGGAATCAGCAGCAATGCTTCCCATCAGGCCCCAGGGAGCATGGGCTGAAAGAGACTGCTTATTGGGTTTATGCAGCAACTGCACCTCCACTGAAGGTGAATGCTCACCAGGAGAAGACAATTTTCATCTTTCTCCATTATCTGTGCCCCTCCCCCCTACCTGTCAGCTCTTATTCTTAAGTGTCACCTACTGGACTGGAGCCTGAATTACCAAACAAAATTACATTACTACAACAAGCAACATCTAAGAAAGCCACTGCATAAACCTATCTGTAACCAAGAAACCTATTCAGAGCCTTGACACCCTGAGAAAATAACAGAAATGAAGCCAATTGATCATACACAATATACCTTGCAGTTATACCTCCAAAAGAAAAAAGGAATAAAAAATCAAGAAGCACCAGTCAAATAATAGCAAATTCACAACAAAAGGAAACATCAGCTCTCTCAAATGAGAAGGAATCAGCACAAGAACTCTGGCAATACAAAAAATTAGCATGTTTTATTACATCCAAAGGATCCCACTAGCTCCCAAGCAATAGATCCCAACCAGAATAAAATGTCTGAAATGACACATACAGAATTCAGAATATGGATGGCAAAGAAACTCTATGAGATCCAAGAGAAAGTTGAAATCCACTATAAAGAATAAATGAAATTGATTTGAGAATTGAAAGATGACATAGCTAAAGTAAGAAAGAACCACATAGATCTCCTGGAATTTGAATAAAAAATCACTACAGGAATTTCAAAATACAGTAGGAAGCCTTAACAATTGACTAGATCAAGCAAAAGAAAGAATTTCAAGGTCTGAAGACAAGCCCTTCAAATTGACCTATTTAATTAAAAAAAAAGAAAAAAGAATTTTAAGAAATGAATTAAGCCTTCAAGAAACATGAGATTATGTAAAGTGACCAAATATTCAAATCGTAGCCATTCCTGTGAGACAAGAAGAGAAAGCAAGCAACTTTGAAAACATATTGCAGGATATAATTCAAGAAAATTTCCCTAATCTTGTTAGAGAGTTCCACACGCAGATACAAGAGATCCAGAGAACTCCTCTGAGATACTATAAAAGATGACCATCCCCAAGACATACAGCCATCAGAATATCCAAGGTCAAAGCAAAAGAAAAAAATCTTAAAGGCAGCTAGAGAAAAGATCACATAACCTATAGATGGGAACCCGTCAGTCTAACTGTTGACTTCTCAGCAGAAACATTAAAAGCCAGAAAAGATGGTAAGTTGGGGGGGCAGGGGGGCGCATTTTTAGCATTCTTAAAAAAGAGAAATGCCAGCCAAGAATTTTATATCCTGCCAAAGTAGGCTTCATAAATGAAGAAGATATCAAGTCTATCCAAGACAAACAATTGCTAGGAGAATTTGCCACCACCAGGCCAAACCTACAGGAGAGACTTAAGGAAGTTCTAAACATGGAAATGAAAGAAAAATACTTGCTACCACAAAAGCACACGAGTACATAGCCCACAGATCCTATAAATGAATTACACAAATGAGACTACAAAGCAATTAGCTAACAACACTATGACAAGAATAAAATTTCTATATCAATATTAACCTTGAATATAAACAGTCTAAATAATCCACTTAAAAGACATAGAGTGACAAATTGGATTAAAAATCAAGACTTATTTTTCTGCTGCATGCAAGAGATGATCTAACTTGTAATGACACACATATGCTCAGAGTAAAAGGATGGAGAAAGAACTATCAAACAAACGGAAAGCAAAAAAGAGCAGGTATCAGATAAAATAGACTTTAATCCAACAATGGTAACAAAGGAGAAAGAAAGGCATTGCATAATGATGAAGGATTCAATTCAAGAAGAACATTTGACTATTCTAAATATATACACACCAACATTGGTGCACCCAGATTTAAAAAATACTACTTCTCGATCTAAAAAAAAAAATTTGACAGCTGCAAAATAACAGTGGCAGACTTTAATACACCACTGACATTCTGGGACAAAACATTGAGAAGGAAAACTAACAAAAAAAAATTCTAGACTTAAATTTGACATTAACAATTGGATGTAATAGACATCTACAGAATACCGTACCCCAAAACCTCAGAATATTCAGTCTTTTCATCTGCACATAAGTGTACTTGAATACTGACTACTTGATTGTTCATAAAGCAAGTCTCAATAAATTAAAAACATTCAAAATAATATCAAGTATCTCCTTGGACCACAATGGAATAAAAATAGAAAATAATACCAAGAGAAACTCTTGAAACTACACAAATCCATGGAAGCTAAACAACTTACTCCTGAATGACTTTTGTGTAAGCAAAATCTAGACAGAAATAAAAAAGTTAATTGATACAAATGGAATAGAGATATACCATACAAAACCTCCAGGATATCACAAAAGCAGTGTTAAGAGACAAGTTTACAGCATGAAACATCTACATCAAGAAGATAGAAATATCTCAGATAAACAACCTAACCTCACACCTAATGGAACTAGAAAAGCAAGAACAAACTAAAGCTAAAGCTTGCAAAAGAAAAGAAATAACTGAAATCAGGTCAGAACTAAGTGAAATTGCTAACCAAAAAAAAATATATATATATATAAATGATATGCTGAATTAAAACTTGCTTATCTGAAAGGATAAACAACATTAACAGTCAGCAATCTAGGTTAACAGAGAAAAATAAAAAGAGAAAATCCAAATAAGCAAAGATGGAAATAACAAAGGTGATGTCACATCCAATTCCACAGAAATACAGAATGGCCTCAGAGACTAATATGAACATCTCTATGCACAAAAATTATAAAATTTAGAAGAAACGAATAAATTCCTGGAAACACACAACCTCCCAAGATTGAACCAGGAAGAAATAGAAATCCTGAACTGACTAATAATGACTAATGAAATTGAATCAATAATAAAAAACCTATCAACCATGAAAGTCCTGGACCAGATTAATTAATGGCTGAATTTGACCAGATGTACAAAGAAGAACTGGTACCAATCCTACAGAAATTATTCCCAAAAAATCAAGGAGGAAGGACTTCTTCCTAATTCATTCTGTGAAACCAGCATCACCCTAATACCAAAATGTAGCAAAGACACAAGAAAAAAGAAAACTAGAGCCCAATATTCCTGATGAAAATAGACACAAAAATCTTCAAGAAAATACCAGCAAGCTGAATCCAGCAGCACATCAAAAACATAATTCACCATCATCAAATGAGCTTTATTTTTGGAATGCAAAGATGGTTCAACATGTGCAAATCAATAAATATGATTCACCACATAAACAACATTAAAAACCAAAATGTATGATCATCTCAATAGACAGAAAAAACATTCAATAAAATCTAACATACCTTTATGATAAAAATCCTTCACAAACTAGACATCGAAAGAATATACATCAAAATAATAAGAGCCATCTGTGACAAGCCCATAGCCAACATCATAAAGAACAGGCAAAAACTGGAAACATTCCCCTTAGAAACTGGAAAAGATAAGGATGTTCTCTCTCATCACTTCTGTTTAACATAAAAGTTCTAGCCAGATCAATCAGACAAGAGAAAGAAACAAAAGGCATCTAAACAGGAAAAGATGAGGTCAAGTTATCTCTCTTCACTGACAATGTGATTTCACATCTAGAAAACCCTAAAGATTTCACCAAAAGACTCCTAGACCTTTCAAAGGGAATGCTTCCAGTTTTTGCCCATTCAGTATGATATTGGCTGTGGGTTTCTCATAGATAGCTCTTATTATTTTGAGATATGTCCCATCAATACCTAATTTATTGAGAGTTTTTAGCATGAAGGGTTGTTGAATTTTGTCAAAGGCCTTTTCTTCATCTATTAAGATAATCATGTGGTTTTTGTCTTTGGTTCTGTTTATATGCTGGATTACATTTATTGATTTGCATATATTGAACCAGCCTTGCATCCCAGGGATGAAGCCCACTTGATCATAATGGATAAGATTTTTGATGTGCTTCTGGATCAGTTTGCCAGTATTTTATTGAAGATTTTTGCATCAATGTTCATCAAGGATATTGGTCTAAAATTCTCTTTTTCGGTTGTGTCTCTGCCAGGCTTTGGTATTAGGATAATGCTGGCCTCATGAAATGAGTTAGGGAGGATTCCCTCTTTTTCTATTGATTGGAATAGTTTCAGAAGGAATGGTACCAGTTCCTCCTTGTACCTCTGGTAGAGTTCGGCTGTGAATCCATCTGGTCCTGGACTCTTTTTGGTTGGTAAGCTATTGATTATTGCCACAATTTCAGAGCCTGTTATTGGTCTATTCAGAGATTCAACTTCTTCCTGGTTTAGTCTTGGGAGGGTGTATGTGTCAAGGAATTTATCCATTTCTTCTAGATTTTCTAGTTTATTTGCATAGAGGTGTTTGTAGTATTCTCTGATAGTAGTTTGTATTTCTGTGGGATCCTTTATCATTTTTTATTGCATCTATTTGATTCTTCTTTCTTTTTTTTCTTTATTAGTCTTGCTAGCAGTCTATCAATTTTGTTGATCCTTTCAAAAAACCAGCTCCTGGATTCATTAATTTTTTGAAGGGTTTTTTGTGTCTCTATCTCCTTCATTTCTGCTCTGATTTTAGTTATTTCTTGCCTTCTGCTAGCTTTTGAATGTGTTTGCTCTTGCTTTTCTAGTTCCTTTAATTGTGATGTTAGGGTGTCAGTTTTGGATCTTTCCTGCTTTCTCTTGTGGGCATTTAGTGCTATAAATTTCCCTCTACACACTGCTTTGAATGTGTCCCAGAGATTCTGGTATGTTGTGTCTTTGTTCTCGTTGGTTTCAAAGAACACCTTTATTTCTGCCTTCATTTCGTTATGTACCCAGTAGTCATTCAGGAGTAGGTTGTTCAGTTTCCATGTAGTTGAGCAGTTTTGAGTGAGTTTCTTAACCCTGAGTTCTAGTTTGATTACACCTTATACAAAAATTAATTCAAGATGGATTAAAGACTTAAACATTAGACCTAAAACCATAAAAACCCTAGAAGAAAACCTAGACATTACCATTCAGGACATAGGCATAGGCAAGGACTTCATGTCTAAAACACGAAAAGCAATGGCAACAAAAGCTAAAATTGACAAATGGGATCTAATTAAACTAAAGAGCTTCTGCACAGCAAAAGAAACTACCATCACAAAGGGCTACTATCCAGAATCTACAATGAACTCAAACAAATTTACAAGGAAAAAACAAACAACCCATCAAAAAGTGGGTGAAGGACATGAACAGACACTTCTCAAAAGAAGACATTTATGCAGCCAAAAAACACATGAAAAAATGCTCACCATCACTGGCCATCAGAGAAATGCAAATCAAAACCACAATGAGATACCATCTCACACCAGTTAGAATGGCAATCATTAAAAAGTCAGGAAACAACAGGTGCTGGAGAGGATGTGGAGAAATAGGAACACTTTTACACTGTTGGTGGGACTATCAACTAGTTCAACCATTGTGGAAGTCAGTGTGGCAATTCCTCAGGGATCTAGAACTAGAAATACCATTTGACCCAGCCATCCCATTAGTGAGTATATACCCAAAGGACTATAAATCATGCTGCTATAAAGACACATGCGCACTTATGTTTATTGCGGCACTATTCACAATAGCAAAGACTTGGAACCAACCCAAACGTCCAACAATGATAGACTGGATTAAGAAAATGTGGCACATATACACCATGGAATACTATGCAGCCATAAAAAAGGATGAGTTTATGTCCTTTGTAGGAACATGGATGAAATTGGAAATCATCATGCTCAGTAAACTATCGCAAAGACAAAAAACCAAACACCGCATGTTCTCACTCATAGGTGGGAATTGAACAATGAGAACACATGGACACAGGAAGGGGAATATCACTCTGGGGACTGTTGTGGGGTGGGGGGAGGGGGGAGGGATAGCATTAGGAGATATACCTAATGCTACATGACGAGTTAATGGGTGCAGCGCACCAGCATGGCACATGTATACATATGTAACTAACCTGCACATTGTGCACATGTACCCTAAAACTTAAAGTATAATAATAATAAAATAAAATAAAAATAAAAATAAATAAATAAAAAGACTCCTAGACCTTATCAACTACTTAAATAAAGTCTCAGGATACAAAATTAAGACACAGAAATTTGTAGCATTTCTATACACCAACAGTATTCAAGTTTAGAATCAAATCAAGAGCACAATTCCATTTATAATAAACATACACACACACACACACACCCACACATGCATGCCTGCACACCAGGCATATACCTAACCAAGGAGGTTGAAGATCTCTGCAAGGAGAACTACAAAATACTGCTGAAAGAAATCAGAGACAACACAAACAAGTAGTCTATGCTCATGGATTGGAAGAATCAACATTGTTAAGATGGCCATTTTGCCTAAAACAATCTGCAGATCCAATGCCATTCTTATGAAATCACCAACATCATTTTTCAGAGAAATAGAAAAAAAAAGTTCTAAAATTAATTGGAACCACCAAAGAGCTTGAAGAGATAAAGCAATCCTCAGCAAACAGAACAAATCTAGAGGCATCACATTATCTGACTTTAAGCTCTACTACAAGGCTACAATACCAAAAACTGGCACAATATTAGACACATAGACCAATGAAACAGAATAAAGACCCCTAAAATAAAGCAACACACCTACAACCAACTGATCTTTGACAACACTGAAAAAAATAAACAATGGGGAAAGGTCGCCCTATTCAATAAATAGTACTGGGAAAACTGGCTAGCCATATGCACAAGAATGAAACTGGACCTTGTACCTCGTACTACATACAAAAATCAACTCACAATAGTTTAAAGACTTAAACGTAAGACCTCGAACTATAAAAATTCTAGATGTAAATCTAGGAGGTACTCTTCTGGATAATGGTCCAGTAAAGAACTTATGATGAAACCTCACCCCCCAAAAAAATGCAACAGAATGAAAATAAGCAAACTGGACTTAATTAAACTAAAGATCTTCTGCACAGCAAAAGAAACTCTCAATAAGCAGACAACCTAAAGAATGGAATAAAGTATTTGCTATCTATGCATCTGACAAAGGACTAATATCTAGAATTAATAAGAAACTTAAGTGAATCGACAAGAAAAAAACCATTAAAAAGTGGGCAAAAGACATGGACACTTTTCTTTTTTTATTTTTATTTTTATTATTATTATTTTTCTGAGATGGAGTCTCACTCTGTCGCCCAGGCTGGAGTGCAGTGGCAGGATCTCCGCTCACTGCAAGCTCCAACTCCTGGGTTCACGCCATTTTCCTGCCTCAGCCTCCTGAGTAACTGGGACTACAGGCACCCGCCACCACGCCCAGCTAATTTTTTGTATTTTTTTAGTAGAGACGGGGTTTCACCGTGTTAGCCAGGACGGTCTCGATATCTTGACCTCATGATCCACCCGCCTCGGCCTCCCAAAATGCTGGGACTACAGGCGTGAGCCACTGCCCCTGGCTGATGTGGACACTTTTCAAAAGAAGACATACAAGTGGCCAAAAAACATAAAAAATTGCTCAACATCACTAATTATCAGAGAAATGCAAATAAATTCACAAAGAGATACCATCTCACATTGGCTAAAATAGTTATTATTAAAAAGTCAAGAAATAGTAGATGTTGGTAATGTTGCAGAGAAAAGGGAATGCTTATACACGTTCATGGGAATGTAAATTAGTTCAGCCCATGTGAAAATCAGTATGTTAGTCAGGGTTTTCTAAAGGGACAGAACTAATAAGATAAATGTATGTGTAAAGGGAAGTTTATTAAGGAGTGTTGACTCACAGGATCACAAGGTGAGATCCCACCATAGGCTGCCTGCAAGCTGAGGAACAAGGAAGCCAGTATGAGTTCCAAAACCTCAAAAATAGGAAAGCTGACAGTGAAGCCTTCAGTGTGTGGTTGAAGGTCCAACAGTCCCAAAGCTGAAGAACTTAGAGTCCAATATTTGAGGGTAGGAAGCATCCAGTATGGGACAAAGAGGTAGGTCGGAAGACTAGGCCAGTCTCGTCTTTCCGTGTTCTTCTGCCTGCTTTTATTTTCTGGCCACTCTGGCAGCTGATTAGATTGTGCTCACCCAGACTGCTGGAGGGTCTGCCTTTCCTAGTCCACTGACACAAATGTTAGTCTCTTTTGGCAACACCCTCACAATCACACCCAGGAACAATACTTTACATCCTTCGATCCAATCAAGTTGACACTCAATATTAACGATCACAATCAGTTTGGAGATTTTTCAACGCACTAAAAATAGAACTACCCTCTGACCCAGCAACCCTATTACTGGATATATACCCAAAGTAAAATGCAACCATTCTACCAAAAAGACACATGCAGCTATATGTTCATTGTAGCGCTATTCACAATAGCAAATACATAGAATCAATCTGGGAGTCCAATAATGGTGGATTGCATAAAGAAAATATGGTACATGTACATTTTGGAGTGCTATGCTGCCATAAAACAGAAGTCACCTTTTCCAGCAATGCGGATGCAGCTGGAGGCCATTATTCTAAGCAAACTAATGCGGAAACAGAAAACCATGTATTACTTTTTTACTTGTTAGTAGGAGCTAAATCTTCAGTATGCATGGACATAAAGATGGGAACAAAAGACACTGGGTACTCCCAAAGAGTGGAGGAATAGAGAGAGGAAGGGCTGAAAAACTTCCTATCGGGTACCATGTTCACTATCTTGGTGATGGGATCAGTTTAAGCCCAAACCTCAGCACCATTCAGTATACCTTTATTAGAAACAGGCACATGTACCCCCTAAATTTAAAATTAAATGGAATTTCTTTTAAATGTATATATATCTCAAAATGTCCCTGAAGATTTTTAAATAGATTTTATATACTATTATGACAATACATGAAAGAGGAAAATAGGGCAAATCAGGAATAAATCAATTATTGGTTTATAAAATGGTCTGGACAATTTTAAGGAAAAGTCAAAGTTTAATTAATCATTCAACATTGCCTTCACATAGGTTCTTTCTTGGTTTATGTACTGTTTTCCCATTGTTCAAATGTTTATACACCCAGTGGCAAATACCTGCATATTTGGATGCATAATACAGACACTTTTCTCACTCCCCTGGATCGATAGGTAATCACATAACACATTTCAATTTTCTCTGTGATATTTTGCTAGACTATACCAGAAGACCTATAATTTGAGAGTATATTATACTTAAATGTTATGATCCTATTTCTTTAAACAAAAACTGTTGACTCTTCGAATTCTGAAACAAACTAATTTTCATTCAACAATAGATTTCCTGTATATGTGTATGTGTGCATATATGTACACTTTAGAGATATTAAAAATGTTTAAGACAATACTATAATTTATAATTAAGTAACATTGGCTTTCTCAAGGAATATAAATTGGAAATTTTGGTTTGAGTTAAAGAAGGTATATGATTATTCATGTTTATATACTTTTGTTGTTGTTACAATAAATGTTAAGTTAAAAAATCTATTACATTTTTGGAGAAACTTTCATACTGTTTTTATAATGGCTGTAACAATTTACAATGTACATTCTCAACAGCAGTATACAGGGGTTCTTTTTTCTCCACATCCTCACCAACACTTGTTAACTCTTATCCTTTGTATAATATCCATCATAAACAGGTGTGAGGTAATATTTTATTATGATTTGATTTGCATTTTCCTGATTATTAGTGATGTTGAACATCTTTTCACATACCTGTTGGCCATTTTTATGTCTTCTTCAGAGAATTGTTTACTTAGGTCCTTTGATCAATTAAAAAAAAATCTGATTATTTGAGTTTTTCTTGCTGTTGCATTGTATGAGTTTCTTATGAATTTAGGATATTAAACATTCATCAGATATATGATTTGCCAGTATTTTTCTCAATCTGTATGTTGCCTTTTAATTTTGTTAATTGTTTCCTTTGCTGTGCAGAAGCTTTTTAATTTGATATATTCCCACTTGCTTATTTGTGCTTTTATTGCCTGAGTTTTGGTGTGATATCCAAAAAAAATACTGACAAGATCAATAATAAGGAACTTCCCCCCTATATTTTCTTCTAGAAGTTTTACGGTATCATGGCTTATGTTTAGGTCTTTAATACAGAGTTGATTTTTGTGTACAGTGTAAGATAAGAGTCCAGACATGTCAATTTAGAATATTTATAGACATATAAATGAAATTGCCAACTGGTCATGTCAATTTGGGTATGAGCCAAGAGTTCAGCAAACAATCCAGGATAGACTTATAAATTCAGGACTTTTTCACAGTTGAATAATATTTAAAATTGTGAAGCTACAGAATAATATCACTGAGAAAATAAATTTAGATATAGAGAAGGTAAGATTACCAAAAAATGAGCCCAGGAACTTCTAACATTGAAGTAGAGGAAAAAAATGAATATTCTAAAACATAAATAGAAAGTAATAAGTAGTAAGAAGCTGCTAAGTTGTGATCAATAAAGCAAACTTGGGGGACCAAGAAGATCAGAGTATCAGAATATAATTTACAAAAAAAAAAAAAAATTGCTACAATTTCTTTTAGATTATGGCTTGTGATTTAGTTTTTAAATGATAAATTGCATTCTGAAAATTGGTAGGTGATTCCAAAGTCATTTCTTCCATTATTTAGAAAGAACTTTATTTTGAAGTCTAAAAGTGTATAATGTAATGATTATCAGATACTATTTTCACTTGAGCTGAGACATTTGATCCTAACTTCCTCTCCCCAGATAAGTCAGACTTTGGCTCCATTCTCTGAGCTGATTACTGAGGGCCAGTGAATGCCTCTAATGAATTATAGTGGCAACTCCCCAGTGATTATTGATTTCATCTAGCTCACTGAACAGAAATAAGTACTTTCTAATTTGCTGTGACATTGAATAGATGTGTTTGCTTATTAAAGGATGCTGTAATGGCAGTATGCCATCTTGTCAGAAGAAAGAGCAACTTTGCTTTTCTGGGACAGAAAGAATATCAACCAAAGACTGGAAAATTAGAGTTGGCTACAGAAACCCAACAAATGAACTTCTATGTAGTTTGAAAATAGGACAGAAACAAGAAAACAAAATCTTAGAAGTAGAGTCAAATACCACTGCTTGAGTTTCTTTTCAACTCTGCCACATGAGCTTTGACTTTTGGCAAGTGGCCTAACATTTTATTCATAGGTTTTTCATCACAGAGTAGTGTATGATGACGGAAACATCAAGGGTCATTTAAGCACACAATGGAAATGAATGTGAATGTCTCTGAAAAGTTAAAGTGTTACAGAAGTAAGAGAAGCCTTGAATTCAGTTTGCTCTGTTTCATACTGTTAATGGGCCCTGAGTCCGGGTAACTGTCCCTTTTGTCCCTTGCTTGACAGCTGGGTGACAGCTTAAGGTGGTCCCTTCTTGGGGCCAAGTGCATGGTGGCCAAAGGCGTCACCCACACCAGCAGGTGTGATTTTGTTAATCCAGCAGACGAACTTTCCAAAAAATAAAAGACAACTAGTCCCTGAAAAAAAAACCCAGAAGATTTGTTTTTATTCTAGAATTTCTGCATTATTTGAGTATTTGAGCTTTCTAATACTCTGATCTTCTTGTCTTTCAAGTTTACTTTATTGATCACAACTCAACGGCTTCTCACTGATCTATTTTACCACTTACTACTTTCTATTTATGTTTTAGAATATCCTTTATTTTCTCTACTTTGATGTTAGAAGTTCCTAGGCTTATTCCTTGGTTATCTTATCTTCTCCATATCTGAACTCATTTTCTCAGTGATATTGTTCTGTAGTTTCACAATTTTGAATATTATTCAAGTGTCCAAAAATCCTGAGTTTATCAGTTTATTCTGGATTGTTTGTCAAATTCTTGACTCATATCCAAATTGACATGACAAATTGTCAATTTCATTTGTCTAAAAATATTTTAATCTCAACATGTCTGGAACTGAATTCCTCATTTCCCTTCTAAAACTACCCTGATAAACACATCTCACCTGATAGTAATTTCATCCTTCACTTGCTCTGTCTCCAAATCTTAAAGTTATATTGAATTTTTCCTCTCTCTTACACCCAACATCTTTCTAAAAAACTTTATCTTCAAATCTATCCAGGATTCACCTCCTTCTTACTGCTTTCAATTCTATTTCCATAGTCAGAGTTAATATTACTTTAGCAGAATTACTGCAAGATATAATAATTCTGAGATGTGTCCTTGCTTCAAATGTACCATTCCCCTCTCAGTTTATTCTCAAAGTGGCAGAAGGTATACTCCTTTGGAAACAACTATCAGATAATATAACTGTTATGCATAAAGTCTCGTTTACATAGAATAAAAGCCAAAATCCTCAAAATGGGCTCTCAAGGCCTGCAGGATCTGGCCAACATTTATGAGGTTTCCTGCCTCACAGTTCCATGAATATCCCAGGACTGCTCCAGCTTTAGAGCATTTGCAATGGCCACTCCCTTTGCCTGCAATGCTCCTTCTCCTAATATCTAGATAGCTCTCCTCTTCAAACCCTTTCCATCTTTATGCAATGTCCCCTTTCCCAATGGCCTATTTAAAAATTATAGCTTGTCACTATTCGACCTCACTTTTCTGGTTTCATTTTTTTCCATAACTCATACTATTTTCACTTGATTACTCTGATTATTATTTAGTCTAATCTTTCTTTGTTAAAATGTAGACTCCATGAGAGACTGAAATACTGCTTTGTTCGTTGTTGCATAGCAATCGCCTACAGTGTCTGCACGTAACAGACCCTCTACAATGTGTTAAATAATAGTTTTCTAAAGAAACTTATCTCTTTAGATTGATAAGTTATCCTTTTAGACTGACATGGAAATTGTTTTCTCTACATTTCCATATATGTAATATATATATCTAATATATATAATATACAACTACATATATAATATATATGCAATGCATATATGTGTGTATTGTGTTCTTTTATCCCAGTACTTTAAAATCAAATTATTTGTTGTGCCACTAACTTGAGTAAATCAAAATTGCCCTATGACCAGTGCACATAGTTATTTACAGAACCAAATCCTAATGTGTGCAAAACCCATCTCATATCATTTAGTTGGAAGAATTATTTTAAATAATAACTAAGTAATAGTAAGTATATTTTCAAAAGAAATAAGTGCTTGTAAAATAGGAGGAAGTGGTGGCATCTAGGACTGAAAAGAAAGATATAGAGGAAAAACAATATTATTAAAATAAAACTAGGTTCTCAAAATTATTTCCATAAAGAAAATGATGCAAAATTGTCATATTTAGTCATTATCCTAATATATTTTTTCACATGAAATTTTTTATATGCTGTAAGCAATAAGTTATGGATGGAAAAGACATTGTAGTTAAACCTGAATAGCAATTCATTCAGAAAAAAAATGGTTTTGACCTAATGTAGTTAAAAGGAATAACTGATTGAGTTTCTGTCTTCTTAACATGATCCAAAAGTTATCATCTACTGTTTCCTTTGGTTATTTTTTATTTGATTGCCACATTTGAGATTGCTTCCACTCCACTGTTACTGCACAGGATCTATATAGATAGAATGAAAATGTTGCTGATTTGTCAGAGGAACTATATTAGTTATCTATTGCCATATGACAAATTACCCCAAAACATAGCAGTTTACAAAAACAAATATTTATAGCCTCATGGGTTCTCTGGGTCAGGAATGTGAGAGTAGTGTGGCTGATCAGTTCTGGCTCAAAATCTCTTTAAAATGTAGGCTAGAATTATAGACTTATCTGAATGCTTGATTGGGAGTATTTGCTTTCACTTTCATCAATATGGTTGTGGACAAACCTCAGTTCCTCACTGCTGTCAGCCAAAGACTTCAATCTCTTGCCACACAGGCCTCTCCCTGGGCTGCCCAAGTGCCTTCAGGACAAGTTACCTGGCTTTCCCTAGAATGAGTGACCTGGGTGAGGTGGACAGAGAGAACACCCAAGATTTTAAAAGTCATCTTTTTATAACCTAATCTCAAAAGTGATATTACTTATGCCATATTATATTCATTAGAAAAACATCATAAAATCAACTCTCAAGTAGAGGTTATTAAAGACATAAATATCAAGGGTTAGGGATCACTAGGGGCCACCTAGGAGGCTGTTGACTAAAGTTCCATCTCTAGTCTCTAATCATTTACTTCCTTTCATATGTAAAATATACATCAGTAGGAAAAAAAAAACCAAAATGGTTTTTCCTCTGTTAGCAGAACAATCAACACAGAAGACTTCTGTGACTTCTGATCTCCAAGAATTTTGCAGGGGTTTCTACCCAGCAACAAATAATCAGTTCTTCAGAGGACACCAGCTAGGTATGCTCTAATTTACCTGACACTATCTACCTGGGGATAGCATCAGATCCCACATGTTGAGGACTCAGTTTCATAATGTCAGAGGCTTTTGAACCAGAGCAACTCCATCTTGAATAGGGACTGGGTAAAATGAGGCTATGACCTACTGAGCTGCATTTCCAGTGGGTTAAGGCATTCTAAATCACAGAATGAGATAGGAGGTCAGCACAAGATACAGGTCATGAAGACCTTGCTGATAAAACAAGTTTCAGTAAAGAAGCTGGCCAAAGATATCTATGAGAATGACTTCTGGTTGTCCTCACTGCTACACTCCCACCAGCATGAGGAAGTTACCCTATGTGATCTAAAAGGGGAAGCATGAAAAATCTACCCCTTGTTTAGCATATCATCAAGAAATAATCATAAAAATGGGCAGCCAGCAGCTTTTGGGGCTACTCTGTCTGTGAAGTAGCCATTCTCTTATTCCCTTACTTTCTTAACAAACTTGCTTTCACTTTATGGACTTGCCCTGAATTCTTTCTTGTGTGAGATCCAAGAACCCTCTCTTGGGGTCTGGATCGGGACTTCTTTCCAGTAACAAGACTGTGCCCCACTTCTAATGTGAATTGCAAGCCCCAGTTGTTTTACCTGTGCTTCTGACCTACTGACTATAAATTGAGGTTCCCACAACTCCTTCCTCAGGTTCAATTAATTTGCTAGATTGGTTCACAACACTTAAGCAAGCTTTGCTAACACTTACTAGTTTATTATAAAGGATATTACCAAGGATACAGATGAAGAGCTGCATAGGGCAACAAATGGGAGATGGGGTAAATTCATGCCATCTTCAGGAACCTCCAAAAGTGTTCAGCTGTTTTGATGCTCATCTGAACTCTGTCCTTTTGGGCTTTTATGAAGGCTTCATTATGTAGGCATAATTGATGAAATCATTGACCCTTGGTAGTCAGTTTAACCTTCAGGCTCTATCCCCTCCCCAGAGGTTGGAGTTGGGCTGCAAGTCCCAATCCTCTAATCCTGCCTTGGTGTTTCCAGTGACCAGACCCCAACCTGAAGCTACCTAGAGGCTGCCCATCATTAGTCAACCCATTAGCATACAAAAAGACACTTATCACTTAGAAAATTCCAAGAATTTCAGGAGTTGAATGCCAGGAAACTGAGACAAAGATCAAATATATATTTCACAATATTACAACACATATCCTAAAAAGGACCTCCCAAAAGGCTTATTATGGAATCTACTCAAAATCTTTCAGACTTTTGACCTTCAGAACTATAAAATAAATCACCACCCTACCTTTCCCAAATTTTTGATCATGTCATCAGTCTTTACAAATCACCACCCCTAGAAATGAGATATTGCTTTTATTTTGGTTTATCATATTTGTATATAGAGTTTATTCTAGTGGTTTCTACTTGGTCTTTGCTATCAAATAGCTGTTACTTTATAAATAGGGAACCAGTGTAGAGAGTGGACAAGCTGTCAACTATATCTAGTTCAATTATACATTTTAGAACTGGAGAAATAACCATAGAGTGGGTTTAAGGAGCTATTGGGATCAGAACTTCCTCAATCACATGACCATTACCTTCTACGTTGACTATATTTAACTACAGTGACTAGGTGACTATATAACTTAGTTTCAGTTCAGATCCAGTGTCTGGTTAAAATGTCTTGTTATTCCCCCTTCCTTAATTCACTGTCATTCTGCAAAACGGCTGCAGTCCTCTTTAGGAAAGGCAAGGAGGAAGATGAACACTATAAATATTTGGCAGTGCATGAGGATTCTTCCTGAAGAAGCCTGCCAATCACTTGATTGATGGAACTCTGGGTCCATGAGTTGGTTCAGATAAGAGAGTTGAATGAATAAGGAATCATGGCTCTTTGTTTTGGTTAATCAGGTCAGAATTCTGTTCACTAGACCTAGAGGTTTCCCATTTATATAGATCAAGAAACACTTTAATTTCCTGCCCATCTGTTTTACTCTAGAAATACCATGATCAACTAGCCAACACGAAATGTCTCCACAGGTCAGACTATTCTGATCACTGCTTTTATTCCACTGTCCACTACAATAACTATAATCATCCTGTCTGTGGTGATTAACTGCTGCCATTTGGCCCCAGCACACTGGGATTCTATTATCCCCAATGCATATAGGTATCCCAGTTTAATGGTAGTAGTTTCTACAGAGAAGAGTGACCTCAGAGCTGTTGAAGGAAGATAAGACTTTTCTCAGGAATTTATTTATTATGGCTGTAGTGAAGAACACATTCTCTAGACTCTCACAGGGGTAGATTATGTCAAGAAAGAAGAGGTGAAAGACCAGCTACAAAGAAGTAAGACAAAGTGCTTACTGGGGTCTTAGCAATCACAAATTCTGAAGACATTCGGCTTCTAGCCAAATTGTGTTCCACAGAGGGGAGTTTCTAAAAGGACACTGAAGGTAATTACAGAATTTATTTTGAAAGAATTGTTGGTAGAGCTGGGCATGGTGGCTCATGCCTGTAATCCCAGCAATTTGGGAAGCTGAGAAGGGAGGATCACTGGAGGTCAGGAATTCGAGTCTAGCCTGGCTAACTTTGTGAAACCCCATCTCTACTAAATATACAAAAATTAGCTGGCTGTAGTGGCATACCCCTGTAATCCCAGGTACTCGGGAGGTTGAGGCATGAAAATCACTTGAATCTGGGAGGTGGAGGTTGCAGTGATCCGAGATCGCACCACTGCATTCATTCCAGAGCAAGACTCCATTCCCCCACCCCCGCCCCAAAAAAAAAAATTATTGGTGGAGATGTCTGGCTTAGTATATGAGCCCATAGTATTGTTTGTTGCTGTTCAGGGGTTGCAGCACTGCTAAATTCAGCTGTTTTCCAGAATGCTGTGGAAGTGGTGGTTTGGCCCAGTTCAGAAGTTCATGTCAAGTTTCTGTTTTGCAAGATTATAAGCTGTGCAGGTAGATCTTCTTAGAATGGCTTCCTGGCTCCATTTTAGAGCTCTGAATCAGAGTGATGCCATTTTATATATTGTATTTCACAATTAGCAAGTCTCATGTGATAAATCTTCTCTGGCATTGCAATCTCCATAAACCTCTGAATACCTTAATTGATCTATAGTATAACAAAGAAGTTTTGGCATTTAAATTAATTGAGTATAGGCCACTTGTGGATACTTACTGCAGTCAACCAACCAAGCAAACTATTTGAACCATTATTAGCTTCTCAAGCTACAAGACTCATTCTGGAATTCAACTATATGCTCTTTCAATCTTAATCCCTTTTTCTTATCATATATTCCCACACATATTCCCCAGCCTTCAGTTGATATGTATTTGAAAAACTGTGAACTTATTTTAGTGTGGAGTATATTTCCTCATGGATCCCAAGTTGTACCTTAGATCTTTTGGGGCCTGATAAAAGTTGAATCTGATTATGGATCTAGACACCAAGAGGATGGTAACAAAATACCTTGAAGAGAAATCAGCAATATCTTGCAAGGTAATTGTCTCACAGGAATAAATTACAGTTTTTTTTCTGTCAAGGGCAGACTATTCTCCTCAGGCAAGGTGGAAGGGCTGGTTCTACAGGCAAAGAAGACACAGAAAAAATTTGGTGTTCAAGGTCCCCAGCTTCACTGGAATCTGTTCAGATGTCCCCATCCCAAATTTCACTTTTGGATTTCTTTCTAATCATTTCTCTAGCTTTATTAAAAATTGTGAATTTAATTTGCAGTATTATTCTAATCTGCAGGACTAGACACTGAGTTTTCTTCTCAGAAATATCACCTCTACTGACACAGGAGATAAGAGTTAGCTTCAGGGCACTCATAGAAGCTTTCAGTCTCCTTAAATTGAAATCTGAAAGCCCTGGTTTTCACATTTTATTTCCTTAAATTCTCCAGGGCAGAAACAACCAATTAAATTTGATGGCAGCAGTAGTCTGTCTGGAGTGGCCACTGCCATGATGTCAGCTACAATAGGTGAGGTGCAGTCAGGGCTGTGCACTCACAGAGCTGGCCGGAGCCTTGCCCCCTTCTGAGTTGGAGGGGCAGGGCTGCCCTCCCAGGCACAGCTGCAGCTGCCCAGCTGTGGCTGTGGACCCGGGCATCCCTGTGCTCTTGGTGACATGGAAAGCTCCCTGCCCCTGCAGTCTCAGAAGTACCTACTCCCACTGCCTGGCCTCTCCCTGCTCTTGATGCCTGCTCTGATTTTGGAGCAAAGTTGAGGCCAAGCCCAGGCACTGTCATGACTTCGCTGGGTGTGCACACATTCGGGGCAGTGTTGACACACCAGCCCCCTGCAACCTCAGCCCTCTCCAGACTTTAGACACCCACGAACATGGGAGGGAGACTGAGGTGGGGCTAAAGGCAGTTTGGTGTGGGCCTGCAGGTTCCACTTGGCATGAACAGCCTAGGTACTGTGGGCACCAAGGACTGCAGGTTGATGGGGGCAGGAGGCAGACAGGCTCCTGAGTGGAAAGGGATTGGTGCCCATGAAGCCTCACCTTCAAGCCAGTGATGGCCTGAAGCCTGGGGGCTGGGCTTCCAGTTCCACAGACTAGAACTTATGGTGCATTTTGTGGGCCCACCCAGGGCCACCCATGAATCAATGAGCATGTACTTCCTCTCCTCTGAAGTGCATAAAAACCCTAGACTCAGTCAGACTCTGGGTAGATGATGGGACAGCCTGCCTGCGGATAGGAGCTACCAACTCCAGGTCTCCTTTCCAATGAGGGCTGCACAGATGTCAGGATTCCCTGTGGAAGGGAGCTAGCCACTTCAGGTCTCCTGAGAACTGTTATGCTGCTCAATGAAGCTCCTCTCTGCCTTGTTCACCCACCAGTTGTCTGCATACCTCATTCTTTCTAGATGTGGGACAAGAACTCAGGACCCACTAAATGGCAGGACTAAAAGAGCTATAACACAAACAGGATTAAAACATGCCACCCCCTCCCCTACACTACTCACCACATTGCAGATATGAGCAACGAGAAGAAGAGAAGAGCTGCAGCTCTTTGGGGAGCCCAGATCTAAGGGCCCCCTGAGCCAGGACTGTGATACTCTCTTTGGACTTCTGAAGTTCCTGGTGTCTTCAAGCTTCTGGGTGCTACCACACTCCCCTTATCCAGATGCAAGTACCTGTAGCAGAAGCCACGTGCAGTACATCTTGTCCAGCTGCAGCGTTGCACAGAGCTAGCACCTGTGCTGGCATTTGGAGCTGCCTGCCTCATTGCAAGAACCAGCGTGCCTGACTGTGTGTGGTGGCTGGACCCTAGGCTCACTCACTCATACACACTTTGCCTCTCCATGCCTGGCTCACAATTGACAGGTGTGAGATCCAGGACAGAAGCATGAGCTGAGAACAGCCTGCTGGGCAGAATAAGTGGAATGAGCCCACTGGGCATGAGCAATACTCAGGTAGAAGGTGCCACCAGCCACAGAGGCTTCCAGCTGGATCCTGTGATAACTCCACATCTCTCTTACTTTCCACTTATGTGTTCTATGGTAGAGAATATGTATTAGTCCTTTCTCATTCTGCTAATACATAAAGACATACCCAAGATTGGATAATTTATAATTGGGTAAATTATTGGGTAATTTATAAAGGAAAGATGTTTAATTTACTCGAAGTTCCATATTGCAGGGAGTCTTCACAATTATAGTGGGAGGTGAGGAGGAACAAAGTCATGTCTTATGTGCTGGCAGGCAAAAAGAGCATGTGCAGGAGAACCCTGCTTTATAAAACCCATCCGATCTTGTGATACTTACTCACTATCACACGAACAGTATGGAAAAGACCACCCCCATTATTCAATTACCACCCAGTGGGTCCCTCCCATGACACATGGGAATTATAGGAGCTACAATTCAAGATGAGATTTAGGTGGGGACACAGACAAATCATATCACTTCACCCTGGCCCCTGCCAAATCTAATGACTTCACATTTCAAAACCAGTCATGCATTCCCAACAGTTCCCCAAAGTCTTAACTCATTTCAGCATTAACCCAAAAGTCTACAGTCCAAAGTCTCATCTGAGAGAAGGCAAGTCCCTTCTGCGCATGAGCCTGTAAAATCAAAATCAAGTTAATTACTTCCCAGATACAATGGAGATAAAGACATTGGTTAAATATACCCACTCCAAATGAGAGAAATTTGCCAAAACAAAGGGGCTACAGGCCCCACACAAGTCCAAAATCCAATAGGGCAGTCATTAAACCTTAAGGTTCCAAGATGATCTCCTTTGACTCCATGTCTCACATCCAGGTCACACTGATGCAAGAGGTAGACTCCCACAGCCTTGGGCGCTCTGCCCTTGTGGCTTTGCAGAGTACAACTCTCCTCCTGGCTGCTTTCACAGACTGGCATTGAATGTCTGTGGCTTTTCCAGACACATGATACAACGTGTTGATGGATCTACAATTCTGGGTTTTGGAGGATCATGACCCTCTTCTTACAGCTCCACTAGGAAGTGCCTCAGTGGGGACTCTGTGTGTGGGCTCAAACATCACATTTCTCTTCCATACTGCCTTATCAGATGTTCTCCATCATGGCCCCACCTTTGCAGCAAACTTTTGCCTGGATATCCAGGCATTTTCATACATCCTCTGAAATCTAGGCAGTGGTTCCCAAACCTCAATTCTTAACTTCTGTGTACCCACAGTTCTAACATCATGTGTAAGCCACCAAGGCTGGAACTTGAACCACATGAAGCAACAGCCTGAGATGTATTTTGGCCCCTTTTAGCCACAGCTGGAGCTGAAACAGTTGGGATGTGGGACACCATGTTCTGAGGCTGAATACAGTAGGATTTTGTGGACCCAGCCCACAAAACCATTTTTGCCTCCTAGGCCTTCAGGCCTGTGATGTTCAAAGTTCCACAGATCTCTAGGGGAGAGGCAAAATGCTGCCAGTCTCTTTGCATAACAAGAGTGACCTTTACTCCAGTTCTCAACAAGTTCCTTATCTCCATCTGATATGGTTTGGCTGTGTCCCCACCCAAATCTCAACTTGAATTGTATCTCCCACTATTCCCATGTGTTGTGGGAGGGACCCAAGGGAGATAATTGAATCATGGGGGCCAGTCTTTCCCGTGCTACTCTCGTAATAGTGAATAAGTATCATGAAATCTGATGGGGTTTATTAGGGGTTTCCACTTTTGCTTCTTCCTCATTTTCTCTTTCAATGACCATGTAAGAAGTGCTTTTCACCTCCTGCCATGATTCTGAGGCCTCCCCAGCCATGTGGAACTGTAAGTCCAATTGAACCTCTTTTTGTTCTCAGTTTCAAATGTGTCTTTATTAGTAGTGTGAAAATGTACTAATACACCATCTGAGACCAACTCAGCCTGGACCTTATTGTCCATATCACTATCAGCATTTTGGGTAAACCTATTCAACAAGTCTCTAGGAAATTCCAAAATCTCCCATATTTTTCTGTTTTCTGAGCCCTCCAAGTCTCTAGAAAGTTCCAAACTTTTCCACATTTTCCTATCTTCTTCTGAGGTTTCCACAGTCTTCCACCTCTGCCAGTTACCCAGTTCTAAAGTCACTTCCACATTTTCAGGTATCTTTACAGCAACGCCACATTCTACTGGTACCAATTTACTGTATTAATCCATTCTCATGATGGTAATAAAGATAAATCAAGGACTGGGTAATTTAAAAAGGAAAGAGGTTTAATTGAGTTCCAAACAGATGAAGCCTCAGAATCGTGGTGGAAGGTGAAGGAGGAGCAAAGTCACATCTTACAAGGTGGCAGGCACAAAGAGAGTGTGCAGGAAAACCCCCCTTTATAAAACCATTAGATTTCGTGAGACTTATTCACTATCAAGAGAGCAGCATGGGAAAACCCCACCCCCATGATTCAATTATCTCCCACCAGATTCCTCCCATGACATGTGGGAATTATGGGAGCTACAATTCAAGATGAGATTTTGGTGGAGACACAGCCAAACCTTATCAGAATATATCACCCATTGCCTTATTATAGGCAATTCATTACAGGTATTTACCGGTGATAGTTGGATAAACTACTGGCCATGCATGCCATGGACTACCAGTAACCACTTTACTGCTGCAAACATTAACATTAATGCCTTAAACCTAAGCACGTTTGAGCACATATAAATATATTAAGAGACCTGTTATGATGTTTTTTTCTGCATGCAATATTGGGAGTTAGTTAAGAGGTCTCTATAAAGCCACTGACTCTGAGTATGATGTGGAACTGAAGTCTACAATCAGGCAGTTTGGAAAGAAAGAAAGATTAAAGTAGGGGAAAGCAAGAACATACTAGAACCCACAAGCATGTCCTGGAACCCATGAGGACCAATTGAAACTTTGTGCCTTCAACCTTTGTAGTATGAGTATCACCTCTGCCCTCCAAAACTCACACAAGAATTTCTCTTGTGTCCCACTGTAACTTGAAAGAAAATTTTGGAAAATAATCTCAGCCTAGTTAGCTTGACCAATTTCAATGCAAAGCCATCAGAATAGCATTAAATATTATGTCCTCTCCATTTCTAGGAAAAAATGTTTGTAATTTCTCCCTTTTTAGGGACCTCTACCTAAGAATAAAAAAGAATATTTGTTTATTCCATGTAATTGGAACTTGACATATGCAAACTTTAAAATTTTATATTGTATCTTAGAAACACATAAATTTGGAATTGGTTTTAATATGTAGCTTTAAAAAATTATCTGTAGTTATTTTAGTCACAAGCATTGAAAACTGATTCTACCTGACTTAAATTGCATGAAATGTTACTTCTCATGAACCTCAACCTTTCCATGAATTCCAAATGCATCACAAATATTTTGTTTAAATTGCAATAATTTTGTAGTATAGCATGTGGTGAATTTCATATTCAAGAGATTGCAATGCAAAAAGACAAGTCACATGAACATAGAATTCCAGGAAGCAATAGAGGCTGTAAAGACATTAAGTAACCTGGCAATGAACAAAAAATCAGGAAAGGAACTGTCCCAGGATCTGAAATCAGAATTTTACAATGGTGCTATCAAGATCTCCCAGGTCTGAAAGGACTGGATGATATCTAGGTTAAGTATCATATGTGAATGAGGTCTGTTTGCATTTTTATGTTTTTTATTTCATTTGTCTAGATGGTAATCAATCTCCTAATTATAATTATGTCTTTATTGAAGTGATTTCAGAGAATTTCTAGACACTTTTCATTTCAATAAGAGATATTTCATGAAGCTTCAAAAACATTAGTTATGCAGAATTTCACTTTGTTCCATTACCATTAAGAAATATTCACACTGTTAAGTTCCAAATATCCAGCACCTGCCTTCATGAGCAGGACATAACAAAAAGATATTTCTTGTCCTGAAAACACAGGGCTGTGCTAAATGGAACTAATATGAGAACAAATTTGAGGAGCTTCCCAAGGGCAAGTCAGGGAAATTAAAACACTGGATAGTTAGTTTTCAGCATCATCCAGGCTGTATAAGAAGCATTCAGAGATAAAAAATAAAATGATAAATTGTAAGTTAGATACTAGGTAAAACCTATGACATCTAAAACCTATGATGAGATAAGAGCAAATTAGAAAGAGGAGAGTTAATTCAGTCAGGTGCTTCTCCAGTGATAGAATTGAAAAAGCTATCCAAGTATTTTCCACCTTCGTTTATCCCCTAACACATTCATCAACACAGATCAATAAGGATTTACTAGAATGTGATCCACATTAAATACTAGTTGAAATGATGTGTTTATATGTCCTGTATCTGAGAAAATGTTGAAAAGTATTATTTGGGTTTAAATCATGTGAAATCCAAAATGTTTTCATTGTATTGTACCATCCTTCTTTTTCTTTCTAGAACAAAGCTGTAGAAATTGTTAATTTAAGTAACACTATTTTAAAAATAATGTACTCCGCTTTTTACCAAATTAAAAGAAGTGTGAGAACTCATCTCTAACCTCACTTTTTTGAAGATATAATTAATATGCATTAATTTGAATATTTGGTTCTACATTACCACACATTTTCTTATAGACATCTCAATAAAGTAAATTCAAAATATGTGGTAACACCAAAATTTAAAATGCTATATTTAAAAAACAATTATTTTAAATGCTCTATGAAAGTAGTTTGATGACTTTTTAAAACTGTAACTGTATTGATGGAAACATAAAGTTTTGTTTAGTGATGATTTGAAAATCTAAGCTCATAGTTATAATACAGCAAACCAAATAAAATGTGTAGAATTCAAATAACTTCATATTAAAGTGCTTTGGTTTAGTTCACTATGTCAATTAACTTAAATAAATTTCTTAAAATTATTTTATACTCATATATCAATATATTCACTAAACTAAATTTGTTTCCACAAATAGTGAAAAGCCCAACTTCAGCCTTGACTTTTCTGAAATTCTCACATTCAGTTTTTCAGAATGGTCTGAATTAATGAGTTATTTTTTGTGGTATAACTCTGAAAAGCACATTAAAAAGATTAATGTATTACAAACTTGGGAGGGAGCTAGTGTCATAAAAAGAACTTAATACTTATTTCTAATAATAAATAATTCTCTCAACTGCTGAATTTTCGGTTCAATACCTTCTCAGGAAGATGTCAGAATGAAGCATTAAAGTTTGCTCCATTCCATCAGAATGGGAATAGAGGGGCAATCTTGAGAAAAAAGAACTGGAGAGATCAATAAACTCCACAGGATGGCTCCACAGAGAGCAGAGTGGAGTTAGGGCACTTATTATGAGCTCTTATGACAGACTAGACATTTTAAACATATATTTTTTTAATTTAGTTCTCATAACAAAAGTAAGTATAATTTTCCTTAATGTAAAAGTGAGGAGAATGTGGCTTAAGGAGCTTAAATAACTTACAGAAAAAGACAATTAAAATTAGTTCAACTAGGATTAGATTGCAGATTTGCCTGAACCAGCTGCTCAAAGCATGATCTGTGGAGCAGCAGTGTGAGCATTGCCGGGGAGCTTTGAAAATGCCTATATTGGTCCTATTTCTGATCTACTAAATCACAATCTATAGGGGTGAGACTCAGGAATCTGTTTTAGCTTGCTCTCTAGGTGATTCTTACATATACTACAGTTTTCAAAAGTACTGCCCTATACCACACAGGTGACTTCAAATTGGAATTCATTTATCACTACGTGTCCTTATACAAATGACTAAACTCTATGTATCATTCCAATACCTTTTAACAAAATAAAAAATAAATATCCTCCATGCCTTTCCTGAAAGACTATTAAAAAAGAACCCTATATCCTGAAAACATTATAAAATATGAAATATTAAAATATATTATTTACATTAATCATACTGTAATTATTTTTAAATCACCATGTATACAATATTTGTTAGTTAAATACTATTTGAAGAAAGAAGCCAAAATTAATCTTCCCCCATCTTATTATTTCAATATCTCTTTTAGCGGATTATGGGGATGAAAATCAAAAGTTACTAGCAGTTGCCCTTGACTACAGTAGTAACCATGACCTCATAAACACAAATTTTGCCATTATAGTGTTTGCTTTCCCATCTTTAGCTTCCTTAGGTCATTAAAATAGTAACTGGAAATAACTGTTCTGTTTTGGGAGAACAAGAGTTTTGGATCTTAAGAAAGCCTGCCTCTAGATAAACGGCAGTGGTAGAATTCAAATTCACCATTTATATCTTAATTTAACAGCAGGTTTGAGCCAGCTATAGAAACTCAGCATCAAGCATTCAGAAACGTGATCTGTCAGAAGTGGAATAACACTGCAGAAATAAGCGTGTTTTGTTTCACAAGGCTTAAGTTCCTCCCTAGTTCTCTTTCAGTATAATGTGAATCTGTAGGCGTGTACATGTACATGCAAGTGCATGAATAATGCATAAACAAATTATGTTTTCAGAAACTTCCAAATAAGGATACTTCTGAAACAGGGCCAGTTTCACTTTCTGAAGATTGACTTCTCTTTCTTGCTTCTTTTGAACCCAGAATTTTGTACTAATCTTTCCTTCCCCCACAACATTTTTCAAATTAGCAAATATATCTCTTATTTTTTAAATAAATAGGCACACAAAGCACACAGGTGCAGGCATACACATTCCACGGCCATCCAAAAATAAACTAGAACCAAACATTTTAAACTTTTGGGAGTCATACTGATTGTAAATTAATAAAAGATAGGATTGCACTCTCTCTGTCTTCACACACACACATACACACACACACACACACACACACACACATAGGATTTACATACATCCTGAGGGTTATTAGTGAACCTGTTATTGAAGGTATAGTTTTACATGTTCAGATTTGTATGGCCTCCATTCTTATTGAGAAGTAGCATCACACAGTTAAGATCAGACTCTGCAACCAATAGCTTGTCTTGTAATCCTGTTACGTTACTTACAAACTATGTTAACTTTGGGCAATTTATTTAACCTCTTCACACCTCAGTTTCAAACTGAGGTATACCAACAGCATTTACCTGCAGGTATAAGAATTAAAGGAATCAACATTTGGAAGACGTCTCTTAGAAGAATTTCCTGCACAGAACAAAGAATATTATGCTTTTATTTGTTTCTGCTAAAAAACTTTATTAGTCATCTAATAATCAAAGTTTGGTTTATAACAGAGAAAATATTTTATCAAAACAAGGGATCAATTTGCTGCAATTCCGTTTTTCTCTCTTTTTCATGAGTGTGTGTGCACATTATCTTGCTATTGCTCTTCCTTTCCTTTTTCTTCATCTCTTTAGAAGAATCTTTAAATTTTTGTATTTATTTAATGAAATAATAATACATACAATATTTTCCAGTAACTGAAAAATTACTCCTGTGAAATCTGCACCTGTCATAATTTCTCTGTCCCTGTAGTCTGCAATACTTTGACTCCCTATTTCTGATAATTTAATTGAGCTAGTCTTCAGCATGCGGCAACAAAATTGAATAATGGTTAGTTTGCAAATGCCCTAAAGAAACACAATTGTAGTGAAAACTCTATTTGAACAGGACTCTCAGATGTTTATGGAAAGAGACCATGGAGTTCCCTGCCAATTACTTGCAAGATTTGGCATCCCTGACAAGTTTCTACCCACCAGAAGCAATCCTCTTACATCAGAGAGGGGGTTATATATACTGGATTTTTCAAAACATTTTCCTGAAAGTTCTAGTTGGTATCTAGGAGTGAAGAAAGGACAAAATGTGCTCTTAGACTTCTTCCCTAGAATGAAAATTTCCACAGTAGAGTTGCCTCCTTTGGTAAAGGTGAAGCTTTCCTTGAAGAATAAAGGGGCAGCCCTGTCTTTGATTAAGATGCTTTCAAACTCACACCTTTTGTTCCATTTATTCCTCTGGATTTTACAAGGTGAAGATATGTGAAGTAAAATGTTTTTACTGAGGCTCTTGCCTTTAAATCCTTGAAATAAGATGAACTGACATGAAAATAGGGATGAAAATACATTGAGGATGCATACAGAAAACTCTGGCGATGCACTAAAAATGTGTGATCTAGCTGGCAAAGCAGAAACATGAGATAAAAAGAAGAAAAATTGCTCAAGAGATAACTCGGGGTCTCAAGCTTTAAAAACTGAGTGCGATAAAGTCTGTCAAATATTGCACTTGCGTTGCTCCTCCTCCTCCCCATCTCTATTGAAGGAGAGATTAATCCCTCAAAGAGGACATTGCTAACACTTCAAAAATACAATTTGTGAACAATGTTCAAGTGTCTGAGAATACACATTTATAATCTTAACAACCTAGTCACACTAAACTTGGAGGAAACCGTCATTCATTTTCAAATATCAGAGGATGTCATACCTTGAGGGGAAAATTAACAGCAGAAAGAAGGAGAAAAAGTTATGAAATAATGAAGAAAGGACAACAAAAGATGTAAGTGCTTCTGTCCCCCAGACAATAATGTTTAGCTCTCTGACACTGAGACAAGACATTTTGGGTTTAATCTTTTGGTTGAAAGATGCAATAATTATTTTTCATATTCCTTATTAAACACTTAAAGATATGGAGAAGACCTGCTTTAATAAGGATGAACGTGACAGGAGGGAAAACCTTAAAAGGAAAATTATAATGAGTATGTTTCAAATTTAAAGTATAATTCTCATATATTAAAATTTATTTTCTCAAAATATAAAATTAAAATACTCAGTTGAATCTGAAACACCTTTTTAAATGACTATTAACACCACAAATTTTCTGTTTCCTCATCTTTAAAATGATAATAACTGTTATTATAGCTGCTTTGAAGATTAATGAGAAAAATCATACAAGTTGTAGTAGAGTTCCAGGCTCAGAATAGGTATTTGTTAAATGTCAGCTACTCTGCTACTAGTACTTCAACAACTGCCACAATTATTCTATGCTTACCAATATTAATATTAATAATAATAATTTTTTATGTGTACTGACAGTTTTTATATATTCTATTAACACAACCTCCCATTTGCTTGATAACTTGATCATAAGAGCCTAAATAAATGGCAGATATTTTAAACTATTTATCCTTGTTTTTCCTTAAATTTGCTGCAATATCCTGTATCACAGAAATCTCCTAGGAAATGCTATCAAACTGCTAAATGTTAGAAGACATGTGTCAATCATTTCTTTATTTTTTTATTTCTTTAATTCTTTAAAAATAAAACATACAAAGAAATCATCTGTCAAAGTGCTTTTTCTGAAGCTGGTATTGGTTTATATAGAAACAGTCAATAAATATTAAAGGGAAAAATAAACTGTGTGAATGATTCATTGGGATTAAAAACGAGCTTTAAAAAGCTGGACAGAATATCTGTTGTTGACAGCATCAACATAAACCAGAGTCATTAATTTCATGACCTTCTCATATGGTTTAATTTGTTCATTTATTCTTTCTTTGTAAAGCATTTGGCCACATGTGTTAAATAAATGTTGATGGTCTGATGAAAGGAAAAATGGCATACATTAAATGAAAAAAATTCAGTGTGATTTAAAAAATTATCCTGGAGCTAGCTTTAGCAAAAAGTGAAGAAATTAATAAAAGGATCAAAAAGACAATTGTTATTTCCAAGGTTTTGGAACCAGGAATGAAAAATCCAAGATGAATTTTATGGCTTATAGTTTTCTCTGTCTCAAATATCTGTGTCAGCTTTTAAATGCCATAGTCCCCATCTCTGTCCACTCTCATGCTTGAGGATGGGCACCCCGCAGTTTCTGAGTTTATAATTTACAATTCTAGCTATAGACAAAGAGACTCATACAGTGTCTGTGAGTCCCAATCCAGAACTCTCAAGAAACACACTATGATTGGCTCAGCATGAGGCAGCACCTTATCTCTTGTCTGATTAATTGTGGCCAAAATGACAGTGTCACATAATACAACAGTTATTAATCCCTGGGGGTTAAGGAGGCAATTCTCAGGAATAAGAGATCATTGTGAAATTGAAAAATGTGCTCAATGTATTGTTATCATCTTGTATTATTCTTGAGGCTAAATACCCAGTGGGTTGGCCTCTACTTTCCAGAAATTATTGGCAATCTAAGATTCTCTTCAATATATGCCCTATGACCATGCTGCACATAGTGACCTCACTTTTCCCCACAGCCTGAACACCACTTGGAAATATTTTGCTATTCTACATGAGTTATACTGAGTAAAGGCAAATTGAAAAAAAGCAACTAAATTTTCTTGTTGGGCATTTTGTATTGCCATTTGTTAAGCATGGTTTATAGATGCTGATTAACAATGCTATTTATCTTTCACAGGCAGGATTCCATTTATTCTGGAAGCATAGAAAAAAGACCTAATTATTTAGTTAGCTTACAGGGTCAATGCAATGAGAAATGCAAAGGCAGCCAAGCCAACCCTAGGCTGTTATATAGAGAGACCAATAAAAACAACAACAGCCACAAAAATCAGCTGATGAGATGGCCAAATATTTTTTTAATCGATGAGCTGGCTTGATGCTGAGGCAATTATAGTTAGAATCAGGCCATGTCCCAGTGAAAATGCTTAGATGTCTATCACAATTTTCCCACTTTCGCTTTCATGAATCTCTGTCCATCCTTTTAAGCTCTTCTTCTTTTGTCCATTGTCTTTTTTTATAATTGGTTTGACCTCTGCAGTTGTAAGAGGAAGTCGAATTAGACTGAACATTCAGATGACATGGGTCTAATTGTATTCTCAGTAAGTATTGTATACTCAGTAAGTAAACTTGATCATGAGTTACATGCCCTTGACCTCCCCTCAAGTGTAAATATGAATAATTGGAATAATTGGGCAAGATAACCTTCAAATCCATGTCAAGATATAAAAATCTGAGAATATTTTAAAAAATACATATGGGTTTTAGACCATGATTCAGATGTAACATCTGGCTTCTGATAAGACTGAAGTTTGAGAACCAATGGTAATGCACTTTTCTTCTCTGCACAGTAATAATGCCTTTTAAAAAACTGCATATATATTTGACTCTAGAGGGAACTAACAACAGTTAAATAAGATAATCCTCTTAGGAAAATTTTCATTTCCGAAGAGGAAGTTGAAGAAGAGAGTTAACTAAAGGCTCTAAGTACTATCTGGGGTTGGTATGTGATGATGGGCAGAGATGGAATGTTTAGAAACACGAGTTGCTCCAGTTCACACCTGTATTTATATCCACATGCAAAACTAGCATATCATATTTAAAATGCTTAAAAAATAAAATTCCTGACTTATAAATGCTTTTTTATATCTTATATAAGAACAATCTTTATGTACTGAGGTTTATAATTGTTCGGTGATGTCTAAATTGACATTTCAATAGAAAAATCAATTAATTACTTCATATTGCTTAATTACTCAGTAATTGTTCCTTGAGAACTGAATATGTTTAAGCCTAAAGTGATATTGGTAAATTGTGTGTACGTGGCAGTCACGTTTGCTCTTCTGCCACTGAGACCCCAGAATGAGGAAGTATTTTCTAATTTTTCTATGTGGAAGCTGGGACAGTTATCAGTGTATTGCCCCTCCGTTCCAAATCATGCTTTCATGAGGCCTCATGATTCCAGGACTGAACTCTGTAAACATTTATCCTTTGCCAGCTAATGAAATGCTTGGCCATTTTGTAGGGATAGTGGAGGGTCATTATAAGGCTAAAGCAAATGTAAAATGTCTTTCTCCCTGGTTTTGATGTGTTATTGTTTTGTTGTCTGCATGTCTGCTAGAAGGTATGCCTGTAGAGGCCCACGGTGTTCATCTCAGTGAATCTCAGAGACCAGCTCCAGCTTGCCTGCTCCTCCAGCAAGCTTCTTGGTCATCTACTGGACCATTATTGTAAACTCGCTTTACCTTGTCTTCATCTGCTTATGAAATGTTTGTCTCCTAATAATTTACCCTTATAGTCCTCACCTCTTCCTTCTGGCAAAGTCTCTGCCTCTGGTAGGCTGTGTATTCCTGTGGTAGCCACACACTACCCAAACAAGTTCAGAATCTCAGCCTTAGATGGATAGAGGTAGGAACAGATGGTGTTCTCCCAAATTCTTAGTACCTTTCTCAGTCTCAGAGGTGGTGGGTCCTTGCATTTACTACTTCTGCATTCCTAGAGTCCTATTTTACTCCTTTTAATGGTTATCATTTTTACTTTAAATCATGATTTATATTACATCACCATGTTCACATTACTGATATGCTTTGTGACTGATAGAAATACATGTTGATATTTTAAAGGTCACATTTAAAAGCTTAAATTACATCAGTTGTGAATCTTTTACAAGAAATTACCACTAGATCTCAAAGAACCAGTGTTCAAAATACCAATTCAATTAAGTGAGGTTTACGTGTTTTAATAAATATTTGTGTTTTAGGTCTCAGATAACATCACAGAAAGGAAAAGACAGCAATTGGCATGCGTACTAATAATAGTATTAAACTATTATAAACTAACAGAAATAATAGTACTAAGCATAGTAATAGTAATAATGGTATTAAACATGATAAATGAATGTGTACTAATAATAGTACTAAACTATTGTACTATTAGTTGACTCAATAGAGAAACATTTGGTCCGTATGTGTTTCATCAGTGTTGGAGAACTTTGGGAAAGTTTATGTGACTCTAGAAAGAAGTCTATGTCACAGTGAAATTCATTTTCACTATTTCTATATTCAGCTCTAATAAATGAGATAACAGTAACCAAAGCAGCTTACAACAGTTAAAGGTATGGTGTTGCCATGCGGACAGAGCTCTAGCTCTCAGGAAAGTATCCTATATCCTATTAGGCACTCCTAATTCTTTTATATTTTGGGTTTGAGTTATATCACTTCACAGATCAGTACTGTATTTTACAATTACTTTAGGCAACTTTAAAGCACTGATGGTTTTATGTGAACTATAGAGCATGCCAAGCCTGAAAGCACTGGAAAAGACATGTAGAGCTTGTCTGATAAAACCCATCTTCCTTCCCAAAAGCAGAAGACACTCAAATCACCTATAACAAATCAGTAGAAATCCTAATGTTGACATTAAGAAAGGAGAGTTCTCAGGATATCTCTCCTCCAAACATCATCCCAACTCCTCTTAGCTCCCTGTACTGTGTACTAACCTATCATATATCAGAATTTCTACCACCCATATTGTAACTGTAATCTATGATGGTCCACCACAGCTGTCTCTCTTATACCCTATGTACCTCAAGATCAAATGGTAGAAGTGGTGTCCTCGTAACTCTCCAATGTTTTTTTCCACGTAGTTACTCTCCCAGCTTGATAAATCCTGCTCCTATGAGTTAACCACATATACTATACTACTCCTTCTCCTTAGTGTAGCAGTCTCCAAATTTCCAAACCATTAGTCATTAATCAATGAAGCTTTCTACATCTATACTTCTCAACCTAAACCTTATTATTCTAACATATTAATTCCCATCAAAAGGATCATTCCAAAACATACTAGCAAATCAGACTTTATAGCTCTTTATCACCAGAAGCTTATAGTATTACTCTGTTTTCACACTGCTACAAAGATACTACCTGAGACTGAGTAATTTTGAAAGGAAAGAGGTTAAATTGACTCACAGATCCACATGGCTTGGGAGCCCTCAGGAAACTTACAATCCTGGCCAAAGGTGAAGGAGAAGCAAGCTTGGAACATCTCACATGGCAGCAGGAGAGAGAAGGAGTGCAAACAGGGGAAATGACAGACACTTAATAAACCATCAGATCTCGTGAGAACTCAGTATCATAAGAAAAGCATGAGGGGAACTGCCCCCATAATCCAATCACTTCCCACCAGGTCCTGCCTAAACCCCTGGGGATTACAATTCAAGACGAGATTTTGGTGGGGACACAAAGCCTAAACATATCATTCCGCCCTGACCCCTCCCAAATTTCATGTCCTTACATTTCACAACCAATCATGTGTTCCCCACATTCCCCCAAAGTCTTAACTTATTTCAGCATTAACTCAAATGTCCAAGTCCAAAGTCTCATCTGAGACAAAGCAAGTCCCTTCTGCATAGGAGTCTGTAAAATCAAAAGAAAGTTAGTTACTTCCAAGATACAATGGGCATACAGGCAACGGATAAATGCTCCCATTCCAAATGGAAGAAATTGGCCCAAACAAAGGATCTACAGACCCCATGCAAGTCCAAAATCCAATGGGGTAGTTATTAAATCTTAAAGCTATGAAATAATCTCCTTTGACTCCATGTCTCACATCTAGGGCACACTGATGCAAAAGGTGGGCTCCTGTGGCCTTGGGAAGCTCTGCCCCTGTAGCTTTGCAGTGTACAGCCCCCTGCTCTGCCTGCTTTCACAGCTGGTGTTGAGTGACTGCAGTGTTTCCAGGCAAACAATGCAAGCTGTCAGTGGATCTACCATTCTGGGGTCTGGAGGATGGTGGCCCTCTTCTCACAGCTCTACTAGGCAGTGCCCCAGTGAGGAATCTGTATGGGGGCTCCAACCCCACATTTCCCCATTGCACTGCGCTAGCAGAGGTTCTTCAAGAGGGCTTTCCCTGTGTGGCAGACTTCTGCCTAAACATCCAGGCATTTCCATACAACCTCCAAAATCCTGACAGAGGATTTCAAACCTCAGTTCTTGACTTCTGTGTACCTGCAGGCCCAACACCATGTGGAAGCCACCAAGGCTTGTGTCTTGCACCCTCTCAAGCAACAACCTGAACTGTATATTGGCCCCTTTTAGCCATGGCTAAAATGCAGGGCACCAAGTCCTGAGGCTGCACAGAGCATGAGTGGGGCCCTGGGCCTGGCAAACTAATTTTCCCTCCTACGCCTCTGAGTCTATGATGGGAGGGGCTGCCATGAAAGTCTCTGACATGGCCTGGAAACATTTCCCCATTATCTTGACAATTAACATTTGGCTCCTCCTTACTTATTCAAATTTCTATAGCCAGCTCAAACTTCTCCCCAGAAAATGTGTTTTCCTTTTCTATCGCATGGTCAGGCTGCATATTTTCCAAACTTTTATGGTCTGCTTCCTTTTTAAAGCTAAGTTCCAATATCAGAACATCTCTCTCAAAGCTATACAGATCTCTAAGGCAAGGGCAAAATGACACCAGTCTCTTTGCTAAAGCATAATGAGAGAGACCTTTACTCCATTTCCCAATGTTTCTCATCTCCATATGAGACCACATCAGCCTGGACTTCATTGTCGATATCACTATCAGCATTTTGGTCAAAACCATTCAACAAGTCTCTAGGAAGTTGCAAACTTTCCTACATCTTCTTGTCTTCTTCTGAGCCCTCCAAACTGTTCCAACCTCTGCCTGCTATCTAGTTCCAATGTTGCTTCCTCATTTTGGGGTATCTTTATAGCAATACCCCACTCTACTGGTATCAATGTTCTGTATTAGTCCATTTTCACACTGCTATAAAGATACTACCTGAGACTGGGTAATATATAAAGGAAAGAGGTTTAATTGACACACAGTTCTGCATGGCTGGGGAGGCCTCAAGAAACTTACAATCATGGCAGACAGTGAAGGGGAAGCAAGCTTGAACCTTCTCACATGGCAAGAGAGAGAAGGAGTGCAAGCAGGGGAAATGCCAGATGCTTATAAAACCATGAGATCTCATGAGAACTCACTCACTGTCATGAGAACAGCTTGAGGGAAATCACCCCCATAATCCAATCATTTGTCTAAACACCTGGGATTACAATTCAAGATGAAATTTGGGTTGAGATTTGGGTGAGGACTCAAAGCCTACCGTATCACTTATCTTCCAATATTTCTCTGCCACCTGGCCTTATATTCTCCCAATAAGTCAAATAGAGTTTGTGTCCAAAATTGTTAATTTCAACACGTCATTTTCTAGCTACGGTCTCTGCTGTTTCCATTTTCCTGCTCTTAGACATCATCAAGCCACTAGTATATGATATAAAGTATGCGTTGTCTTCTCTATATTCCTTCTATATCCAGCATTAATTCTAAACAATAAGACTCTCATTTCAATCACAATCTTATAAATACCCAGATTGCTCTGCACCACTTCCTTCCCATTGCAACTTTATGGCAAATCTATATCCACAGTGAACCCAATCAAAAGCTTTGTCCATGACTACACTCAGGTAGATGAACATTTCTGGTGGAAAAAAAACCCCACATGTCTGAGAAGTTTTTAATAATTTCTGGTTTTTAGTCTCATAAGGAACCTCAATATTTCCCAGAAAGATCACAATGTTTCTCCAATAAGTTAGCTTGCTGTAAACCTCTGACCTCCTTACATCTGTTTATGCTCAGAATATTACTTTTCCTCTGCTTCACTGATGAAAATAGAAGTTTTTATCAGATGCAAATGCTGTCACCTTTGTCTCTCCAGTAAACAGAAGTATATGTACTGTAAATATTCTTCTTTTGTTCTGATATTATAATCTGAGGGAAAAATGCCTTCGTTTATTTAAAGTTTATGTCTCTGCATCAGCTTTGGTGCCATATTCTTTCAGAATTCTTAGGACTCATTGCTATTGATTATCTTTTCTGTCTCTCAGAAACATCTGCAGCCTACCAGATTCTTCCCATTAGAATTTAAATTTTTTTAAGATTTCTCATGATATGACATTACATTATAATAATGTAAAATACTTTTTAAAAAATGTCAGTGCTCTGGCTCTATACCCAGATGTTCTGGTTTAATTGGCTAGCCATAGGTTTTGAACATTTAAAAAATATATACCTGAGATGATTCTAATGTATAGGGTTGAAAAATTTGCTTTGTTCTCTCACGTAATTAAAAGTGTTTATCCCAGGACCACCCATCTCCTCCAGATTCTACAATATCTCTATTCTTCTCTTCACAGCAGAATATCTCAAAGAGTGATTTACACTGATTAAATGTCAATCTTCATCACTGACTAATCCACACTCCTTGCCAAGCCCAAAATTGCCGGCATTTAACTAAATCCAACACACACCTTCAGTCCTTATTTTATTTAACTCCTCAGCATTTGACACGTGACAATTCGATATTTTCAAAACACTCTTTTATCTTAATTTTTCTCTCATCTGGTTTCACTTACCATTTTTGAGACAGTTTTATAACTCTTTTATTCTTGTTTCATGTATATAAATGGTTATGTATTTAAGCTCATAATTTATTGTAATTCTTCTAGTATAGAAATTATTACTTTTGGATTGGTAAACATTCTATCTAGTGTTCTCAAATGTGGACTAAAACATCACATATCAATCAAGATAGGATAGACCTGGCTAAAAATTTTTTTAAAAAATTTACATATTTATTTATCCTTTATAGTTCATGATCATCATTAAGTGTTAGCAGGGAAGGAAGGAAGCTCTGCTTGTAGAAGTCACTCAAAGAATCAGGATGGCAGAAGAGCTGCCATCTCAAATGTTGCCTGTCACTATTCCAAAAACAAACAAAACAAAACAAAACAAAAAAAGAACAATGAAAAGTCTTATCCCAGAAGCCACAAACATTATTTCTGCTTCAACTCAATGGCCAGAATTAGTCACATGCCCCACCCAGCTACAAGGGACCTACAAAGATCAGTTCCCCCATTTGCCTGAAATCACAGAACAACATAACAGTGAATAGCATTAAAGATCGCGACCTAAGTAAAAAGATTTTCTAGATTATAATAGAGCTTCTGAACAAGAAACCTTGGGAGTGAGCTTCAGTAATCCACATGTGATGTGTAACAAGTACAACTAGTGAGACCGGTGTACTACACCTTGTAGTATAGTTTGAAGTCAGGTAGTGTGATGCCTCCAGCTTTGTTCTTTTGGCTTAGGATTGTCTTGGCAATGCAGGCTCTTTTTTGGTTCCATATGAACTTTAAAGTAGCTTTTTCCAATTCTGTGAAGAAAGTCATTGGTAGCTTGATGGGGATGGCATTGAATCTGTAAATTACCTTGGGCAGTATGGCCATTTTCACTATATTTATTCTTCCTGTCCATGAGCATGGAATGTTCTTCCATTTGTTTGTGTCCTCTTTTATTTCATTGAGCAGTGGTTTGTAGTTCTCCTTGAAGAGGTCCTTCACATCCCTTGTAAGTTGGATTCCTAGGTATTTTATTCTCTTTGTAGCAATTGTGAATGTGAGTTCACTCATGATTTGGCTCTTTGTCTGTTATTGGTGTATAGGAATGCTTGTGATTTTTGCACATTTATTTGTATCCTGAGACTTTGCTGAAGTTGCTTATCAGCTTAGGGAGATTTTGGGCTGCAACGATGGGGTTTTCTAAATACACAATCATGTCATCTGCAAACAGGGACAGTTTGACTTCCTCTTTCCTAATTGAATACTCTTTATTTCTTTCTGTTGCCTGATTACCTTGGTGAGAACTTCCAACCTATGTTGTATAAGAGTGGTGAGAGAGGGTATCCTTCTCTTGCGCCGGTTTTCAAAGGGAATGCTTCCAGTTTTTGTCCATTCAGTATGATATTTGCTGTGGGTTTGTCATAAATAGCTCTTATTATTTTGAGATACGTTCCATCAATACTAGTTTATTGAGAGTTTTTAGCATGAAGGGCTGTTGAGTTTTGTCGAAGGCCTTTTCTGCATCTATTGAGTTAATCATGTAGTTTTTGTTGTTGGTTCTGTTTATGTGATGGGTTACGTTTATTGATTTGTGTATGTTGAACCAGCCTTGCAACCCAGGGAGGAAGACAACTTGATCATGGTGGATAAGCTTTTTGATGTGCTGCTGGATTTGATTTGCCAGTATTTTATTGAGGATTTTCTCATTGATGTTCATCAGGGATATTGGTCTTAAATTCTCTTTTTTTTGTTGTTGTTGTGTCTCTGCCAGGCTTCGGTATCAGGATGATGCTGGCCTCATAAAATGAGTTAGGAGGATTCCCTCTTTTTCTATTGATTGGAATAGTTTCACAAGGAAACTCCTCTTTGTACCTCTGGTAGAATTTGTCTGTGAATCCATCTGGTCCTGGACTTTTTTTGGTTGGAAAGCCATTAATTATTGCCTCAATTTTAGAGTCTGTTATTGGTCTATTCAGAAGTTCAACTTCTTCCTGGTTTAGTCTTGGGAGGGTGTGTGTGACCAGGAATTTATCCATTTCTTCTAGATTTTCTAGTTTATTTGAATAGAGATGTTTATAGTATTCTCTGATGGTAGTTTGTATTTTTATGGGATCTGTGGTGATAGCCCCTTTATCATTTTTTATTGAATCTATTTGATTCTTCTTTCTTTTCTTCTTTATTAGTCTTGCTAGCAGTCTATCATTTTGTTGATCTTTTCAAAAAACCAGCTCCTGGATTCATTGATTTTTTGAAGGGATTTTTGTGTCTCCATCTCCTTCAGTTCTTCTTTGATCTTAGTTATGTCTTGCCTTCTGCTAGCTTTTGAATTTGTTTACTCTTGCTTCTCTAGTTTTTTTAATTGTGATGTTAGGGTGTCGATTTTAGATCTTTCCTGCTTTCTCTTGTGAGCATTTAGTGCTATAAATTTCCCTCTACACACTGCTTTAAATATGTCCTAGAGATTCTGGCACGTTGTGTCTTTGTTCTCATTGGTTTCAAAGAACATCTTTATTTCTGACTTCATTTCGTTATTTACCCAGTAGTCATTCAGGAGCAGGTTGTTCGGTTTCCATGTAGTTGTGTGGTTTTGAGTGAGTTTCTTAATCCTGAGTTCTAATTTGATTGCAGTGTGGTCTGAGACACTGTTTCTTGTGATTTCTGTTCTTTTACATTTGCTGAGGAGTGCTTTACTTCCAATTATGCGGTCAGTTTTAGAATAAGTGCGATTTGGTGCTGAGAATAATGTATATTCTGTTGTTTTGGTGAGGAGAGTTCTGTAGATGTCTATTAGGCCCGCTTGGTGCAGAGCTGAGTTCAAGTCCTGGATATCCTTGTTAACCTTCTGTCTCATTGATCTGTCTAATATTGACAGTGGGGTGTTAAAATCTCCCATTATTGTGTGGGAGTCTAAGTCTCTTTGTATGTCTCTAAGGACTTGCTTTATGAATCTGGGTGTTCCTGTTTTGGGTGCATATATAATTAGGATAGTTAGCTCTTCTTTATGGATTGATGCCTTTATCATTATGTAATGGCCTTCTTGTGTCTCTTTTTTTTTATACTTTAAGTTCTAGGGTACTTGTGCACAACGTGCAGGTTTGTTACATATGTATACATGTGCCATGTTGGTGTGCTGCACCCATTAACTCATGATTTTCATTAGGTATAACTCCTAATGCTATCCCTTCCTCCTCCCCCAACCCCACGACAGGCCCCAGTGTGTGATGTTCCCCACCCTATGCCCAAGTGTTCTCATATTACCACGTATGAGTGAGAACATGCAGTCTTTGGTTTTCTGTCCTTGCGATAGTTTGCTCAGAATGATGGTTTCCAGCTTCATCCATGTCCCTACAAAGGACATGAACTCATCCTTTTTATAGCTGCATAGTATTCCATGGTGTACATGTGCCACATTTTCTTAATCCAGTCTATCATTGATGGACATTTGGGTTGACTCCAAGTCTTTGCTATTGTGAATAGTGATGCAACAAACATACAAGTGCATGTGTCTTTATAGCAGCATAATTTAAAATCCTTTCGGTATATGCCCAGTAATGGGATGGCTGGGTCAAATGGTATTTCTAGTTCTAGATCCTTGAGGAGTCACTACACTGTCTTCCACAATGGTTGAACTAGTTTACAGTCCCACCAACAGTGTAAAAGCATTCCTATTTCTCCACATCCTCTCCAGCACCTGTTGTTTCCTGACTTTTTAAAGATTGCCATTCTAACTGGTATGAGACAGTATTTCATTGTGCTTTTGATTTGCATTTTCTCTGATGGCCTGTGATGATGAACATTTTTTCACGTGTCTGTTGGCTGCATAAATGTCTTCTTTTGAGAAGTGTCTGTTCATATCCTTGGCCCACTTTTTGATGGGGTTGTTTGATTTTTTCTTGTAAATTTGTTTAAGTTCTTTGTAGATTCTGGATATTAGCCATTTGTCAGATGGGCAGATTGTAAAAATTTTCTCCTATTTTGTAGGTTGCCTGTTCACTCTGATGGTAGTTTCTTTTGCTGTGCAGAAGCTCTTTAGTTTAATTAGGTCCCATTTGTCAATTTTGGCTTTTGTTGCCATTGATTTTGTTGTTTTAGAAATGAAGTCCTTGCCCATGCCTATGTCCTGAATGGTATTGCCTAGGTTTTCTTCTAGGCTTTTTATGGTTTTAGTCTAACATTTAAGTCTTTACGCCATCTTGAGTTAATTTTTGTCTAAGGTGTAAGGAAGGGATCCAGTTTCAGCTTTCTACATATGGCTAGCCAGTTTTCCCAGCACCATTTATTAAATAGGGAATCCTTTCCCCTTTTCTTGTTTTTGTCAGGTTTGTCAAAGATCAGATGGTTGTAGATGTTGTAGATGTGTGATATTATTTCTGAGGACTTTATTCTGTTCCATTGGTCTGTATCTCTGTTTTGATACCAGTACCAAGCTGTTTTGGTTACTGTAGCCTTGTACTATAGTTTGAGGTCCGGTAGCATGATGCCTCCAACTTTTTTCTTTTGGCTTATGATTGTCCTGGCAATGCGGGCTCTTTTTTGGTTCCATGTGAACTTTAAAGTAGTTTTTTTCCAATTCTGTGAAGAAAGTCATTGGTAGCTTGATGGGGATGGCATTGAATCTGTAAATTACCTTGGGCAGTATGGCCATTTTCACTATATTTATTCTTCCTATCCATGAGCACGGAATGTTCTTCCATTTGTCTGTGTCCTCTTTATTTCATTGAGCATTGGTTTGTAGTTCTCCTTGAAGAGGTCCTTCACATCCCTTGTAAGTTGGATTCCTAGGTATTTTATTCTCTTTGAGGCAATTGTGAATGGGAGTTCACTCTTGATTTGGCTCTCTGTTTGTCTGTTATTGGTGTATAGGAATGCTGGTGATTTTTGCACATTGATTTTTTATCCTAAGACTTTGCCCAAGTTGCTTATCAGCTTAAGGAGATTTTGGGCTGAGATGATGGGGTTTTCTAAATATACAATCATGTCATCTGCAAACAGGGACAATTTGACTTCCTCTTTTCCTAATTGAGTACCCTTTATTTCTTTCTCTTGCCTGACTGCCCTGGCCAGAATTTCCAACACTATGTTGAATAGTAGTGGTGAGAAAGGGCATCCCTGTCTTGTAGCAGTTTTCAAAGAGAATGCTTCCAGTTTTTGTCCATTCAGTATGATATTGGCTGTGGGTTTGTCATAAATAACTCTTATTATTTTGAGATATGTTCGAACAATACCTAGTTTATTGAGAGTTTTTAGCAAGAAGGCTGTTAAATTTTCTCAAAGGTCGTTGCTGCATCTATTGAGATAATCATGTGGTTTTTGTCTTTGGTTCTGTTTATATGCTGGATTATGTTTATTGATTTGCATATGTTGAATCAGCCTTGCATCCCGGGGAGGAAGCCAACTTGATCATGGTGGATAAGCTTTTTGATGTGCTGCTGGGTTTGGTTTGCCAGTAATTTATTGAGGATTTTCTCATCGATATTCATCAGGGATATTGGTCTTAAATTCTCTTTTTTTGTTGTATATCTGCGAGGCTTTGGTATCAGGATAATGTAGGCCTCATAAAATGAATTAGGGAGGATTCCCTCTTTTTCTATTCATTGGAATAATTTCAGAAAGAATGGTGCCAGCTCGTCTTTGTACCTCTGGTAGAATTTGGCTATGAATCCATCTGGTCCTGGACTTTTTTTGATTGGTAGACTATGAATTATTGCTTCAATTTCAGAAGCCATTATTGGTCTATTCAGGGATTCAACTTCTTCCTGGTTTAGTGTTGAGAGGGTGTATGAGTCCAGGAGTTTATCCATTTCATCTAGATTTTCTAGTTTATTTGCATCGGAGTATTTATAGTATTCTCTGAAGGTAGTTTATATTTCTGTGGGATCAGTGATAATAGCCTCTTTATCATTTTTTATTGCATCTATTTGATTCTTCTCTCTTTTCTTCTTTATTAGTCTTGCTAGCAGTCTATCAATTTTGTTGATCTTCTCAAAAAAACAGATCCTGGATTCATTGATTTCTTGAAGGGTTTTTGTTTCTCTATCTCCTTCAGTTCTGCTCTGATTTTACTTATTTCTTGCCTTCTGCTAGCTTTTGAATGTGTTTGCTCTTGCTTCTCTAGTTCTTTTAATTGTGATGTTAGGGTGTCAATTTTAGATCTTTCTTGCTTTCTCTTGTGGGTATTTACTGCTATAAATTTCCCTCTACACACTGCTTTAAATGTGTCCCAGAGATTCTGGTATGTTGTGTCTTTGTTCTCACTGGTTTCAAAGAACATCTTTATTCTGCCTTCATTTCATTATTTATCCAGTAGTCATTCGGGAGCAGGTTGTTCAGTTTCCATGTAGTTGTGTGGTTTTGAGTGAGTTTCTTAATCCTGAGTTCTAGTTTGATTGCACTGTGGTCTGAGAGACAGTTTGTTATAATTTCTGTCCTTTTACATTTGCTGAGGAGTGCTTTACTCCCAACTATGTGGTCAATTTCGGAATAAGTGTGATGTGGTGCTAAGAATGTATATTCTGTTGATTTTGGGTGGAGAGTTCTTTAAATGTCTATTAGGTCTGCTTGGTGCAGTGCTAACTTCAATTCCTGGATATCCTTGTTAACCTTCTGTCTCGTTTATCTGTCTAATGTTGACAGTGGGGTGTTAAAGTCTCCCATTATTATTGTGTGGGAGTCTAAGTCTCTTTGTAGGTCTCTGAGGACTTGCTTTATGAATCTGGGTGCTCATGTATTAGGTGGATATATATATTTAAAACAGTTAGCTCTTCTTATTGAATTGATCCTTTTAACATTATGTAATGGCTTTCTTTGTCTCTTTTGATCTTTGTTGGTTTAAAGTCTGTTTTATCAGACACTAGGATTGCAACCCCTGCCTTTTTTTGCTTTCTATTTGCTTGGTAGATCTTCCTGCATCCCTTTTTTTGGAGCTTTTGTGTGTCTCTGCATGTGAGATGGGTCTCCTGAATACAGCACACTGATGGGTCTTGACTCTATCCAATTTACGAGTCTGTGTCTTTTAATTGGAGCATTTAGCCCATTTACATTTAAGGTTAATACTGTTCTGTGTGAATTTGATCCTGTCATTATGATGTTAGCTGGTTATTTTGCTCGTTAGTTGACCCAGTTTCTTCCTTGCATTGATGGTCTTTACAATTTGGCATGTTTTTGCAGTGGCTGGTACCAGTTGTTCTTTTCCATGTTTAACGCTTCCTTCAGGAGCTCTTGTAAGGCAGGCCTGGTGGTGACAAAATCTCTTAGCATTTGCTTGTCTGTAAAGGATTTTATTTCGCCTTCACTTATGAAGCTTAGTTTGGCTGGATATGAGATTCTGGGTTGAAAATTCTTTTCTTTAAGAATGTTGAATATTGGCCTCCTCTCTCTTCTGGTTGGTAGAGTTTCTGCTGAGAGATCCGCTGTTAGTCTGATGGGTTTCCCTTTGTGGGTAACCCAACCTTTCTCTCTGGCTGCCCTTAACATTTTTTCCTTCATTTCAACTTTGGCGAATCTGACAATTATGTGTTTTGGAGTTGCTCTTCTCAAGGAGTATCTTTGTTGCATTCTCTATATTTCCTGAATTTGAATGTTGACCTGGCTCACTAGGTTGGGGACGTTCTCCTGGGTAATATCCTGAAGAGTGCTTTCCACTTGGTTCCATTCTCCCTGTCACTTTCAGGTACACCAATCAGACGTATATTTTGTCTTTTCACATAGTCCCATATTTCTTGGAGGATTTGTTCATTTCTTTGTACTCTTTTTTCTCTAAATTCTTGCTTTATTTCATTCATTTGATCTTCAATTACTGATACTCTTTCTTTCACTTGATCAAATTGGCTACTGAAGCTTGTGCATGCATCACATAGTTCTCATGCCATGGTTTTCAGCTCCATCAGGTCATTTAAAGACTTCGCTACACTGTTTATTCTAGTGAGCCATTTGTTTAATCTTTTTTCAAGGTTTTTAGCTTCTTTGCAGTGGGTTTGAACATCCTCCTTTAGCTTGGAGAAGTTTGTTATTACCAATCGTCTGAAGCCTTCTTCTCTCAACTCATCAAAGTCATTCTCCATCCAGCTTTGTTCCATTGCTGGTGAGGAGCTTTGTTCCTTTGGAGAAGAGATGCTCTGATTTTTAGAATTTTCACCTTTTCTGCTCTGGTTTCTCCCCATCTTTGTGGTTTTATCTACCTATGGTCTCTGATCATGGTGACTTACAGATGGGGTTTTGGTGTGGATGTCCTTTCTGTTTGTTAGTTTTCCTTCTAACAGTCAGGACCGTTAACTGCAGGTCTGTTGGAGTTTGCTGGAAGTCCACTCCAGACCCTGTTTGCCTGGGTATCACCAGAAGATGCTGAAGAACAGCAAATATTGCAGAACAGCAGATGTTGCTGTCTGATCCTTCCTCTGGAACTTCATCTCAAAGGGGCACCCAGCTGTATGAGGTGTCAGTTGGCCCCTACTGGGAGGTGCCTCCCAGTTAGGCTACTTGGGGGTCAGAGACCCACTTGAGGAGGCAGTCTGTCTGTTCTTAGATCTCAAACTCCATACTGGGAGAACCACTACTCTTTTCAAAGCTGTCAGACAGGGATGTTTAAGTCTGCAGAAGTTTCTGCTGCCTTTTGTTCAGCTATGCCCTGCCCCCAGAGGTGGAGTCTACAGAAGCAGGCAGACTTCCTTTAGCTGAGGTGGGCTCCACCCAGTTTAAGCTTCCCAGCCACTTTGTTTACCTTCTCAAGCCTCAGCAATGGCCGATGTCCCTCTCCCAGCCTCTCTGCTGCCTTACAGTTCTATCTCAGACTGGTGTGCTAGCAATGAGCGAGGCTCCATGGGCATGGGACCCTCTGAGCCAGGTGTGGGATATAATCTCCTGGTGTCCCGTTTGCTAAGGCCTTTGTAAATACGCAGTATTAGGGTGGGAGTGTCCTGATTTTCCAGGTACTGTCTGTCATGGCTTCCCTTTGCTAGCAAAGGGAATTCCCCAATCCCTTGCACTTCCCGGGTGAGGCAATGCCCTGCCCAGCTCTGTGGGCTGCACCCACTGTCTGATAACCTCCAGTGAGATGAATTTGGTACCTCAGTTGGAAATGCAGAAATCACCCATTTTCTGTGTTGCTCACACTGGGAGCTGCAGACTGGAGCTGTTCCTATTGGGCCATCTTGGAACCTCTCCCCCTTCTTGATCTGTTTTGAGCTTTGTTGGTTTAACATCTGTTTTATCAGAGACTAGGATTGCAACCCCGGCTTTTTTTTTTTTTTTTTTTTTTTTTTTTTTTTTTTTTTGCTTTCCATTTGCTTGGTAGCTCTTCCTCTATCCCTTTATTTTGAGCCTATATGTGTCTTTGCATGTGAGATGGCTCTTCTGAATACAGCACACTGATGATGGGTCTTGACTCTTTATCCAATTTGCCAGTCTGTGTCTTTTAATTGGGGCATTTAGCCCATTTCAATTTAAGGTTAATATTGTTATGTGTGTAATCAATCCTGTCATTACGATGTTAGCTGCTTATTTTGCCCATTAATTGATGCAGGTTTCTTCATAGCATTAATGGTCTTTACAATTTGGCATGTTTTTGCATTGGTTGGCACTCGTTGTTCCTTTCCATGTTTAGTGCTTCCTTCAGGAGCTCTTGTAAGGCAGGCCTGGTGGTGACAAAATCTCTCAGCATTTGCTTCTCTGTAAAGGATTTTATTTCTCCTTCACTGGTGAAGCTTGGTTTGGCTGTATATGAAGGATATAGGCTGAGCTGTGGTGGGCCTCGCCCAGTTGGAGCTTCCCAGCCACTTTGTTTACCTACTCAATCTTCAGGAATGGCCAACTCCCCTCCCCCATCCAGGCTGCAGCCTTGCAGGTCGATCTCAGACTGTTGCGCTAGCAGTGAGCACAGCTCCATAGGCATGGGACCCACTGAGCCCCGCATGAGAGGGAATCTCCTGGTCTGCCGGTTCCTAAGACCATGGGAAAAGTACAGTATTTGGGCAGAAGTGTACCCTTTTTCCAGGTGCAGTCTGTCACGGCTTCCCTTGGCTAGGAAAGGGAAAAATCCTAACCCCTTGTGCTTCCAGGGTGAGGCAATGCCTCGCCCTGCTTTGGCTTACCCTCCATGAACTGCACCCACTGTCCAACCATTGCCAATGAGATGAACCAGGTACCTCAGTTGGAAATGGAGAAATCACTCATCTTCTGCGTCAATCAAGCTGGGAGTTGCAGACCAGAGTTGTTCCTATTCGACCATCCTGGAATACAGTTCACTATGGGTTTCTATGGCTAGGCTTTAGAAAAGCTAATGTACATAAACAAGGTGACAATGTATTATCCAAAGCAAGGCACTCTTAACAGTGAAAAGTACATGATTAATATTTTGCTAAGACATAGGCACAAACTAGCACTATCCAGCATAAAGCTGGGCCATGGCTATAGGACACAGATAAGAAATGGAGAGTAATTTTCCCAAAGCCATACGCCTCTTTTCTATCAAAAACTAAATAAAATAGGTTTTCTGGTTTTACTGACCTTTTCAATACTCCATAATCTGTACAAAATTTGTCTTTACTATAAAGGTATACTTTTTCATAGCATTATATAGTTGGAATGACTGATCATTTAAAAAAAATGAAATATTTTTCTTACACATTCAACATGTAGATTCCAATTTGAGATTAATTTATGCTCCTTATATGTTTAATAGCCATGTGTTTCTTACTTAAACTTTGAAAATGTAAATTACTAAAATTAAAAAAGCCCGTCTTCAAAAGTTCTCTCAGCAATTACAACTATCCTGATAATACAAAGGCAATACTAAAGATTCAATGTAATCTTAATTTTGCTTCCAGCGTGGCATACTTGTGTATCACATGAACATAATTATATTCTTTTCTACTGGATCTAAATTATAAGAGAATGAAGGCTGACAATTTCAATGGATGTTCTCAGTTTTTATCATCTTTATTATTCCTATAACACACTAATAGTTTTACTGTTATGTCAGGTGGAAATATTTTCTTTCTTTGAGTAGTAATGATTCTTATTGTATCTCTCTGTCAATTGAGTTCTTGATGAATCAGTTGCACTGGGTACAGTGGCTCATGCCTGTAATTCCAGCACTTTGGCAGGTGGATCACCTGAGATTGGGAGTTCAAGACCAGCCTGACCAATACAGAGAAACCCCATCTCTACTAAAAATACAAAATTAGCCAGGCGTGGTGGCACATGCCTGTAATCCCAGCTACTCAGGAGGCTGAGGCAGAAGAATGGCTTGAACCTGGTTGGTGGAGGTTGCAGTGAGCTGAGGTTGTGCCATTGCACTCCAGCCTGGGCAACAAGAGCAAAACTCCATCTCAAAAAAATAAATACATAAAAGAATCAGTTGCAAGGAAGAGATGATCGTAGTACAGTATTCCTTTTAGCTTTGTCCAAAGGTGAAGCATTTATTAACATGCATAAACTAAATACCCTTGTGTATTATATAATATCTTCCAAGTTTTCTGATAATAATATGTTTATTGATAATTTACCCTAAAGTGAAAATTCATAGAGAAAATAGAAATACACCTGCAATTTATCAGTCTATCGCAGATGAAGTGAAATTTCTCAGGTAGACAGGAACATAACAGCTATTGTAGCAAAAATGAAGTGACATCATGTATCCAAACTATAAATGACATCCACTTCGCAATTTAGTATTTCTTTTTCTTAGTTATTATCCTTCAAGAAATTCACTTGGCATATTCATTACATACAAAGTTAAGCAATAAAGTGATTTTGTTAACATTATAAAGTGAGACTTCCTTACTGCATTTGAATAAGCTTGATTAGTATATTGAAGAAAAAGATAAAGTATAAGGGGTTTTACTTTTTTTAACTACTCATACTTAGTCTGGGATATCTTCTTTAAACTTTTTCCTTAGTCTGGGATATCTTCTTTAAACTTCTTCCTTAGGTTTTTTCAATAGTTTCCTATTATTCATAAATTTAAAGTCATTCGTGCACACATACTAAATTTTACACACGTCTAGGATGACCTTATAGAGTGGTTTTTAAACTATCTGTCTTATCCTTCTCATTATTCTCACCTCCTTCTGCCCCTCTGTGTAAACCAAATTCATAATATCCATATTCCCATGTTTTTCTATGCTTCTACATAAATCTATAGATTTTAAAAATATTTGTCACAATTTTGCCAAAAATATGTTTGATACATTCTTATACATCTTACATTTCTCTCTCCACAATACTTTTGATAATACCCTAAAGGTCTACTGTTTGAGCTTAAATAATTCTAATAGCTGCATATTATCCGATGGTGTGAATATCACATAATTTGATAAACCATCTCAAAGAATGATAAGCTAGTATATTACTCCTACAAAAATGTTGTAGTAAACTTCCTTTTATGTTTGTCTTTGTGTTCTAGGGTTTGACTAGATAGATTTCTAGAGTTCAGTTTGCCAAGATGTAGGTAAAATAATTTGAAACTTTAATATACTTTTTCCAGCTTGATTTTCAAAGTATTTGTAATTTCACACTCTACAACACTCTATGTATGAAAATACTGTTTTCCTGCTCTGCCAGCTGGCAAAAGTTGTTTGCCTCTTTTTAATATTTTCCAGTCTGATGGATGTAAAACTATGCCATGTTACCTGATTTGGCATTCATTTTATTATTAGTGAATTAAACTATTTTTTCACATTTTCTAACTATTCTCACAATTTCTTCTTTAAAATCTTGGTCTATTTGTGTGCTTGTTGCTTTTCTTTTCCTTGTCAATCTGTATGATCTAAGAGCTCTTCGTTTATTCTAGAATTTAGGCTCTTACCATTTAAATAATTTCTATATTGAAATACACACACATATGCAAATGTGTATATGATTTTCCTATATAGGTATGCTTATATACATTTTTGTTTCTAGTAGTCTAGTTTTGGTTAGTAATGTTTTCTACATCCAAGACCTTGTGAGTATTGATTTAGATTTTTTAATGATGTGCATTTTATCATCCTTAATATCTTTCATTTATAGTGTAATAGAGGGACAAAACTTCATTTTCTTCTTGATGTATAGTCATTTGGGCCCAACTATTTGACACACTGTTTTTCACTGAATTAAACTATCACTTTTCATATAATACATTCAAGATCTATTTCTGTATGTTGTATTCTGTGGCTCTGCTCCACTCATCTATTTCAATGCCAGTGCCACATGGATCTCATTATGATTATATTAATAGTGTAACATCATAATGACAACTTATCAGTCTTCTTTTTTTAAAAAATGCCTTCTTAGATATTATAATGCATTACTTTGCCATCTGAATGTGAAAGTTATCTTATCCAGGGTGGATGAATTATTTTAAAGACCTAAATGTAATTGAAGAATTTATATCTGTAGGCCACTGGCTTCATATATAAGGATATATGTCTTGCCATTTGTTTAGAACCCTTTTATATGTTTCACTAAGATTTTAAATAAGATTCCTATTTCTTTCATCTTATCATACATTTCTAAGACTTTAGAGTTTATGAGATATTGTGAATGGAATTTTTTCTAATTTTTATTACTGGGAGTGTATTGATGATATAATAATAATTGACTTTGTATGTTAATGTTGTATGCAACCAAACTATCAACATAATTTTAAAATATTTTCTGAAAGCTTTTTGCTGGAATCTGTGAGGTTTTATAAGAATTCAAACATAAAAGAATTCAATAGTAAGAAAACAGGCCAGGCATTGTAGCACACGCCTGTAATCCCAGCACTTTGGGAGGCCGAGTTGGGTGGATCACTTGAGGTCAGGAGGTTGAGACCGGCCTGGCCAATATGGTGAAACCCCATGTCTACTAAAAATACAAAAATTAGCCAGGTGAGCCTGTAGTCCCAGCTACTCGGGAGGCTGAGGCATGAGGATTGCTTGAACCCAGGAGGTGGAGGTTGCAGTGAGCTGAGATCACGCCACTGCACTCCAGCCTGGGGGACAGAATGAGACTCTGTCTCAAAAAAAAAGAATAGAAAGCAGCCAGATTTGCTTCTTTTTCCCCAATGTTTATGCTGCTTATTTAGTTTTCTTTTTTAATGCATCTGTTAGAGCTTCCAAGACATTATTAAACAAATACAGGTGACAGCTGGTATCCCTGGCTAGCCCATGATTTTAATTAAAACATGTTTAAGATTTTACTTTGGTATATCTTTTTTTTTTTTTTTTTTTTTTTTTTTTTTTTTTTGAGACGGAGTTTCGCCCTGTCGCCCAGGCTGGAGTGCAGTGGCGCGATCTCGACTCACTGCAAGCTCCGCCTCCCGGGTTCACGCCATTCTCCTGCCTCAGCCTCCCGTGTAGCTGGGACTACAGGCGCGCGCCACCACGCCCGGCTAATTTTTGTATTTTTAGTAGAGACGGGGTTTCACCGTGTTAGCCAGGATGGTCTCGATCTCCTGACCTCGTGATCCGCCCGTCTCGGCCTCCCAAAGTGCTGGGATTACAGGCGTGAGCCACCACGCCCGGCCTTTGGTATATCTTTATTAATTTATTTTAAATAGCTTACAATCCTTTTTATAGTTTTCTTCTATTATTTATGTTTAGTGTCTTATTTATGATAGTGACTAGATGTTATTAAATGTCTGTTCTGTTCCATATATATATATATATATATAATATAATATAATATAATATATATAGATTTTTTTTTTGAGATGGAGTTTCACTCTTGTCCCCCGGGCTTGAGTGCAATGGCATGATCTTGGCTCACTGCAACCTCCACCTCCTGGGTTCAAGGGATTCTCCTGTCCTAGCCTCCTGAGTAGCTGAGATTACAGGCATGTGCCACCACACCCAGCTAATTTTGTATTTTAGTAAAGATAGGGTTTTGCCACGTTGACCAGGCTGGTCTCGAACTCCTGACCTCAGGTGATCTGCTTGCATGCTTCACCCTTCCAAAGTGCTGGGATTATAGGCGTGAGCCACTGCTCCCAGCCTTGTTCCATATTTTTATGTGTTTATTCACATGCTTTTTTCTCCCTTTATATGCTGCTGTAATTGACTATATAGACAGATATACTTGTATTGAAATCACCCTTTCATTTCTAAAATTAAATCTATTTGGCCATATTGTATTATTCTTGATATATTGTTGAGCTATGTTGCTAATATCTTATTCAGAATTTTACATGTATTTTCACAAGTAATAAAAAGCACATTTATGATGTTAGCAAACTATATCTAACAATTTCTTATTTTACAATATATCTTAAACTAATTTACAATAACAAAATATTTTGACACTCACTTTTATTGAGACTGCAGTAACCAATAGCATTTCAACAATCACCAAGATAAATTTAAAATTCATTGATTTTGTGCTTAGTGGTTCCTTTAGCACTAACCCCAGGACCAGTTTACTTCAAGCCACAGAAATGTAGATTCCCTAAATTTCCAAAATAAAACATCTGTAAAGTGTTCAGAGGCAAATTAGCTAATGAAATGAATCTAATTGTAAATTATTTTATCAATGACCTGAGGAAAAACAGCTTAGCTGTAATATGATTTTAAAGGTGCTGGGGAGCAATCCCATTCCTCAACACTTAATCCTCAACGGGTAGTGCCTTATTCAGTCAAGGGTCCCCACACCCCTGTTCCAGCACCATAGCTGCCATCCATTGTGATTGGAAAACCACTAGGCTCTACCACTATTGTTAATATTTTGAAGATTTTCTCTGGTTATAAACAGTTATTTTCTGAAAGTAAGGTTTAATGAAGAACAAAAAAGAGAGCAGAAAGTCATCAAATATGTTTAAATCTAAAAGAGTATGGATTATAAGGCCAGAAGTAGATTACAAAAGTATGGAAAACAAAGACCTAAGTTAACAGTGACCAACAGATATTCCTTAGGACTTGCTTTTGCTCACATCTACATTTCCTAGCATGCCCTTCCCATCGTTACTCTAGAAAAGCATATGAGAGAGGCCTTTATCCATGAGCTAAGAGAGATACTTCAGATGTTCCGCAAAGGGAAGAACACCAAAACAAGGAAGTTTCTGACACATGGCCATATGTAGGCTGTTAGGGTTCACCTCACAACACTAAAATATTTATCCTCCCTTACCCATGAGATAGAGTGCCGAGAGCTACAATTTTCAAATACTATATATATGTGTATGTGTTGTGTGTGAGTGCATGTGTGTGTGTTTATATATAAAATGTTTCCAGATTTATATATATGTGCTTATATATGTCTCTATAAAAATATATGTTATATATAGACACATATGAAAATAAATACATATACAAATATATATTTATATAATACATATATTAATATAATACATATGTAAATACATTTATATAATACTTATATAAATTATGTACAGACTCATATCTCTTAATGCATAATACATACTACATATATAAATATGTATATATTTATGTAACAGATATATATAAATTTAGATATATATCTATAAATATATAAAAATCTTTCAAGACACTAATTTCTATCCAATTAGAAAATTAACATAAACATATTTTGTCCTTGCAAAATATGTGATGACTTATTTACTCAAGATGAGCTTTACCGTTTTATTATTTGATAGTATCATAAGAACTTCAAAAGATAATATTCGTCAAAGATGTCAATAATATTGAATTCATTTAATAATTTCAATACTTCAATCATTCTACAGTAATACCTCAGAATCCTGCTATTATAAGTCTTGATTTAAACTAATTTTTACTCTTTGGAAAAGTAAGGTTCATTGGCCCAAAGATTGATACCATCAAGGATTCTGGTGGAAATATTAAACCTTCATTCCTCAGATACATATTTGAGATATTGTCAAGGAGAAGTAAGTGGTAGCTTGTGCTGCATTGAGTGTAAAATTCTAAAAGCATCTCTGGAATAGGAAGGGTCCAGACAGAACACTTCGAGTTATCTAAAAACCCTATCACCTCAGGATAAGTAATCAGACAGGGTAAAAATAAAAACATGCCATTTGTAAAATGAAAAAAAAAAATTACAGCCCACTTTTTTTATTCCTTTAATTTGGGCAAAACTGACAAACAAAAAATATGGATCTTCCTCAATCAGCAATGTAGACTCTTTGGCCTTTAAGGCCACAGTTCCTTACAGGTTAATAGATTTTTTGACAACAAAAGAGAGGCTGGAATCGATTAGAGCACTTCATCATGTCATGGCATTTTTTTGCAAAGAAGGAAGCATAATGATCATTTGTCACCAGCCCAGCCATTCCTCATTAAGCGAGGTTTCTATGAACAGCTGAGTTCCGTCCTTAAGATGAAGGCTGGCAACTAACAGCTTTGATGGCAGAGAGGATTGGAAGGTAATCACTTCAGTTATCAAAATGTCTGTTTTTTTACTTTGTAAAGTAATCGCATGACTTGTCAGACATTCTACATAGTTTGCAGACAAATGTCAGTATTGATTTTATTCCTAGTACTTTCTATGTATGGAATTATAGCGGAATACACACGGTTACAAGAAACAATGTAAGACTATAGGTGAGTAGGGTTTCAGATTTTTTGTCTCACCAGGGTGTTGGTTAGAAAAAATAACCAAAAGACATTTTGAAAAGTTCTGATGAGATCAAAGGACAAAAGATTTGAAGTACTGAACATTGTGTCATGGTTGGTGAAAACAGCACAGCGCTGTTGACTACAGTGCTTCACTGTCTTCCAATATATTGTTTGTCTCTGCCATCGTCTTCACAGATGGCTTTGTGTGTGTTTGATGATTGGAGAAATGACAAACAGCAAAGTGATAGTGAGAATTTAGAGAATTTTCTTTGGGTTTGTAAGATATGAAAGTTTAATATCCAAAACAAAGATACACTTCTGGATTCAAATAATTTAATTTGTGGATTGCCCCAGAAAAGATAACAATATATAAGAAACATACTGTATCAAATGTGTGTGTGTGTATATATATATATATATATATATATATATATATATATATATATATATATAATTTTTAGTTTTTGAATTGCTCTAATTTTCAAACTGCTAAAGTTTTTAAATCTGTGGGCATGCTTACAAACAATGAATTATGCCACTGGCAGCCTCATACCACTCAATCTCTTCACCTAAATAAGAAAGCCTATTTACAAGTAAAACAGATAGCTTGTAAGAAAATGTAGGAACTCCAAAATGGAAATTATAAACTACAGAAGATTATTTCATTTGTCCTTTACTTAGAATGGACATTCTATGAGAAATCTTCTCATTGTTGGCTGCTAGAAGTAACCTTGAAATATTTGTGTGTGACTAGAGACAAGATACTGGTGGCAGGTGGTAGGGGTTAGGAGGACCTGGGATATTTCTAGAGCCAATATGTATAATTCCCTGAAAAAGATGCATAAAGTAATGAATCAGATAAAATAAAGAGGAAAGAAAAATATATTAGAGAAAGAGTGATTTATAAAATGAAAGAAGTGAAGGTTGGTGAAGTTAGAGAAAAAGAGTAAAGAGAGGCATATAAAGGAAGAAGTAAGTAATAATGAAGGTAAATAATTGTTTGATTTGAAGTTCAGACTCAGTTTGTTTAATAGTCATACTGTTATCACTGAGAATTTATTACTTGGAGGTCAAGATATTGTGAAAATCTATTTTTTCAGCTCAAACCAGCTAGGGCCTTCACCCATCTACCTAAAATTTGATGGAGCATAGAGTTAATTTCAATAGCATTATAATAGATTGTGATCTCATGTCTAACCGATAGACTTTCCTAGAACAGTATCTGTTGCCTTCCTTCCTTTGTTCTGTTGATTGCCTTTCTAACTACCTATTTCATCCCTTTTTTTCTAGTTTCCCTTACTGTATAATTGCTACCAATATACTGGCCTAGAACTGTGTAATGCCAAACTTGCCCCAACTTTTCATCAATTTTGTATGGAGTATTTACCACTACTTATTGAAATGTGTGTTTGTTGAACTTTAATTTATGATCCTAGATCATCAAATTGGCCCCATGAGAGTAACATCTTGGCAAATTTTGTAAAAGAAAGCAAGTAGCTTCTTCAAGGCCACAAACGATGACCACAATAAAGATCCATGGATGGTAAATCTACAATACAAAATTCAAATATTCAGGAATACAATCCAGAGTTTATGAGGTCCATTAACAAATATACTTAAAGGGATCAGATACATAAATGCAGAAACCAAAGTCAAGCAAAAGTGAATACACAACTTGTATACAAATAACTTACGGGTGAAAAAAATTACAATATAAGTTGCATATTATTTGAAATAATCACTGTACATTTCAAAACTATAGAATGTTGCTAAATAAATACTTGGATATGATAACATTAAATGTGTATTAAAACACTAAAGTTTTTGAATAAATGAAGTTAACATTCAGTTTGAAATCTAGATTAACAAGAAAATAACTCTAAATAACCAAGAAGAAAAACAAATAAGTAAAACAAAAATCTCAAAGAAATATTAAATATAGGCCTAAAGGATGTTTTCTTGATAAAGCTAATAAAGTGGCATGCTTCTGGAAGCACAAATCAAAGAATAAAAGAAGAGCCTGAAGAAATAAAATTAGCAATACATTTTATAATATCATCATTACAAGATGTTATGAAAATCTGAATGGTAGAAATTTGAAAACAAACAAAATGTACAACTTACTAGAAAAATAACTTGTCAAACCTAATACAAAAACTAGAATAATACACAGTTTATAAGTATTAAATAATCACTAATCAATACTTAAAGTTCTCCCTTAAAATAAAACAGCCAGCAAAAGAGGATGGATCTACATCATGCAACCATAGCAGATCTGTAATTATATACACTGATTTTTGTTAAAAGTGACATGAGACTGTAGTAATGAAAATGTGAGTTTTTCAATATGGAAAATTGGTCTATTCAATATGAAAATCCATGAATCTTGCTAAGCTAACTCATAGAATACATAAAATGTAATTCCACATGGAACATTGATTTAAATTTAAATAACTGTAAACAAGAAAAAAATAAAGTGTATGCTGTCTTCATATTCATAGGGTATAAAAATATTTTGAAAACAAAACACAAAAGCATTTGGTAAATGAAAAAAATAATAATTTAAGCCACATTGTAACTAACAGCTACCTATTAAAAATAACAATATGTAGGTGAAAAGGTATTCTATAGAGTAAGAGAATATATATAATACAAATATATAATTCATTTACAGAATATGAATAATCACGTATTTCTATTTATCTATACTACACACATGTAATACTCATGAATATAGTATATATGTATATATTATTAGTTTATACATAAAACTCCTACAAAGACACAGATAACTCAGTGGAAAAGTGAGGAAAAGATGGGCACGTCATAAAATAGGATGTCCGAATGGCTAATCATGATAAGAAAATGTGTTCTACTTCATTAGTTACCAGGAAAATAGTAACCAAAACCAACGCAATATAATATCACTTTTCACACAAAAGAATGGTTAATATATTAGTTAGCTATATATGGTCATAATAATGCTATGTTCGTAACAAAGCCTTTTTTCAGAACAAAATAAAAAATAGTGCTATGTAAGAAATAATCACATAATATCAGCATGAGGAAACAGTAAGCATTTATTTAGCTCACTAGATTTCAGGTCGGCTATTCCAAGGCAGGCTCCATTGGCTACTTCTGCTCTGCTCCAGAAGTCTCTCATTCTTCTGAGACAGTAAGGCTAACCTGGCCATATTCTTGTTATGGAAACTATTGAATCACAACATAGGGAACCCAACCAGGAAAGTGTTTCTCATTCATCTACTTACATGGCAAAGGTATTAGGTTAGTGGAAAAGTAATTGAGGTTTTTACCATCAAAACTAATGGCAAAACCCACAATTACTTTTGCACTAACCTAATGACATTTGATTGACCAAAGCAATTCACATGAATAAGCATAGAATGTAATTGTGGATAATTATACTCCATGTATTGACATGAGGTAAATAGAGTAGATATTTTTATTAATAATTTAATCTATAGTGGTGATGACACTATCTAATATTAGTGTGCATGTGAATTACCTGGAACTTTCACAATGATAGTCAAAGTGTAAATTGATGTAGTCACTTTTGATAACTATTTGACACTGCCTGAAAAAGTTGAACCAAGTTATACTTTTTGGCCCAATAATTCTAATTATCCATGAAACAAAATGCATATATATATGTGTTCACCAAAATATATATATAATTAAATAATAACTATATGTATCAGGTACAAAGTAATATGTAAATTGCTGTATATGCATATCATAGAATGCTATCAAACAATAAGTAAACTATTACAACATGAACAACATAGATCAATCTTTACTGTTTTCTGTATGTATGTTATTCTTCAATAAAATATAAAAGTGAAAAGCAAGAGAATCATGAACACAAATTTGGGGGTGAGAAACTTGAAAGGCAGCTTTGGATGGTAGTATGGAGAAGCATAGAAGATGATGTAATGCTATTGGCAACATTCTAGTTAAGTTGGGTTGTGGATTTATAGGTGTTCATTTTATTGTTTATTTTCACTATGTAGATATTTGTTTGCCAACTGTTGGCATATCAATTATTACATAATAATCAATACTTAATTATTGTAAAATAATTACAGAATAAAAAACAGCATCTCATAATTGTCTCAGAGTAGGTTTTCAAAATATCTGTTTAATAAATGACTAAACATGGCAATTTATTTTGTTATATAGTTTATATGTTTTTGATAAATTATATTATTATATTTTTAATAAACAGAATCATATGTTTAATATTTTACAACTTTTTTGTTGTTTCACAGTAAATTCTAAATATTCATTTAGAATATTTCTTGCTGTTGCCACAAACATGTACAGTCTTATGGGTAGTTCATATTTCCAATATTACTAGTCTGCTAAAGAAGAAAATTGCAAAAAATTTCAAAAAAATTGTTCAAAACACTGAAACCTTTCTATACATATGCTTCGGTTGTCCCATCCCCCATGCATGTGACTGTATCATATTGATTCTTAAGGCTGAGGGTTTAGCAAAGCACACTGTAAAACATCTGGCTATTAATAAATGGTCCTCCTAAATGATATAACAAATCATATGACAGAACCTTTTTTTCTTTATGCCAACAATAATTTTAATTATTTTTGCCAATCTAACATAAATATATAGATCTATTGCTATATACAAATTAGATAGATAGACATATTCTTTTATAGTATTATTAGCAAGTTTGATCATTTGAGAATTTGTTTTTCATTTTTCTGCTCTCCTTTTATTTGAGAAGTTTCTCTTTTATGGATTGATTTATTGATGTTTCATAATAAAAATAATTTGTTTTTTATCTCTTATTCAATAAATATAAAAATAGCACTAGCTTTTGAATTTATCTTCTTGAATTTATTTATAATAATTTTATTTCAATATAAGGCTGCATAACTTCTAGGATTTTGTCATTCATTTATAATATGAATACTCATCCATGATTTATTATTTGCCTTTAAAAAAATTAATTCAACTGGAATTATTTTTGGTGTAGGGAGTGAGAAATCCACCTTCACTGTATTTTCCAAATGGCTAGCCAGTCATCCTAACAACATGTATTGAGTAAGACATCTTTTTTCTATTAATTTGAAATTTTTTATCATATATTAAATATAAATCATTTACATTTAAAGCCTTCTTTTTTTTTTATTGAGATGGGGTCTTGCTCGGTCATCCAGGCTGGAGAGGAGAGCAGTTGCAACATCAGGACTCACTGCAACGTCAACACCATCTGTGGTTACAAAATTCTTTTTTATTTTGTAGATTGTAGCAAAATTTAAGCCATTTCAGGCAAAAAAAAAAACTGAGTTTATTTTGAAAAATAATTAGCTGTATGTCATTGTATTGAATACATATATCCATTTCTCCACCTCTTGTATCTTTCCCCAATTTGAAAATCTTTGCTGATGTATAAACAGTTTTTATGGCAGCACAACAAACATCTGGTGTTGAAAAGGAAATGACAAACTTAAATTTTGTAGCAGTTCAGAAAATATTGCTTTTTTAACTTTATTTAGAATTTCACTTTTTTATTTGTAAAAATCTATATAGGAAATAAAGCTTCATTTGAAATATAAATACAGGCTCCCTTTTCTTACATATGTTTCTTTTGTTTCATACCTGAAAACTGTCTTGAGCTCACTTTAGACAATGCTTACAGCAAACCTAGCCAACAATATATTATTCATCAACGTAAAAAACACCTTAAAACCTTGTGTGCCTGCTCTATAAAAATACTATTTTTTTTCCTTTTTACCATAGTCAGTTGGAGAAAAACTCATATATTTGGAAATAAGAAAAGTAATGAAGATTATATAGTATTATCAGCAAATGGGTTGAAAATGTTTTTTGATTGAACTTTTTTTATAAATATGATTTGAGATTTCAGTAAGGACATATTGCAAATGCCACCCAATACATTCAACAAATGTTACTGTCTATCACAGAACACAATTCAGGTTCCAAATGTGATTTGAATAAAAAGGAACCATGAGGGAATAGCTCGTAAATGACACTTTACCTTTTCTGTCTTGATTGATTTTGATACTGAATTTGAGAACAATATGGCTGCATTTGTAAACATAGTTTACTTCCAGTTTTATATAACCATTTAGTGTTTTCCTTTAACATATAGGAAAGTATTGCTTCCTCCACTGAAGTCTATATTTCATTTTTGTACTATAAAAGTTTTAAAACTTTGAAAGAGCAGCCCTGAAATCCTAAGGATCCCTGTGGGCATTCTTTGCATTTCTATGAAATCAAGTTTGAGGTGAAATTTATCTAAGGAGGTTCTCTCTCCTTTTCCTGACCTACGTATTGTTAATACTGCTGCTCACTTACTTACCATCAAAGATATGGAGGCAGGGAAATCCATTAGAGCTTTCTTTTATACTTCCCCCCACACTCCATTATTGAGTCTTTGTGATAACAAAGAATCATAGCTGCAAAATCCACACAGTAACAAAGCTTTCAAACTGTGATTCATATCATAAATAAAGAGATTCAGTGAATTTTAAAAATGCCAAATTATTTTAATCCATATTCTCTATATCCAGCATAAAACCAGAGCCATCTCCACAGATCATCTTCATTTACAATTTTGTTCATTCATATTCTGCTACTATAGCATTCAATTAGAGCAAACAAATTGATTTTACTTTCAAAATACCACTGTGAATTAGGATAAATCAGAAATCGGGCATTGTCCTAATCTAAATTCTAGTAATTGTTTGATGACCTGGGCCATCCCTAAGTTATTAAATTAAGGTCACCATCATGAGATTCACACATTGTAAGGGGCTATACTATGGATGGCTTTGGTAGTGATCCAGGGATGACACTCAAGGGACATAATCATGTAGTTTAATAAACCTGTCTTAGAAAAACCTCTGAACCTCTTATTCATATAATCAATTGCTCTCACTCTACTTTTAATTATTGCCACTGGCAATACCACTCCCCCATTTCCTACCATCTCTTAGGAATTTTTTCTCTATTTAAAGCTAACTTTGTCATCTATGCTAGCTTGATTAAAAAAATATTATTGAATGTATGGTGAAAAACATTATGTGATTTACTTCACAGTCCTTCTGGTCCTATTTCTGGATAGGACTCACTGTATCTATCAGGCAAAACAAAGCACAAAATGCCCCACATTGGAAATACAATCTGCTTTACTCAGTCTGCTAGTGCAAATATTAATCCCATCTAGAAACACTCAAATAATGTTTAACCAAATATGTGGAATCCCCACTTCCCAATCAACTTGACACATAAAATTAACAATTACCACATGCAAATAAGAAGATAAACTTCCCAGGGACCTCTAGACTTAAAGAACAACCTGAGGGTGAGTTCCCTGGTTTCCTTTATGCTTTTCATATATCCTACAAGAGTGCTGGAGTTGCCTGCAACTTGGAACCACCGAAAAGCACACATACACACAGAAATAAAAGATCACCAAATCACAAACACACAGTAGCAATGTCAGCACACACACACACACACACACATACATCAATATGAGTCTGTTCCTTCTACTCAGGAAGCCAGCAAAAGAGTGGCCTAACAGAGTAGAATATCATACAGAAACTGATTTTGCCCCCTTATTTGTTTCAGTAGGGTTAAGGAGAGAAATAATCTTCCATCTTACTCCCACAACTCAGGATCAAGAGGTAGCATTTAGATTCTTCTACTTACTAATATTGGTGGAGCCTAGAGGGAAGCTGATCTTACATCTTTCACTCAGTAAAAACAGGCAGCACTCAGATTCCCCTCTATGGGTGTTGTTTCTGGTACTGAATATAGAAGTATATCGGCTTTTTATTGACAATTCCACATTTTTGTATATTTGTCATGGCAGCAGCAACTTCCATGGACCACATTCGCATTCACTTCTTACTTCAGAATAACAAATTGCCTCAAATTTGGTAGATTAAAAAAATCCATTTATTAACTCAGTTTGGAGTATAGGAGTCTGTTTGATTCAACTAAGTTCTGGTCTAAGGAGCTCACAAAGCTGAAATCAAGGTGTTGGCTGGAATAGGTTCTAAGCTGGGTGCTGGAAAACAATGTACTTTATGTTGATAGAGTTAATTTCTGTGTGGTTATAGAAATGAGGTCCCCATTTTTATGCTGGCTGTTGGTTAGGGGTTGCATTCAGCTCCTAGATACCATTGTCCTTGAACATTGCACTTCCATTTTTAAAGCCAGCACAAATATATGCATTACTTTTGCTTTGACTATTTCTGACTTTCCCATTCTGCTACCAGATAGAATAAATGTGTCTACTTTTAAAGAGCTCATGTAATTAGATTAGGCCCACTCAGATAATTTCCCTTTAGATTAACTCAATGTGAACTGATTAGCACCCTTAATTATATCTGCAAAATCTATATTGCCATGTAACATAACATAATCATGGGCAAGATGTCTCATTATATCATGGACATAGGGATTAAGAAGGAAAATCTTAGGGGGCAATTTTTAAATTTGCCTGCCACAAGAGTTGTTTTTCCATCCACCATTTAATGTAAAAAAAAAAAAAAAAAGATCCCCTAATGTTATTGCCAGAGTAGTGTCATTGTGTCCCAGAGAGCTGAATTTCAGTCCTCTGCTCCACAGAATCAGGGAGTGCTCTAATTTACCTGCAGGGATAGTGTCATGGTGGTCCAGTAGGGAGCTGAGCTTCCAACTCCATTCAGCATCAATGAGACTTGACAATGTGGCTAGTCCATACTCCACTTATCTTGTCCTGGTGAAAGCAGAGCCTGGTGGAGAAGTGGGCCCCATCCCCATCCAGAAGCCACAAGATTGTGAGACAATGTAAGGTGGGGCTTGTAAGAGTTTGGTCATCGTGGTGGGAGAAATTACAAGAGAAAATTATGGGAAAACTGCAAACCTTCTTGGAAGGCCGGAAGGTTCTGCAAAAACTTTAGGAAAGGGTTATGGCTGAAGGCAGCTTGATCCTCTTACCTTGACCTAATAGTTAAAAGCAAATAACAAGGGAATGCAGAGGAGTTTATCTAAGTAGCTTGTTTACTCATGTTTTCCTAAGACTGACCTTTGATCATTCACGTACAGGACTGCTCTCTCTGCGGAGGACGGCCATGTTAATTATCCACAAGTGTGTTGGCTCAAGGCCTTTGTCATTATATCTATACTGAATAAATGTCTGTAGTGCCATCTGGTCAGGGCCGCAGCTGCTGACTCTTCACAGAACCCTCCTTGGTGTCTGTTGGCAGCCCGGTCCCCTAGGCTGCTCTTTCACTGGGATATCGATGTCAGAGTACATTTGTTTATCCGTCGTTCAGCCAGGATCTGTGGGTCAGACCCGGCAGGGACTCATAAGGCTCTGCTCTCCTATGTAGCTGCTGTCAGTAGGATCCAGCTGGGAGCTGATCCTCCACTCCCACCCAACATCACAAAGAGACCAAGATGGTGAAGTGTGGGGTTAGTCTATATTCAACTTCTACACCTCCTTGATATCAGTGGGACTAGTGAAAGCTCAGCTACCATTCCTACTACACAGCAATGAGGTGGTAGAAGTTGGTCCTTTACTTCTGCCCTTAATGATGTCAGTGGCTAAAGGGTGAGCTGATATTACATCCCACTTTAGAAGAACAAGGTAGTGTAAATTCATGCTCAGCATTCACCAACAGTGTGTGAGTAGGAACTAGGGAAAATTGAACTTGTTCCCCACCTGTTTGAATAGAGGAGTATGATTTAATACTCTAATTTTGCTCTGGTGATATCAGCAAGTCCCAAAAGGAATCTGAACACACACCCACACTGGAACCTGCACACTGCATTAGGGAAACTACGTGTTAAGAAAAAAAACAGTGTATAGGATCCAGCGTCTCATAATACCCAAAATGTCTACAATACAATAAAAAAATCACTAATCATACCAATAACCAGGACAATCACAGCTTGTATTAAAAAATACAATGAAGATATACCAACTTTGAAATCAACAAGATAACTTGACAAGAATATTAAAGCAGCCATCATAAAAATATTAAGTGAACAATTATGAACATTGTTGAAATGAATTTAAAAAATAGAAAATCTCCTCAAAAGAAAAAAGGATATTTAAAAAAGAAATCACAGATCTGAAAAACACAGTAACTGAAGAAAAACAAAACTAAAAATCACTTAAATGGATAGGCTTAATAGCAGGGTAGAGATGACAGAGAAAAGAATTGGCGAACTCAAAGACAGATGAACAGGTATTACTCAATCTGAACAACAGAGAGAACATAAACAAAGAAAAAACACAAAGCCTCAAGGACTGGTAGACCAAAGCAGGGTTATCTAGCATTCATATCACTGTAGTTACAGAAGGAGAGGAGAAAGATAGAAAAAAATATAGGGCTAATAGAATAACCCGGATAAATGTCAAGGTCATTATGCTGAGTGGGAAAAAAAAGCTAACCTCAAAAGGCTAGATACTATAGTCTTTCACTTATTTAACATTGTTAAATGGCAACATTATGAAGATGAACAACATATTGGTGGTTTTGAGGGGTTAGGGATAGGAGTAAGAGAGAGGTTGGGTGTGGCCACAAAAACTTAGCATGATGGAGCCTGTGGTGGTAGAAAGCTCTGTATTTTCATTGTGGTGGTAGTTACATGAGTCTATACATGTGATGTGCATTTATAGCTCTGCATACCATCCCTTGCCACATTCATGTATACACAAACGAGCATATGTAGTAAATTTAGTGGATGAAAATTTCCTGGTTTTAATGCTGTCCTACAGTTTACTCAAGAGGTTACCACTGGGGAAACGGTGGAGCATCCACAGAACCTCTCTGTGCCTTTTTTTTTCTTTCAATGTAGTGTGAATCTAAACTAATTTTGAAATGAAAAGTTAAGACAATGTAAATAAAAACTCTTTCATATAATTTGGCCCACTCTCTATACCTTACTTTGCCTTTCTTTTAAATATTTCTCATTTGGTCAAAATTATTTGTTGTGAATCTTTGCCATAATAAACATCCTGAGAACCTATGTAAGCTCTGTACTTTAGCCTGCTGACAGTAAGATATCCTACTTTCATTGTGCTCATCCCCTTACCAAGTTTTTGTTTTATTGTCTAACTACTTAATGAATAGGTTTATAATAAGTAGATTAAAATGATGCCAAGAAATTCCTTTTTATTAATCTATCTGTCTATCTAGGTAACTGGGGCGCTGGATCTCTGGAGGCAACATGGTCCACTGCAAAAGCCTCTAGATTTTGAATAGATCATTTGAAATTTCTACAATTGACTCTTTATTGTGTCATTTTTTTAGCCGTAGAATAGTAATGCTTCTCTTACCTTATAAAATAGCATGAAGCATAACTAATAAAACATCTAATGAAATTTTAAACGTTTACACAAAGCTTTTATAGCATGCTGTAACAAATAAAATACGGGGAAAGAAATACTAACATTGTTAAACCTATGGATTCTAATACCAAAGGAAAACAAAAGAGGTATATACATTTAAATAACTAATTATGATAATTTCAAAGAAAGGTACAGCTCAGTAGTATAGAATAGAGATATAAGTAAGAATGTATAGTCTCAGGGAAAAAAAATAAAATGACATTCACAGACTTGTTTAAGGAGCTTGGTAATAGAATCATTAAAATATCAGCTAGTAAACTTGGTTAATCCCTAAATTTCAAATAATGATCAAAAAATTTAAAGAAAAATAAAATTGTATTTAGAAGAAAATCCACTTAAAATTGTGTACAGTAACTAACAAATGACGATATTTAGAGGAATTTGGCAGAACTTTTCCTTCTCAAGTTAATACCTTGAATAAAGTGCTTCAATATGATGTGAATAGAAGTAAATATATTCAGGTAACACTAAAAGCTTTTGAAGGGTTTGAACATTTCATCAGTAAATCAACAAAGAGAAAAGTTGAAAGTTTTATGATGTATTCTGTTGTGTGTATTTAATGGCTGCATTTTCAGTTTGTTTATTGAGTGTACTCAAGTTGTATTAATGAGGAGAAAGTTGTAACCTAGATAAGATCAATGCTTCAATATTGATTGACCTGAAACAAAGGCAGAGGTACGGTTAGCAGCAAGAAAAAATTTTTATATTGGTATCAATGAAATATTCAGTTAAATAATTAAAAATAGAAGTTAGTCATAAATTATTGATGTGAAGAATAATGCAATTAACTTTTTTCATTTAACGAATCAAATTATACACATAGAAAAATAACTTTTTAATCTGAATCCCATATGAATGAATATCATTGCATTAGATTTGGAGGACAGTTCATTCTTAGTATTTTCAATATAAAATAAGGATAATAACTATAAATAATATATTAATTGAATATCAAACATATATTGTTTTTTAATGTTGCATACTGGTTATAAATGACTGCAACACCCACAATTTAACTTTCCAGATAGTAGGCTTTCAGTTCTGGATTGACAAAGTTAAATCTTATTTTTTAGTGACTTTGTAAATTCAGGCATCATCTGAACAAACACTCTGAAAGGCACAGATAGAAAACACCTGAGAGAGAAGGACGTAAGGCCAACACAGGAAGAAAAAATTAGATAAACTGTCAACATATAGAAAAATTGTTCAGTGTTTTTGACAAGCAGGTCAATGGTGAATACTCACCTTTTGCCTCTTGGACTTAAAAATATATGTAGTCAGCAAGTTGGCAGCACTTAGTGAGTATGTAATTCAATGAGGAATCAGGAAAAATGCAGTTTCTAGTTTGTTACATTATACTTTGCAATTTCAGAAAATCTTGGAACACGTAAGCCTCACCGTTAATACTCTCATTACTATAGGACCAAAAAAAAAAAAAAAAGAAAGAAAATCCTTTTTTTGTGTGTGATTCATTAAATAACTCATAGTTTACCATAATGTAGTGGGGATGAGAGATGCTCAGAAATTCAGAAATTCACAATAATTTAGCAGGGATGAGAGATGCGCAGAAATTCACCTTTTAATTTAGCTATGGCTCCATTATTTTCCACATACACATGTCTACTACCTTGTAACTCATTGAAGATACTTACCAAATATTTAACATAACTAGCAGAAAAGTCCCCAAAATTGCCAGGTGCAGTATTAAAAATAAGCTGGAAGATCTATAACTATATTGAAATCTATCTACCTATCTATCTATCTATTTTTTTTTTCTCTGAGGTAGATGTCTAGGATCACTGTGAGGAAAAAATCAATATATTTCTGTGTAATATGGTAACCATGAGCTACAGAGTAACTGAAATATCACTAGTCCAAATTGGATTATGCTTAAGTGGAAATTCTCAATTTTGAAGACTCAGTGTGAAAAAATAATGTAACATCTCACTAATAGTTTTTACACTATTAAATGTTGAAATGATAATATATTGAACATATTTAGTTAAAACATGTATTATAAAAATGTATTTCACTTCTTATTAGGCAACTGGATAATTTTATATTATATATGTATCTTTTATCTGTGGCTTATATTTCTATTGGACAGTGCTGCTCTATAGAATATCCATAGCTCTTTCACTTCTCAGTTGCTTTGACATTATAAAAATATATCTAAATTCAGTAATGAGAAGTCATATCATCAAGCATGTGGCTGCCAATTGATCAGGTACTGTATTTACTGGACTACAACATTGCCCCCAGCTCTGAGGATGAATCAAAGATGGCTCACCCTGATGGTCTCTTCCGAATTATCATGACACTAGGATAGAATCTGAGTAACCAGAATGTCATAAATTCCTGCATTTTACATCTGTTCTGCGAAACTTTTTTTTTAACCTTTCCTGTGTATGTTTGCCACTGTAAATTCCCAAGGGTAGAACGTTTTTTGCTTCTTTGTATTTTCAAGATCTGAGATAGCACGTGGCACATAATAAATGTGAAATAATTATGTTGAATGAACGTTCCTAACACTCATTCCAAATTTTGTTTGGAATGTTATATATTTATTTTCTTATTCGTTTATTTCTGCCTTATTTCCCTAGAAAGTAAGTTCCCTAAAAGCAAGAAATTTGTCTACTCTCATAATCATTATTATTGTAGATTTCTAAAGTTAAGAATCGTGTCTGACACAAAGTGATACTCAAAATTGTCTGCTGAATGAATGAAAGTAGATGCTTTAAGAGCAACTAGAGAGTGAAGAATTAATTCCAGTTAGCCAGGCAAAGAATCTTCTTTTTCTTTCTTTCCATGTGAGATTTTATATCCCAAGTAATCTTATTCAAGAAGGTAGCCTTCCAGCATCTTCTTTTTGATAGCAGAGATTTGTCTTTTCCCCAATTTTTCTGTGCTCTAATTGAACATCCTACCCCATATTGTCCATTTTAAGGGTCAAAATATAAATGTCAGTAAAGTTAGAGCACTTCTCCTGGAGTTTACCAAATTATTATTTTAATATAAATAAAGTTGTCTCAACTTTGCTCTACCTCTGTTCCAGTTCATGCTAGCCTTTGGTTCCTTGAACAAAGAAAACTTATTTAAAGACAACATTCATCATTATCAAAGATATCAAAGAAGATACTTATGAAAGGATTCTTGAAGTTCTTCAACAAAATTTCTATGGTAAACTTGTGATTGGAAGAAAGAACAAGGGCCCTAAGCACCATGTTGATACAGACAGAAGGCGGGGAAATACTAGGCAGAAAGTGGTGGGGTCCCTGGTGAAGCCTTATCCTCAAGCCTGGACGCACGGCCGAAAGTGAGAAAATGCGTTCTTGTTTTCCTGCTTGGATGTTGTTTTTAGCCCACCAGACCCACCATCCTGTACTCATAAAAACCCCAGGCTCCACTGGCAGTGCAGCAGAGTGGCAGCATGGCAGAGCAGCAGAGAAGGAGTGAAGAGAAGATGCAACCAGATTTGGAGAGAAGCAGCTTTACTTTACAGGAATAGCTTCACGGCAGGACTTTGCAGGGATGGCTGAACTCCAGGGGAAGGCCATCTTCCCACTACATCCCCTTCCCATCTCCTTTTCCCACTGAGAGCCACATCCACCCTTCAAGAAAATCCTCCTTATTCACCACCCTTCAATTCATTCACACAACCTCATTCTTCCTGGACACCAGACAAGAACTTGGGTTTCAAGAGGGTGGGTGCAAAAGGCTGTCACCCTGACCCTCCACTGAGCTGTTAGGCGCTTAATCTGTCTGTGGATGGCAAAGCTAAAAGAGCACACTGTAACACACGCCTTCTGTGGCTCCAGGGGTCATGGTGTTCTCCCCTCTCCTTCCCATTTTTGATGGCTATGGCAGTGCAAGACTGCCACCTCTTTGGGTTCCTGCACCAAGTGCAATAACTCCATAACTTTCCTGTGGCATCCAGTGGGGGTTCCCAGAGGTTAGGAACTCCCATTCTTTCCATATTGCAGCATGGGCATGTAGGATTAGATAAGCATACTTGCTATCTGTGTACACATTTATTCTTTCTCCCTTTCCCAGTTCTAAGGCTCAGGTAAGTGCCACTAGTTCTGCTAACTGGGCACTGGTCCCTGGGGGAAGAGGCTTACTTTCAACTATGGTTACGTCACTAACTATGGCGTAACCTGCCCTTCGTATCCCATTCTCTGCAAATGAACTTCCATTGGTATATAGGTTAAGGTCAGGATTAGTTAAGGGGACTTCTAAGACATCATATCAGGTGGCATAAGTCTGGACTATAATTTGTTGGCAGTCATGCTCGATTGGTTCCCCATCCTCTGGGAGAAAAGTGGCAGGGTTGAGGGCCATGCATGTGTGTATTTGAAGCACCGGTCCCTCAAGGGGTAGCGCCTGGTATCTAAGTAGGCAGTTGTCTGATAGCCATAAACTTCCTTTGGCAACTAGTATGCCATTTACATCATGAGTAGTCCAGACAGTGAAATCCTTTCCTTGTATTATTTTGATAGCCTCTGACACTAAGACGGCCACTGCTGCAAATACCCTTAAACAGTGAGGACTGCCTTTTCTACTACATCAATTTCCTTACTTAGGTATGCCACCAATTGTGGGGTTGTCCCACGAGTCTAAGTAAGGACTCCAAGAGCTGTCCTAGCTCTCTCTGTGATGTATAAAGAGAAGTTTTGTCCTGTGGGAAAGCTTAAAGCTGGAGCTTGCACTAGGGCCTGCTTTAAGGTTTTGAAGGTTGTTTCTGCCTCTGGTTCCCATTCTACTAGATGATTATTTGCCCTCTGGGTTTCTTTAATTAGAGTATAGAGGGGCCTGGCTATCTCGCTATATCTGGGGATCCATAGTCGGCAAAAGCTGGTAATTCCAAGGAACCCCCACAACTGTTTTAATGTCTTAGGGTGAGGGTAAGCCAGTATAGGCTGTTTTCATTCCTTGCTGAGGGCCCTGGTCCCTCTGGCTAAGATTAGGCCTAGATATTTGACCTCCTGTAGGCAAAGCTGGGCCTTCAACCTAGACACCTTGTACCCTTGATTAGTTAGAAAGTTCAAGAGATCTGGAGTAGCCTGCTCGCACGAGGCTTCTGAACTAGTAGCCAAAAGTAAATCATCCACATATTGAAGGACCAGAGTGCCTGGATTTGAGAAGTGGCCTAGATCTTGGGCCAGTGCCTGACCAAATAGATGAGGGCTATCCCTAAACCCTTGGGGCAAGACCGTCCCTGTAAGTTGGGACGTGTGGTCTGTGGGATCCTCAAAGGCAAAGAGGAACTGGGAGTCAGAATGCAGGGGAATACAGAAGAAGGCATCCTTGAGGTCCAGAGCCATGAACCATTCTGCTTCCTCTGGTATTTGAGAGAGCAGGGTATAGGGGTTGGGTACAACTGGATATAGAGGAATTACTGCCTCATTGATGAGTCTAAGATCTTGCACTAGCCTCCACTGACCGTTTGGTTTTTGTACTCCTAGAATTGAGGTGTTGTAGGGACTGCTGCATTTCCTTACTAAGCCTTGAGCTTTTAAATGTTTAACAATATTCTTTAATCCTTTGTGAGCTTCAGGCCTAAAGGGATATTGCCTTTGAAAAGGAAAAGTGGTGGGATCTTTTAACCTGATTTGAAATGGGTGGGCATTTTTTGCCCTTCCAAATTGTCCTTCCAATGCCCAGACTTCAGGGTTGATTCCCTCCTCAAGTAGGGGACAACAAATGGGTAACTTGTTCCCCATATTCATGTAGGTAATAGCTCCAGCCTTGGCTAATACATCCCTCCCTAATAAGGGTGTGGGACTTTCAGGCATAACAAGAAAGGCATGTGAAAAGAGCAAAGTCTCCCAGTTACAACAGAGGAGATGGGAGAAATATCTGGTTACAAGCTGTCCCAGGATTCCTTGGATGGTAACGGACCTTGAGGACAGTCTTCCAGGACAGGAGATTAACACCGAGAAGGCCGCACCAGTGTCCAGGAGGAAGTCAGTTTCCTGGCCCTCAATAGTTAAACATACCCGGGGCTCAGTGAGGGTGATGACATGACCTGGCACTTGCCCCAGGCACCCTCAGTCTTGTTGTTGGATCATCTGGTTGGGGGCTTCTGACCCAGGGAATCTTCATCCTCTGGGGCAGTGCACCTTCCAGTGATTGCCTCGGCATAGTGGACATGGACAAGGGGGCAGTTTGTTTCTCATCGGACAATCTTTTCTGAAGTGTCCTAGTAAACCACACTGATGACAAGCCCTATCAGGTGATTGGCCTGCTCCATTTTCTGTCCTTTCTGAACCACCAACGTTTGTTTGTCCAAGGGCCATGACTAAGGCTGCAGCCTTTCTCTGATCTCGCTTTTCCTTTTGGGCCTGTTCCTCTTGGTCCCTATGATAGAACACCAAGGTTGCCAGGTTTAGTAATGTCTCTAGATCTTGTTCAGGGCCCAGGGCTTGCTTTTGGAGCTTTCTCCTGATATCTGTGGCTGGATTGGGTAATAAACTCATGTTTTAGAATCAATTGACCCTCAAGTGATTTGGGTGACAGGGGAGTATATTTTCTTAAGGCCTCTCATAGCCACTCGAGGAAGGCAGGATTTTCTTCCTTTCCCTGAGTTATGGTGGAAATCATTGAATAATTCATGGGCTTTTTTTAATTCTCCTTAGTCCTTCTAGAACACAGGTCAACAGATGTTTGTGACTCCAGTCCCCATGATCTGAGTCAAGGTCCCTGTGGGGATCCATACTAGGGATGGTTTGCTGACCAGTAGGGAATTTGTTCCTTTCTTCGGCTGTCATTCTGTCATTTACTTGACTAAGATACCAGGTATCTCCAAACTCTCGGGCTGCAGTTAAAGCCACATTCTTTTCATTAAAGGCCAGGGTTTGATCTAACAGTAGCAAGACATCTCCCCAAGCGAGGTCAAAGGTTTGCCCTAGACCCTGTAGGACATCTATGAACCTGTCAGGAAAATCTGAAAACTTCCCCAGGTCTGCCTTGATCTGCTTTAAATCAGAGAGGGACAAGGGAACGTGTACCCGGGTTGGGCCAAATTCCCCTCCCCCTACAGCTTCAAGGGGACATAACTGATAGCCCGGGGGGTTTTGTGGTCCTTTGGAGATTTCTTTGCTTATTTCCTTCTGGGAAGGGGAGATTAGCAGAGGATTATCATTAATAGGAAGGGGAGCTATAGGTAGGCTACCATATGGGGGTAAGCTGAGAGGTCCTCCTGTGGGATGTAAATTGCAAGCTTTGCATAGTTGTGTATTCTCCTTCAATGAAAAGAAAGCTTGGACATAAGGTATTTCACTCCATTTGCCTTACCTCTTACAGAAAAGGTCAAGCTGCAGGACAGTATTGTAATTTGTACTTCCCTCAGGTGGCCATTTTTCCCCATCAGAGAGAGAATATTAGCACCAAGCCATAGTGCAGAAAAAATGAGCTGCCTCTTTTTCAGGGTTTTGGATCAAATTGTTCCCAATGGCTTAGGATGCATTTCAAGAGTAAGCCTGTTGATGCCTGAGTGTTTCCCATCTGAAAGACAAAACCACCCATGGTTTTGGTTTGCTTTGTTTCTCCGCCTGCCCAAGAACCTGCAACGGTCCCTGGACCCTGCTGATAGGAATAGTTGCGCTCACTGATGCAGCAGCAGAAACACTAGTTTTCCTCCCAGGCCACATGGAGGACCAAAGAAGGTCGGATTTTGTGGCCCTTACCGATGCATTCTCGAAAACCTGCACCCTTGCCTGTCCTCCTAGACCATGAGGAGGACTGATCAAGAAAAATCGGATTTAGTGGCCCTTACCAATGCATTCTTGAAAACCTGTTAGAGTCCTAAGCGTTCTCCTGTTAGTATTGGGACTTTACCCCTGTCCTATAAAGATGATATGCCCCAAAAATGAAGTGGTGGGCCATACCTTGAGGGAGGGAATGGATCTCCAGGGTTGGAAGAGTGACACCTTTTGTCGTCACTTATATGAATAGGAAGGATACAATTTCTGAGGCTCCCCATATCCTAGCTTCACGAATAGCTTTTGTTAGGCCTGTTAGTCTGAGGAGGGATCCTAAAATTCCATGTAATACCCACTACAGTGGGACTTTGGGCCAAAATTATGTCATTCTGATTGGTGAGCCCAGGTGCCTAAAGAAGGTAACAGAGTCCTGGAGTTTATACTAGAAATCATTCTTATAGGAGAAACTAGAAAAGCACCAGACACAGGTAGCAATTTTTAGAAGCAGGACTAACCTCTGAGAAGAGAGGCGAGAGGAAGTTTGGCAGGCATTAGGGCCCAGGGGTAAGGGTCAGGATAGATAGGATAGAGGGGCGAGTCTCGCTTGGGCAACATGACTTTGAGAGTTCCGCTCATGGCCGCAGGGTCAACCAACTTGTTGTCGGTACCCCGGAGCTGCATGGCTTTCCTCTCTGTCAATGCTTGGCTCAGCCCAGAAGTACAGGAAAAGTGGAAGCTGGTTCTAGGCAAACCAACGGTCCCAACTCTGAAGAGGCAGAGGTTGTTAGAGAGCCCTTTCCCAGAAAGCCTGACACCCGTATCTTTAGTCCAGCGACTGCGCTAGTTGCTTTTAACTGGCCGACAGGTGCCCGGTATTTAGCCCCCGAATTCTAAGGAAAAATAGGACAGAGTAGCAAGCGAAAGGGGTCCGATGGTACTCACTGCTTGGCGATAGGTGATTGTCTCGCCACTCAGCTATGGGTGATGGTCTCAGCACTCAGCGATAGGCGATTGTCCCATCTGGGTTGCCAAAATGTGTCTGGAATTGGTGGGTTCTTGGTCTCATTGACTTCAAGAATGAAGCCGTGGACCCTCGTGGTAATTGTTACAGTTCTTAAAGGCGGCGTGTCCGGAGTTTGTTCCTCCGGATGTTCGGATGTGTTCGGAGTTTCTTTCTTCTGGGGGGTTCGTGGTCTTGCTGGCTCAGAAGTGAAGCTGTAGACCTTTGCAGTGAGTGTTACAGCTCTTAAGGTGGCGCGTCTGGAGCTTCACTCCTGAGCCAGTGAGACCACGAACCCCCCAGAAGGAAGAAACTCTGAACACATCTGAACATCAGAAGGAACAAACTCCGGACACGCTGCCTTTAAGAACTGTAACACTCACCGCGAGTGTCCATGGCTTCATTCTTGAAGTCAGTGAGACCAAGCACCCACCAATTCTGGACACAGTGGGACCCCCCTAGACGCTGCTGCCAGGCCACTTCTGCCAGTGCCCAGAAGCACTCATTCCAGCCCCTGCACCCACTCATCTGTATGCTTCCCCTCCTGTGAGGGGTCGAAAGCTTTGGGTTGAGTAAACAAGCCAACACCTTTGCGAGTTCTGTGAAGGGGTCAAGGGAACTATCACATTTAAATACTTATTATCAATAAGTGTGACTATATTACCAGAAAGAGGTCTCAATGCAGACCCCTAGAGAGGGTTCTTGATTCTCATACAAGAAAGAATTCAGGGTGAATCAAAAAGTGAATTCAAGTTTATTAAGAAAGTAAAGGAATAAAGAATGACTACTCCATAGGTAGAGCAGCATGGGCTGCTCAGCTGCTTATACTTATTGTTACTTCTTGATTATATGCTAAACAAAGAGTGGATTATTCATGAGTTTTCCAGAAAAGAGGTGGGCTATCCCCAGAACTGAGAGTTCCTCTCCTTTTTAGACCATATAAGGTAACTTCCTGACCTTGCTATGGCATTTATTAACTCTCATGGCAATGGTGGGTGGCAGTGTCTTTTAGCTTGCTGATGCATTATAATTAGCATATAATAAGCAGTGAGGACCACCAGAGATCACTTTTGTGGTCATCTTGGTTTTGATAGGTTTTGGCCAGCTTCTTTACTACAACCTATTTTATGAGCAAGGTCTTTTTGACCTGTATCTTGTTCCAACCTCCTATTTCATCCTGTGCCTAAGAATGCCTAACCTCCTGGGAATGCAGCCCCGTAAGTCTCAACTTTATTTTAGCCAGCACCTATTCAAGAGTCATTCTGGTTCAAACACTTCTGACAACTAGGCCAAAATAAATAATATATATTCATTTCCTGATGTAAGTTAATAGATTGTACTATGCATTTTTATAATAAAGGTCAGCCTCACATCTATGAAGAAAGAGGTTTTGTTTATTTTGATTATATTACAGACTATCTAAATCAAAGATCGGAATCATTATTTAAAAAACAGAGCAGGGCAAATTTAAAAAGACAAAGACAATTCTATGGAATGAAGACTTTTTTAAAAAACATAATTTCAAGTCCTAAAAACTTCATGTTACCTATCAAAGAAAGACAGAAATACCCATTAATCACTTAAAAAAAATGACAAACTCAGGCAAAATAATAATAATAATAATAACATTTAAAATAAAAAGAACTTTCTAGCAAGAGACTGAAGTGGTAAGGATCAAATATTTATTTAATTCTGAATTGTCACTATGACAACTAATGTGACTTACTCAAGATGCACTGCTTTATAAAATTCAAAATAAATATGACTTTACTCAATATCTATCACAGAAACTCAATTCTGTGTATATACCTGCTTAATTTATCTACAAAATAAATATCATATAAATGCATTGTATATAATTTATTATATACAATGTATTTATATAATTTTATGTATCTGTCTGCTTAATAAATAAATATAATTAATTCATTTATTTACTCATTTATGTGGAGAAAGAGAGAAAGAGCCCAACCCTCTGCAATAAAAATGATTTCCCAAGGCTTATCTCCTCAAATTCAAATACTAAAGGAATTTTAAGTACCCAAAAATGGAAAAATTTTCATATTTGTCTATATTAAACTAAAAAATTTAGAATTATCAGATAGCAAAACCTATAGCTAATATTTTTCTACTAAAATCATGAAGAGTGTGTTTTCCAATGGCACCTGAAATGACTTTATCAATAGTTACATTGTTTAGATAACTGGCACAACAATAGCAGACATGTGGAAGAAGATGATGGACTATTTAAGAGAAAGACCTTTTGTATTGGATTATCAATGGATTATTTAAAGGAAGGAACTCACTTTTGATAGGTTCTTACAACTATAGCAATGCAGCATTCACTTTTCTGCACAGGTCTTTTCTAGTGGCTGGCACTTAGATGGTAACAGTGCAGTGTGGCAGAAAGGGTGCAGTATTGGTGTTTTATGGCCAGCATCAGCACTAACTGGCTTATGAACACAAGCAAGTTTTTTTTTTGGTGTTTTTTTTTTTTTTTTTTTTTTTTTTTTTTTAGCAATATGCATCTCCAGTTTCTTACCTGAAAAATTATTGGACCAAAAAAATTTCTTAAAGTAATTTTTTGGATCTAAAACTATAAAAAAACAAAAATAAATAAAACAAAATGGAACAAAAATAATAAGCCACTTTTTTGCCATAGATGTCTAAGAAGTTATTCAAGGGCCTACATGGGTAATTTAGAGGACAGATACTCAATAATATTGACTAGCATCATTGTTTATTTTTGGCATGATTTTTTCTTTGCTTATTATGAAAATAACTATATAATATTTAACAATAATTTTTTTCTTACTAGAAAAGTCACTTTTTTCTTTATAAAAATTAAAATAAAATCCCCAAGTAAAAGTGTAGCAGTTATGTATTTTGAATATGTAAACACTTTTTTTATTAATTAAATTCAAACACACAGTGCTGAGAAACTTTGTTGACTAAAATCCTAGGATATGAGAAACTTCACTGTTTGAAGTCATACTAGTGAGAATGGAATATTCTGCCCTTGCTTAAAGGATCTGAACCATCTGAATCACTGTGACATACAGAGCAGCCTCAATTTCCTAACTATCTCAACCTAGGTTCTTCATATAAAAGGATTGTGTTGGTTTGTTTCCACAGAACTTCTCATTTATCTTAACTTTGTAGTTAAAGAAACACAATTCTAATTCTGCTGCTCAGTGCTGCTAGCAATCAGACAATGGCATTTCTAACAAAAACAAAGAACATTCCTAACACAAACAAATAACGTTTCCAAGGAGACATTGCCAAGGCCACATAGTTTGAGCAATGACTGCTTCCTTATCAATGATTTCCTCAGCCCTGCTTTGTTTCTCCTGCCTTCTGAATAAGACTACTGTGATAAACAACCAGAGCTGTTCTTGCATCTCCAAGTTTCTCCTTAGAAACAGTTCTTAGGCACAAACACAGTTCTGCTAAAAGTCCCTTTCAAATCCCTTCCAGTCATCTGCCTCCATTTTTCCTTGAGCGTTCCTCCTTGCTGCAAAGAGTAAATAAACCTGACTTTGTTTTACTACAAGTGTATTCCGGTGATATTTATCAGATAGGCTTTCTCAAGGTAAAAGCACGCACTTGAAACAAGGTGGTAAACAGCTGTTGATTGTCTCCTCAATTCCAATTTTCTTTCTTACATCAATACTTTTTTTGGTCTTATGTTGATGTGTATACTCCAAACCCGTTCTTGGCTCCACGACTTGAGTGGGATTGATTGCCTGATGTGAACTTCCCTGGACACTGAAAATTGATTCAAGTCAATAGAAAGAGTAAAGCCCAAGACACAAAGGGATAGAAGGAGATACATGCTATGTCTCCTGGATTGTAAGTGTAAAATATGTGGTCTGAATCTGCTCTAGTGCTTTTTATTCTAACGGGAGAATGTGGAATTCTGCTATAGAAATATAGAAAATGAGACCATTAAAAGTAGAATAGAGAGACAGAGACACAAAGAGTTAGGAGGAATTGTGCGAATTACTGGATCCAGTACGGCCTGCTTTATTGTCAGATGAGCCAAAAAAAATCTCTTATTTGAATTAGTTTAAGTTGGTTTTGTTTGCTAATTAATTTTTTTCTTTTTTTTTCTGAATTTGAAAACCTCCTATTGGATTTCAGTCTGACCTAAGAACATAGATAATATGATGAAAATTCAGAGATACCAACTTTGCTGGCTCCATATGCACCGTGGTAGAATAAGACCAATGAAAAAGTAGCTGGTTTCCACTAACCTTGGCGCATCGACATGACAAGGAAAAGATATGGTAATCTTAGAGTTGCGTGTTTGAAAATGTTCATTAATAACAGCAGAGTCAGGTCTTGTGCTGTTCAGGAGGTGGTCTCTCATGGGAATAAAATGAAAAACGTTAATCCTGAAGTTACAAGGAGTCTTGAGATTGTTTACTTGCTTTGGGAAAAAAGAAGACAGAGTAGAATCCTAGTAATTGTTTTTCAGTATTGGGAGACTCTACATGGTGAAGGCAACCACTAACTATTCTCTACCACCAAAGAGAAATACATTTGAAAATCTTGTAAATGTAAATGAAAATGTAAATTTTATAAATGAGGAAAGTGAGTTTCAGAGACTTCAGAAGTAATTCATAGCCTGTATCTCATGAATCAAGAACTCTTAGAAATAAGAGCCAAATTTTATTAGTTAGTTATTTTGTTTCAGGCCACGTATATAGTTTATCATATCCCATGAAGTATGTACAATTATTATCATTTCAATTGTATACATGATAAACTGAGGTGTACAGAGGAACTTGTCCAATAGCACAGGAGTTATAAAAGGCAAACCCAGGATTTGAATCCATGTCTCTCACCCTCCAGGGAACACATATCTGACTACGAGCTATGTAGGTTCGCTAGATTCCTTATACTTAATTCTTAGGCCAGAGTGTCTATCTCTAAAAATCAGTTTGTTTCTCAAGAAAGGTATGAGCAAAAAATCAATGGAAACATGAAATCTTTGCCAGATTATTGTATAAATAATATTATTTGTAACTATAAATATATATACTTGTTATATACTTGAGTATATACTTGTTATGTTTGTGTCTTTTTCTGCTTATATATGTGTGCAAGAGGGGCTTGGATTCCTTTATTCAATAATAACTATCAACTACTTAATGTATTTTAGGCACTAATATTTGCACTAATAATGCAGCTCTTAATGGGATTTACATTACAGCGGGATAACTTGATATTATACAAGTAAAATTTAAAATTTATAGTAACAGAGGCTATTAGAAATAGCCATCTGAGAGGGGGGATAAACAATGACAAGGCCAGAGATGGTAATCCTATTTATTTGGGTAGAATGATGAGGGAAGGCAACTCTGAAAATATACAAATTGAGACAAGACATAAGTGAAATGAGAGAGAACAATTTTAAAATCTGGGAGAAGAACATTTCAACTGCAGAGGTCCAGGGCAAACCCCACTAGATGGGAAGAACTTGACAATTTGAAAGAAGAGTACAATTACAGTGGTTCAGAAGAAGTGAGCAAAAGTAGAGTTAGAAGATCAGGATGGAAAGTTTATCCTTTCATCTGAGTAATGAGAAGTCAGAATACCTGGCTTTGTAGGATATGGTAATATATTCAGATTTTGTTCTAAATTTGGTAGAAAAGGACTAGAACTTCAGTTAAGTGTGCCAATAAATTCCAAGTTTCATAACCAATTAAAAATAAATTGACAGAATAATTATTTCAAAAGAAAATCAGATCTTGAGTGCAAAAGTTATAAATATGTGACATTTTCTTAAAGTGTATTTTCCATTTTGTAACATATCCTACCTTTAATTCTTTAAAGTTATATAAAGAATATAAAATGATATATTTATTTTATTATTTTTCTTCTACTTAAAAATGTCAGAATGAAAAATAAAATTATTTTTAGGCAATCACAGACAATTTTATTGCCCAAAGAGACTTACGAGAAACTTGTGAGCAGTACAAAACAAGAATCTATAAATAAAATCACATCCCATCCTCTCTTGGCTAAAGTTTTCCAAACAGTAAATGTAACATAGTTTTCACTCTGCATTCAATTGACATTATCCATTAATCCCAATAAAATATATTTTTCCTCTGGGCTTTAGTAGTTTCAAGCAAAATCTTCTTTAAAAAATAAAACAAATTTTAATCTGCTATTTTGTGGTCTTATACTGTATTAGAAACGTTGGACTTGAGGTCATCTAGTGTGGCAGGATCCAGCAAAACTAATTTTCTACTATCAGAAAAACTTTCTTCTGTCTTTACCCAGATAGTATCATGATGCTCTCCCCAGCAAGTACATCTGTCCTCTGGTTCCTAGTATTCTACAGAACCATGATCATATCTGGGCTTCCATATTCTGAACATTTCACTGATTATGCATTTGAGAAAAAATGGAAACTACATATTTCTGTATTAAGTATACCTATATATTGTAATACATTGAACTAAGTGAATTCTGAATCTGGCAAAGATGAAATAACTGGTATCAGATGAAATCTCCCAATAGCAACAACTATAAAATTTTGTTAAAAGACAAAAACAGTATTTTGAAGGCATCAGAAATTAAACACAGTAGTCAGTATTGGTTAAGTAAAGGTTCTAACAGAAAGGAAATGCATTGAATACGAGTGTTAAATTTCTCCTTATTCCCTGTCTTGGCATCCAGGGATTTATGGCATATGGGCAAAGAAGAGAGCCATACAGCAGTGATCTAGACCTTGTGATAATCACACCCTATTGGGAAGATAAAAATTGGCATTGAGATCTAATAAATAAATTATGACTTTGAGGACCAAGAGGCAGAGGAAGAGAAACTATACAGAAGAAAGTTCAACATTTTGAATGCAATTTATTTTAATTTGTTGACTCCAAAGATTGCTCATTCTTGGGGCAGGATTTATAGAAATCAAATCTGCAGCAACTTCTAAAAACTAAGCAGAAACTTTAGCAGCCTTATTATACTGGAGAGATAAAAGTTGGAGTTTAGGGCCTTCCAAATATGAGGAAGTGAAGTAGATAGCCCATGATTTCAGTTGAAACACAGGAGTGTTCTGGAAGAAAAGAAAAACTGAAAAATGACTAGCATTGCCTAGATCAAGATGGTATGCCCATACTCTAGCTACTGGAAGAAAATTAAATCATCTCTGGAGAAAGATACTGTCATTCAGAGGTTATATTTTAATTATTTATATGTTTATATATTTATATAAACATATAAATAATATATACTATATTATCTATAGTATATATTATACTATATATAATAGTATATATTACCCTTTATTAAATATTTTTCTCAATTATTTAAGGAAGAAGAAAAGACATCTATTTAAGGTATCCTCTTAATAATACCACCCCTCCTGCAAATGGAAGAATTTGCATTTAAATGGCAAATATGTCTTACAACTTGTAACTAGGCCACAATTCCAGTATTCTAGTGGAATATGATATAGTATATATAATATAATATATAAATCATATAAATATATAAATTTATATAAATAATATAAATATTAAAATAAATTGAATATATTAAATTTATTTATATATATTTATATATTTATATTATTTGTATAAATATATAACATACAGCCTCTGGATGATGGTATCTTTCTCCAGAGAGGAAAACTATACAATATATATGGTATATATTTATATACAATATCCAGCATGCAGATAAAATGTACCTGTCCTAAAATGAAACAGAATCAAAATACCAAAAATTAGGATATTGAACCTTTAAATACCAAGGATTAACATGTTTATTAAAGGAAATAAAAAAGATAAAAGAGTTTCACACAAAACAGAAATAAATTAAAAATACAAAAGGTAAATTCTGAAACTAATAATGCAATAGTTGAAACTGCAATAGTTGAAACTATCATTCGACAAATAGATTTAGCATCTGATTAGACATAGCAGGAAAGAAAATTTTTAAACTAGAATATAAGCCAATAGAATTAATACAGATTGAAGCACAAGGCAAAAAAAGGTGATGGACATAGAGGAAGGGTGGAGATAGTAAATGGGACACGATTCAAAAGTATAAAGTAACTGTAATTGGAGTTACAGAAAGAGAAGAGAAAAATAAAACGAAAGTAATATTGAGGTTGTATTTCCCAAGAACAATCCAAAATCGATAAAGTTCATTGTGATAGCTTGCCTCCAAGATGACATCCAGTGTTCCCCAATTCCTGGTATCCATGCCCTAGTGTTGAGTGTCTGCTGGACTTAGTGATTCACTTCTAAATAGTAGTGTGATGAATAAATGATGGATTCTGACTCTAAGTCTAGGCCATAAAAAGGCAGTATGGCATCTTGTGCTCTCTCTCTCTCTCTCTCTCTCATTTTCTCTCCTTCTCTTAACCACTCATTCTGGGGAAGCCAGCTGCAAGAGACCTAAAAGAAACCAAACCCCTGCCAAATTCCATGGTTGTAAGCTTGTACATGGTTCACATCTTTTTAAATAACTACCACTCTACCAATAGCTTAACTGTAACCTCACAAGACACCCTGACAAAACCACTCAACTAAGCCACAATTGGATTTCTGAGTCTCAGAAACTATGTGGGATAACAAGTGTCTGTTTTTAGATCATTATAGAACAATTGATAAGTAATACAATTACATGATCTAAAGCTGAAGCCGATAGTATGACCACAAAACCCTGTGAAAGATCAAAAGTGGTCCCTGAAAATACTCTTTAGTCAGACAAAAAAATCTTTTAATGATGTTAGAAACTATGACTCTCAGATTCTCTCAATTAAAAAAACAGGGTTTCTAAAAAGTGTAAGGGCATTGTTCCTTAGGAGAAATATGAGTTAGAAAACAGTTTGTTTCAAAGAAATCTTTTAATATTTGTACAATGGAGTGAACAGAAGTAAGATTCATAGGAGACCAACAGTTTTAAAATACTTCCATATTTAGCAGCCTGCCAGCTTGAACTGAGAGAAACAGAAAGCACAAAGTGAAAAGAGTCCTTTAGACATCCAAAATTAACTGGAAGGAAGCAGGTCGAGAAAACTATTGAGCTGTAAACATGTGCTAAATTTCATGAAAATGGGAATATGCCTCAAAAGGTGGTTCAAGAGCCAGAGTGGATTTAAAGGTCATGAGCAGTCATTTATAGGCATAAGAAAGAATAATTACCACCAAGGAACATTCATTGTAAGTCCTGTTTTCCAGTTTGCCATCTATTTTTTTTTGAGACAAAGTCTCGCTCTGCCACCCAGGCTGGAGTGCAGTGGCGCGATATCTGCTCACTGCAAGCTCCGCCTCCCGGGTTCACGCCATTCTCCTGCCTCAGCCTACCGAATAGCTCTGTTTCCAATGCAACTTGTCCCAAATCCTCCTTCTTTCCCTCCCACCTGTCCCCTCAGTCCCAATCCCAAGCATCGCTGAGTCTTTTCAATCTTCCTTTTCTACTGACCCATCTGACCTCTCCCCTCTTCCCCAGACTGCTCCTCCTCAGGTCGCTCCCTGCCAGGCTGAATCAGGCTCCAGTTCTTCCTCAGCCTCCGCTCCCCCACCCTATAATCCTTCTATCACCTTCCTTTCTCACACCCTGTCTGGCTTACTGTTTCATTCTGTGACTAGTCCTCCCCAACCTGCCCAACAATTTCCTCTTAAAGAGGTGGCTAGAGCTAAAGGTATAGTCAAGGTTAATGCTCCCTTTTCTTTATCTGACCTCTCCCAACTCAGTTAGCATTTAGGCTCTTTTTCATCAAATATAAAAACCCAGCCCAGTTCATGATGCTTTACAGCCCTAGGCCCTGAAGTGTCAGAAAGCTGTCTTATTCTCAATATGCATTTTATTACCCAATCTGCTCCCAACATTAAATAAAGTTCCAAAAATTAGATTCTGGCCCTCAAACCCCACAACAGGACTTAATTAACCTCGCCTTCAAGTTGTACAATAATAGAGTAGAGGCTGCCAAGTAGCAACATATTTCTGAGTTGAAATTCCTTGCCTCCACTGTGAGAGAAACCCTAGCCACACCTCCAGCACACAAGAAATTCAAAATGCCTAAGCCACAGCAGTCAAGCGTTCCCACAGGACTTCCTCCTTCAGGATCCTGCTTCAAATGCCAGAAATCTTGCCACTGGGACAAGGAATGCCTGCATTCTGGGATTCCTCCTAAGCCGTGTCCCATCTCTGCAGGACCCCACTGGAAATCGGACTGTGCAACTCTCCCAGGAGCCACTCCCAGAGCCCCTAGAACTCTGGCCCAAGGCTCTCTGACTGACTCCCTCCCAGATCTTCTCAGCTTAGCAGCTGAAGACTGATGCTGCCCAATCGCCTCAGAAGCCTCCTGGACCATCACAGAAGCTTTGGGTAACTCTTGCAGTGAAAAGTCCGTCCCCTTCTTAGTCAATATGGAGCCTACCCACTCTACATTACCTTCTTTTCAAAGTTGTGTTGCCCTTGCCTCCATAACTGTTGTGGGTGTTGACGGCCAGGCTTCCAAACCTCTTAAAACTCCCCAACTCTGGTGCCAACTTGGACAATATTCTTTTATGCACTCCTTTTTATTTATCCCCACCTTCCCAGTTCCCTTATTAGGCCAAGACATTTTAACTAAATTATCTGCTTCCCCGACTATTCCTGGGCTATAGCCACACCTCATTGCTGCTCTTTTCCCCAGTTCAAAGCCTCCTTTGCATCCTCTTCTTGTATCTCCCCACCTTAATCCACAAGTATGGGACACCTCTACTCCCTCCTTGGTGACCGACCATGCACCCCTTACCATCCCACTAAAACCTAATCACCCTTACCCTGCTCAATGCCTATATCCCATCCCACAGCACACTTGAAAAGGATTAAAGCCTGTTATCGCTCACCTGTTACAGCATGGACTTTTAAAGCCTATAAACTCTCCTTACAATTCCCTCATTTTACCTGTCCAAAAACCGGACAAGCCTTACAGGTTAGTTCAGGATCTGCACCTTATCAACCAAATTATTTTGCCTATCCACCCCGTGGTGCCAAACCCATATACTCTCCTATCCTCAATACCTCCCTCCACAACCCCTCCACAACCCATTATTCTGTTCTGGAACTCAAACATGCTTTCTTTACTATGCCTTTGCACCCTTCATCCCAGCCTCTCTTCGCTTTCACTTGGACTGACCCTGACACCCATCAGGCTCAGCAAATTACCTGGGCTGTACTGCTGCAAGGCTTCACAGACAGCCCCCATTACTTCAGTCAAGCCCAAATTTCTTCCTCATCCATTACCTATCTCAGCATAATTCTTCATAAAAACACATGTGCTCTCCCGGCTGATCATGTCTGGTTAATCTCCTAAACTTCAACCTCTTCTACAGAACAACAACTCATTTCCTTGCTAGGCACGGTTAGGTACTTCTGCCTTTGGATACCTAGTTTTACGATCCTGAGTAAACCATTATATAAACTCACAAAAGGATACCTAGCTGACCCCATAGACCCTAAATCCTTTCCCCACTCCCCTTTCCATTCCTTACAAAACAACCCTAGAAGCTGCTCCCACACTAGCTCTCCCTAACTCATCCCAATCCTTTTTATTACACACAGCCAAAGTACAGGGCTGTGTGGTCAAAATTCTTACACAAGAGCTGGGACCGTGCCCTGTAGCCTTTCTGTGCAAACAACTTGACCTTACTGTTTTAGGCTGGCCCCCACATTATTCCTGATACCACACCTGACCCCCATGACTGTATCTCTCTGATCCACCTGGCATTCACTCCATTTCCCCATATTTCCTTTTTTCTGGTTCCTCATCCTGTTCACACTTGGTTTATTGATGGCAGTTCCACCAGGCCTAATCGCCACTCACCAGCAAAGGCTGGCTATGCTATAGTATCTTCCACATCTATCATTGAGGCTACTGCTCTGCCCCCCCACCCACTACCTGTGGGCAAGCTGAACTCATTGCCTTAACTTGAGCCCTCACTCTTGCAAAGGGACTACGTGTCAATATTTACACTGACTCTAAATATGTCTCCCATATCCTGCACCACCGTGCTGTCATGTGGGCTGAAAAAGATTTCCTCGCTATGCAAAGGTCCTCTATCATTAATGCCTCTAATAAGAACTCTTCTCAAGGCTGCTTTACTTCCAAAGGAAGCTGGAGTCATTCACTTCAAAGGCCATCAAATGGCATCAGATCCCATCACTCAGGGAAACACTTATGCTAATAAGGTAGCTAAAGAAGCAGCTAGCGTTCTAACTTCTGTCCCTCATGGCCAATTTTTCTCCTTCTCATCAGTCACTCCTACTTACTTCCCCACTGAAATTGACTTTACTTACATGCCCCAAGTCAGGAAACTAAAACACCTCATGGTCTGAGTAGACACTTTCACTGGATGGGTAGAGGCCTTTCCCACAGGGTCTGAAAAGGCCACTGCGGTCATTTCTTCCCTTCTGTCAGACATAATTCCTCAGTTCGGCCTTCCCACCTCTATAACGGACCAGCCTTTATTAGTCAAATCACCCAAGCAGTTTCTCAGGCTCTTGGTATTCAGTGGAAACTTCATACCCCTTGCTGTCCTCAATCTTCAGGAAACGTAAAATGGACTAATGGTCTTTTAAAAACACGCCTCACCAAGCTCAGCCTGCAACTTAAAAAGGACTGGACAATACTTTTACCACTTGCCCTTTTCAGAATTTGGGCCTGTCCTCAGGATGTTACAGGTACAGTCCTTTTGAGCTCCTGTATGGACATTCCTTTTTATTAGGCTCCAGTCTCATTCCAGACACCAGCCCAACTTGGACTGCACCCCAAAAACTTGTCATCCCTACTATCTTCTGTCTAGTCATACTCCTATTCACCACTCTCAACTACTCATAAATGCCCTGCTCTTGTTTACACTGCCAGTTTACACCATTTCTCCAAGCCATCACAGCTGATATCTCCTGGTGCTATCCCCAAACCACCACTCTTAACTCCCTCTTAAAGTGAATAAATAATCTTTGCTGGCAGGGCACCCTCCAATACTTTCACCCTGATGAAGTCCTATTCTTTACTTTTATACTCACTCTTATTATCCTTCCCATTCTTATGCCACCCTCTACCTCTCCCCAGCTATCTCCACCACACTATCAATCTCACTCACTCTCTCCTAGCCATTTCTAATCCTTCTTTAAAATACAATTGCTGGCTTTGCATTTGTCTTTCCTCCAAAATTGCAGAGGTCTCAACTTACTCACTTCTAAAAAAAAAAAAAAAAAAAAAAGGAGACCGTATATTTTTAAATCAAAAGTGTTGTTTTTACCTAAATCAATCTGGCCTGGTATATGACAACATAAATAACTCAAGGATAGAGCAAAAAAACTTGCTAACCCAGCAAGTAATTATGCTGAACCCCCTTGGGCACTCTCTAATTAGATGTTCTAGGTCCTCCCAATTCTTAGTCCTTTAATATCTGCTTTTCTCCTTCTCTTATTTGGACCTTGTGTCTTCTGTTTAGTTTCTCAATTCATCCAAAACCATATCCAGTCCATCACCAACTATTCTGTACAACAAATCCTCCTTCTAACAAACCCACAATATCACCCTTTATCACAAAATCTTCCTTCAACTTAATCTCTCCCATTCTAGGTTCCCAAACCACCCCTAATCCCGCTTGAAGCAGCCCTGAGAAACATCACCCATTATCTTTCCATACCACCCCCCTCCAAAATTTGCACTGCCCCAATATTTCAACACTATTTTATGTTATTTTTCTTATTAATATAAGAAGACAGGAATGTCAGGCCTCTGAGCCCAAGCTAAGCCATCATATACCCTGTGACCTGCACATATACATCCAGATGGCCTGAAGCAATTGAAGAATCACAAAAGAAGTGAAAATGGTCAGTTCCTGCCTTACCTGATGACATTACCTTGTGAAATTCCTTCTCCTGGCTCAGAAGCTCCCCCACTGAGCACCTTGTGACCCCCACCCCTGCCCACCAGAGAACAATCCCCTTTGACTGTAATTTTCCATCGCCTACCCAAATCCTATAAAATGGCACCACCCCATCTCCCTTCGCTGACTCTCTTTTCAGACTTAGCCCACCTGCACCCAGGTGATTAAAAAGCTTTATTGCTCACACAAATCCTGTTTGGTGGTCTCTTCACACGCACGCTCGTGACAGAATTTTGCTGGGTATAGAATTCCTGGTGGATAGCTCCCTCCATTATTCAGATGCTTACTGCATGCATCCTCAAGGGCAGTATCATCATCAAGGAAGTGAAAATAGATTTTCGGAAAGAGGGGATGAAATTCACATTACAGTAGTTTTTAGCCCTCAAAAGAGGCACAGTACATAAACTGGTATTTGTATATCTTCAGTATTGAAATTTAATCAGGTGAAAGTGATTAAGGAAAACATTATTTAAAATGTCTGGATGAGGGTGATAACAAAGGAAAGGCTGAGGAACACAGCTCTATTGTCTTCTCACTTGCATTGTTTCTCACAAGAAATGTGCTAGCACCCTAGTATTTTTGCTCCTCTTTACATAATAACTCAGAAAGTGACTTGAAGTTTTTCTTCATGTTTCTTTGCTTGCGGTTTGCTGAGATTATCTGTGGATGTTTTATTTTTATTTGGGAAAATTCTAGCTCCTATTACTTTCACTATTTTTACTCTTCTTGCCTCACATCTTTTTCAAGGACTCCAATTACATATATATTAGACAACTTGAAGTTGCTTCCACAGTTTTTCTTTTATGTTTAATATTGAGTCTTTTTCATGACAATATTTTCTATCCTTTTATATTCTATTCTTTGATGAATTTAAAATACTATGAGATGAGTAAGGCCATCTTATGAATAATAAATTCATTTATACTTAAAACTACATCTATATAAACAAATGATGGGAGGTGATTTCATTTGACATTAAAACAAAGTATGTTAAATACTATATGACTAAGATCTATTAGAACATAATAAAAAAAATCAAAGCCAAATCATAAAAGGTGTAGAGTGAAGATAAAAAAATTAGATCCACAATCTGTGGTTTAAGAATGGAACCCCAAGTGAAAACTTTCTGGCATCTATAAGAAAAAATAATAATAATAACCAAAAGAGGTACATGTAATTTGTCTTGTTTAAGGAATTATATTAAATATGTGAATCTGTGCATAAAGGTCATTGAGAACAAAACAGATAGCCTTAGAGTAATTTCGTTTTTAAAAATAGTGGTTCCTTTTATGCACATTTCTATTGCCACATTGCTACATTGCCACTGCTCTGCAATTCAGCACTAGAAGTGCCACTGTCTGTGTTTATCTCCATAGTGAAATAAAAAATAAACAATCTTCAATGTACACATAACATATGCCTTAGAGCTATAGATTTTAATAGTTTTTTCCGTATTAAAGCACTTTTATTAAAATATATCTATTATGATGTGCATGTCACTAAAAGTGATCTATAGTGTCAGCATTTTGGGTAGTGTTTGCTTACCTATTTTCTATGATAAGAGGATAGAGCTTATTCGAAATACATACTGAACACGCATATCCAAGTAAGAAAGAAATGGAATGATATAGCCATCCTAAAATTAACAGAATTTGTTTTTGCTAGGAAGTAAGTACTAACTCCCTTTATTCCTAACTTACATTTAAATAATTCCTGTTGTTGGAGCCCCAAGTAAATAAACACATGCTAGATCAATCATTGTACAGATGGTGTTGCATTTATTTTTGACCACAATTTTATTAGATAAAAAAGATAGTAACAATAACCTAAAATAAACTAATTAGGCCAGAAGTATGTCTGTCTCTTTAGCAGGATATTAGACTAAGAGCATTGTAAAAGAAACTGGTATGAGTTTTTAGGGGAGAATTAAAAGACCAATGGCTTTGCATTTTGGAGAATTAGTAAATATCTTTGAATGTAAGATATACTATGTTTTGGAAACAACCTCTGTTGTAATCATTCTTTTGATGTGTTTTTCTTTGAGAAGATGCATTTGTTTGGAATGCAAATTGAGGACAGAAGACATACTTCTTTCTTCTTTAGGAAAGGTATCATCACCAAATCTCAAGCATACATTTAACTTTTTAGTTAAATTGCTTTATCTACTTCTTTAGGGAAATTGTTTTTATAGTAGTTCATGTTGTTCTAATAAAATGACCTGAATTGGCATTACCGTTTTCAGGTGAGATTCTTGAGATTGGATTTCCAGGCTATTTAGCACTGAATAATTTCCAACTATCGTTCTAATCTGTTAAGACTTTGAAGTCTTAAATTACCATCTAGATATAAATGAGCAAACATTTCATTGAAAAATGAAGAGTTTTATGACAATACCTTTCCTTGGAAAACGGAGCCACCTGAGCTTTTCTAATAGCTGGTAACATCCATTAGTGGTTTTCTCTGAAATTGAAAACATTTTCCATCTGTTCATACACACTCATTACAAAGTAGTTAAGAGCCTGTGGGATCACAAAGGCACATTTTGGCAAATTACAAAATATCAAAATGAGTTATTGAAGAGGCAGCAATGACTATACAATAAGCTGCTCAAACCTGCAATTGTCTGGTTTTGTGTAAGAAAAGACATCTGTGTACTAAAATCTAGTTTACCTATTAAAACTTGGTATTCTTCTATTCGGTGGCATTCATTCCTGTGCTTATGACCCACATTTTTTCTTCTAAGGGAATTTGTGTAATTTTGTCAATTTTCACAAATAAAGACTTTCTTTTTCATGCTTCAGAAAGCTGCTATTTATTGCATTCTTTTCAGAGGAACAACTGAAGAAATTGACTTAAACAAAGCCAGTAGAGGATTCAGCTGAGCATAAGGAAGACGATCATGATGTTCAGTCTACAACATACTGAAAAAACCGGGGGTAAGGTGACTGAGACTGGTTTTCTGGAAACCTTGAGAAGAAAATACACCGATCCTAAATAAATGATCTTGCTGAAGTGAAGGGGAAAAATCTCCTTTAAAAGGTGATCTTTATCAAACACTTCAGTGATTTATTTTTCTGCCCTTATCCCAATGTGACATTAGCTATCAACACATTCCTTATGTATCACCTAGAAGTTGTGACCTCATGGAATATGATATGGGATAGCTGAAGTTCAATCTGAGGTGCAGAACAGAGCATAGCAACAGCAATCTCTTCAAGATGAAAGAAGATAGGCCTTGGACGGTGATAGCAGGAGAGCTGAAAATCAAGCAGTGACAATAAAAACAAGGTTTTAAAAAAAGTCTTAGTTTGCAAGTTTTTCCCAATATTTATCTGCAAATATCTATATAGATATAAAACTATAGATATTTCCTCCTTTAAAAATAACAAATTTTCTTTCTGAATTGGTATATATTTTAAAACTATATTTTATGTATATCAAATATATTTATATTTATTTTTATATGAACATTTTTTAGAGATGAATATTAAAATGATAGGTTAAAAATGTTATTTCAGATTTTATCTTAAGGATTGTAACCACGCAACTTATATTGCATAAAATAATTTGATATTAATAGAGTATATTCATTTTAATCTCATATTTCAAGAAGTGGAAAGAAAGAAAAGGAACAACGAAGGAAGGAAGAAAGGAAGAAGAGAGGTTGAAAGAGAGAGAGAGAAAAGAGGAAGGGCGAAAGAAAGACCAAGAGTAAGGGAGAAAGGGAAGGAGTAAAAACAAATACTTAAATTTATATAGGATTTTTTAATACCATATCATTGGCATTGACTATTTAACATTATGGCACATTCAAAATTTGATTGTCAACAATTTTTCAGATGTTTTTAGAGATACAAATGAAAATTAAACAAGAGTAATCACGAAGGATTTCAACAGCATTTCTCATTGTTTGGTAGTTTGGGCAATAGGGTTGTTTCGAATCCAAGCCTTACTAATTATAAAAATCAAGTGTTAGTTTGATCACCTTCACAACATTTAACATTTTGTTTGCCAGCCAATTTGATTTTAATACTCATCAATTTTTACAGAAGCAGCTCAAAATGTCTGTTAGAGAAGTAATAATTCTAGTATCTCAAATATATTTCCTAGGAAAATAGAAAGTCGAAAAAATTTGCAGTTAAATATGTAAGAACTCTCATTATCAACCACTTAAAAGTGTTGATATGTTTTTTCAAGATTATTTTTCTTTTCTACATTAACTGTTCAACATATTTTTCTGTTTTCTACCATTCACTCACAATGCAGTATCTAATATATTTTTCTACTACTTTGTTTTTCATAGCATTGTTGAACCATTAATAATAAGAAGTATAAAAGAAACCAGCTTGATCACTCGTTAGTAAGCCAATGTTTGGATTACACAGTGGATCTAATCTAGATGGCGCATTCTTGGAATACAGCATGTTTGTCATTTACTTGAAAAGCACTATGTGGTTTATTTGCTTTCCATTCAACGGTGAATAAAAATAAATATTTTATGATAAAATCTGCTTTGAAAATTTTCAGGAAGACTAATCTTTGAAACTTGCGGTTGTTTTCAGTGAGAATTAAAAAAACAAATGATAAACACAGGTAAGGCTGGCTCTAGGCTGAAAGGGAGATTTCAGCCCCAAATGCAGTGTTGAGCATAACTTTGGCCCAGTCCAAATGCCTTATGAATTTTTGCAATACTAATATCAACTTCTACACAGTAAGACAGCTCATTCTCACTCAAGATGTTTAATACCAAATGCTATACATTTGTATTTTGAGGCCATATTTCTTTGCATATTTTATATGTTGTAATAGATTTGACTTCAAATTGAATTCAGTAGAAAGGTTGCAAAAATCAGTAAAATTATATAAATTCTGCTTTTATCAGCTGTGATGACAAATGCAGTCTATACACCAGAGGCTTAAATAAAATTGAGCTGAGCTTGATGGGAGTCAGGCAGGGGCCTAACAAGAATGAAGTAGCAAGCCAAAAAAGAAATCTAAACCACTTCTATCTTCACATTGTATTCTTTGCTTATTTGGTTTTCATCAGAATCTGTTAGCAAATTCTGAGCATATTTGCTGCAGACAGATGCTAGTGTTGCCTTAGCTTATTGGAACAAGGAACAGTGAGAGGTATGGATTAAGGGGTGCTATTGATAAACAGGGGTGGGCTGAATGAATTTTTAGCAGACCAAATATACATATTATATCCTGGTGTTTTTAAGAATCATTTTAAAGCTACAGTATTTATCTCACAATGTTAATAACCAAAAGAGAGTAAATATTCAAAATAATTAAAGCTAATGACACTCTTTAATAGAGTATATACGGGCAGAAGATTTTTGATATTGGACTAGCTTTCATTAATGTACGCTTAAGTGTACATTAAAAATGTCCTTTTCTCTATGTTGAAATGGATACCCTTAAATAAAACCTAGCTATTTTTTGGATTTACTATTGCAACCCTCGAGTTTCAGTTTTAATATTCTTCGAGATACAGTAAGAACATTTCTGAAGTGCATAGAAATAGATTCATAGATACAAAAACCATAATAAAGCACCAACACTATCTATGACTTACAGAGTAAATTTGTAAAGAAAGAGTAGAAAATTCTCTAAGTTTGGAGTTAAAAATACAGGTCCAGGCATTGTTATTTACTGTTTATGGCAATCCAGAGAAGTAAATTAAACTTTTCAAATTGAAATTTGAGCATTGTAATAATTAAGTACTTCATGCAGTGGCTGTAAAAATGATAATATCTTCTTAGGACACTAGTAACTATTTTATTTGGTATTATAAATGTTACTTTTCATAGGATTTCAAAATTAATACAAGTAAAACATTTGTGACTGAAGATGGCTAGTTTGTTTATGTAATTTTTTTCTTAAGTTGAGCAAAAAACAAATTAAACTGAATAAAAAGTCTTTAAAAACTCATTGTTCGTGTAACATAGCAAAGAACAGATTCTGGTGTGGTTTTATACAGGTAATGAAAAGCAGATGAGCAATTAAGAGCAGAGGACAGTGTAGTCCAGTCATGATGCAGCAATAATGTTAGGCAAATTAAAGTTTCTGATAAGGTAGAAGGAAAGCATCAACTATGAAGGAAAAGAAAAATATTCTTGTCTCACTTTTTAAGTAATAAATAACAACAGTCCTTTTTAAAAACAGCCAACATATAAGACATCAGATTTTAAAAACCAGCTCTAATTGTGTATACTTACTTGTGATGAAACCAAGACATCGGAGCTACCTCAAAAAAATAAAAATTTTCTAATAAGAATTTTTGTTACATTTTCTGTGTTAGCAATAAGAATAATAATACCAGATATGACTACTTAATGAATAAATGAAGGTATAATTCAATAGAAAACTTTATTTGGAAGCTTACTTTCATATAGCTGTTCAACATTTAACGAACCTTTAATTAATGAATATATTGCAAACCAATCCCATGCAACATATTAGCTAATGTTCGGGCTTAACTATAAAAGTTCTAAAAAGTTAAGTCAATTAAAAAATACTGTGCTTGCCAACTGCGATGGTTCACACCTGTAATCCCAGCACTTTAGGATGCAAAGGCAGGTGGATCACTTGAGCCCAGGAGTTCGAGAGCAGCCTGGACAACATGGCAAAACCATGCTTCCACCAAAAAATACAGAAAAATTATCCAGGTGTGGTGGCGCATATCTGTGGTTCCAACTACTCAGGAAGCTAATGTGGGAGGATTGCTTAAGCCTGGGAGGCAGAGGCTGCAGTGAGCTGAGATGGCACCATTGCACTCCAGCCTGGGTGACAGAATGAGACCCCATCTGAATTAAAAAAAAAAAAAACTCTGTTAATTTTAATTATTTGTTAATATTAAATATGTTTGAAAACAAGTAAGTTTACTGAATGGTTTAGAGCAGCTGCTGGGTCCACAGACGATATGTGATATTCCAAGACTGCACAAATTATTTTATAGATATAATAATCTTTATGTGTATATATATCTATATAAAGAATATATATATAGATTCATAGATATATATAAAGAATATATATAAGAATATATATAAAGAATATATATATAAAGAATATATATAAAGAATATATCTATGAATCTAAATATATATTGAATCTATATATATATTCTTTATATAGATACATATAAAGGCCATATTATAAATACTTTATTACACGAAGAAAAATTTTATTTTGAAAATCTGTTGAATGCCTCTTGGTCATTACTAACCAATATAGAATTATCTGTCTGCTACTTTTTTATTAAAGATATTTTAATTTGTCTGGTTTAAGAAAATATAAATTTAATAATAATGAATAAAATTATCAAATGATGAGATATAATAATCTAAGGGAAGGAACAAGGATTTTGAGTTCAGCAAACCTGGTTCCATACTTGGTTTTACCACTGTTGCAGAAAAAAATATTTTGACACTTTGAAATAGCAAGAAAGACTTTACTCAGAGCTATCGTAAGTATCAAGCCTCTAACAATACGGCAGACAGATCAGGCTCACCTTGTTAAAGTGCCCTGACCAATAGATAAAAATGGACATCTGTGGCCAACAGAGATGCTAAATATTAAAACAGAGCCAGGAGATCATGACTGGGTGAGAGAGCAATCAATTACTCTTTGTTCTCAGACAGACATTGTAATGTAAAAGTTTCACAGGACCTCCCTTTCTACAATCAAGCCAAACCAGTTCTTGTTGTCCATGCCAAGTAAAACTGTAGCTGGAACACCACTTCTACCCCCACCAGTTGTTTGAAAGAAATATCTGACAGGGACTTCTGTTTTGGGACTTGGAAACTATCCAATGAGAGCTTGAGTGTTTTGCCCAATCATAACTGTACACGATTGTGTCCTTCATTTGCACAAATGGACTTGATTGAGAACCAAGGTAAGAACTTTTCCTGTTTAAACCAGACCCTCCCAGTGTTCTTCAGAGAACACACTTTGGTACAAGACAGTGCCTTGTACCAAAAGCATGTCTCCGCAATCTGCAGATGTCTTTTTATATGGAAAATAAAGCTCTCCCCCTTTTCTCTGCAGATGTTGTGATCTTTTGTTAATAAACTCCAAATGCAAATACAAAAAGTGGAGTTATATAGCCATTTAGCCAAAGAGCAGATTCAAGGGTCAACAGGTGAAAATCACTAAAAGAAGACATCAAGGGTAGGGAGTCTTCTTGCTAAACTGACTGAACAGGATTCACGCTGAAGGCAGGCCTAGGACTTATGCATCAAAGGTGAAGAATGAGAAATTTAATCAGATATGGAGGGAAGAAATTCTCTCTAAACTGGCTGTATTAGTCTGTTCTCATGCTGCTAATAAAGACGTACCTGAGACTGGGAAATTTACAAAGGAAAGAGGTTTAATTTAATCACAGTTCCACATGGCTGGGGAGGCCTCACAATCATGGCAAAGATAAAGGGAGAACAAACAGACTTTTTACATGGTAGTGGGCAAGAAGAGTTCTCCTGCGCAAGGGAACTTGTACACAGGAACTCCCATTTATAAAGCCATCAGATCTAGTGAGTCTTATTCACTACTACGAGAACAGCATGGGGGAAACTATCTCCATGATTCAATTATCTCCACCTGACTCCACGCTTGAAAAGTGGAGATTAATACAATTCAAGGTGGGATTTGGGTGGGGACACAACCAAACTATATCATTCTGCCCCTGACCCCTTCCAAATCTCTTGTGCTCACATTTCAAAACTAATCATGCCTTCCCAACAGTCCCCCAAAGTCTTAAGTCATTTCAACATTAACTCAAAAGTACACAGTCCAAAGTCTTACCTGAGAAAAGGCAAATCTCTTCCACCTATTAGCCAGTGAAACAAAAAACAAGTTAGTTACTTTCTAGATATAATGGGGGTACAGGCAATGGGTAAATACACCAATTCCAAATGGGAGAAACTGGCCAAAACAAAGGGGCTACAGACCCCATACAAGTCTAAAATCCTGCAAGGCACTCAAATCTTAAAGCTCCAAAATAATCTCCTTTGACTCCATGTCTCACATTCCCATCATGTTGATGCAAGAGGTGGGTTCCCATGGTCTTGGGCAGCTCTTTCCCTGTGGCTTTTCAGGGTACAGCTGCCTCCTGGCTGCTTTCATGGGCTGGCATTGAGCGTCTGTGGCTTTTCCGGGTGCACAGTGCAAACTATTGGTGGATCTACCATTCTAGGGTCTGAAGAATGATGTCCTTCTTCTCAACATCTTCACTAGGCTGTGCCCCAGTCAGGACTCCGTGTGGGGGCTTTCATCCCATATTTCCCTTCCAAACCCTAGCAAAGATTCTCCATAAGGCCTTTGCCCCTGTAGCAAACTTTGGCCTGGACACCCAGGTGTTTCCATACATTCTCTGAAAGCTAAGCGGAGGTTCCCATACCTCAGTTATTGACTTCCATACACCTGCAGGCCCAATACCATGTGGAAACCACAAGGCATGGGGCTTGGAGCCTCTGAAACAATGACCTGAGCTCTAAATTGGACCTTTTTAGCATGCCTGGGACACAGAGCACCAAGTTCTGAGACTGCACAAAGCAGCAAGGCCCTGGGCCCTACCCACAAAACTATTTTTTCTATGTAAGCCTCCAGGCCTTTGATGAGAGGGAATGCCATGAAGACCTCTGACAGGCTGTCAGACATTTTCCTCATTGTCTTCATCTTTAACATTTGGTTCCAAGTTACTTATGGAGATTTCTGCAGCTGGCTTTAATTTCTCCTCAGAAAATGGGTTTTTCTTTTCTATCACATTATCAGGCTGCAAATTTTCTGAAGTTTTATGCTCTGCTTCCCTTTTAAACATTAAGTTTCAGTTTCAAACCGTATCTTTGTGACTACATAAAACAGAATGCTTTTAATAGCACCAAGTCACCTCTTGAACATTTCACTGCTTAGAAATTTCTTCCACCAGATGCCCTAAATCATCTCTCTCAAGTTCAAATTTCCACAGATCTCTAGGGCAGGGGCAATATGCCACCAGTCGTTTTGCTAAAACATAGCAAGAGAGAGTCACCTTTGCTCCAGTTCCCAACAAGTTTCTTATCTCCATCTCAGACAGCTTCAGCCTTATTTTATTGTCCAAATCACTATTAGCATTTTGGTCAAAGCCATTCAACAAGTCTCTGGGAATTTCCAAACTTTCCCACATTGTCCTGCCTTCTGAGCCCTCCAAACTGTTTCAACCTCTGCCTGTTACCCAGTTCTAAAGTCACTTCCACATTTTCAGGTATCTTTGCAGCAGCACCCCAGCCTACCAGTACCAATTTACTGTATTAGTTTGTTCTCAGGCTGCTGATAAAGACGTACCAGATACTAGGTAATTTATAAAAGAAAGAGGTTTAATTGACTCATGTTTCAGCATGGCTGGGGAGGCCTTACAATCATGGTGGAAGAGGAAGGAAGAGCAAAGTGACTTCTTACATAGCAGCAGGTAAGAGAGCTTGTGCAGGGGAACTCCCATTTATAAAACCATCAGATCTCATGAGACTTATTCACTATCAAGAGAGTAGTATGGTGGAAACTGCCCCCATGATTCCATTATCTCCACCTGGCCCCACACTTGACACATCGGGATTATTACAATTGAAGGTGAGATTTGGATGGGGAAATCGCCAAACCATGTCACTGGCCCGGCAGGATTTTTACTAAAACTAAACTATGTGGGCCCAGCAAGTACTGGGGCCAAGGTAAGGCTAAGTCAAGAAGAGGATTCAGAGAAGTCCGACTAACCTTTGACCAATAAGAGAGTTTTTGAAAAGTGAGATTCCTTTAGCCACTGGCCCTTGATCCACAAGAATTTCAATAAAACATTTTTTACCCCCTGGCTTTAGCATTTACAGTTTTTAATATTTTCACAGATAGAAAACCAACAAAATATTTTTAAATTTAGAGGCTTAAACATAGTTCCCAGTTGCCCAAAGGTAAAGGTAAAACTTGGCTTCCTACAGAATGGAAAAAGTAAACAAGATTACGTTAGAAAAAAAAAGTCTTCTCTATCCCCTTCAAGCATTATATTTCATCTTATCTCCATGAGTTTATAAATGACTTGAAGCACTAAATGATAATGAGAGAAGTAAAATGTTATGATACAAAGCAAAGCTTGTCTTACATAACCAATGTCAAAATAATGTAGAGTTAACAGAGAAAGGTATTAAGTTCATTTCTTTGTTGGACCTCTTGGTCGTTAATAGGAACTCTCATTAGACCCTTCTCTTTTCACACAGAAAAATTATCCTTAAAGATTACTAAGTGTGATTTTTTTTCTCATTCAGCTGTCATGTACCATATTTTAAAATGCCATTTGTTCTCAATTATGGAGGCTGTATTGGGCATTTCGAAGCTGACTTTGCAGAATATGAAATGAGAACAGGTAGGTCTCAAGGCATGCTTTTTTTTTTTAAGGGTAAAATGCTATAGTATTTTCTCTTTAGAGAAAGATTTTAATCAGTATTACTTTTTTCTTACACAGTAATAGCCAAAAATTCAGTTTAATTTTAAACGTGCATATTTAGCATTTTGCAAAATTTATTAAATTTTGCAAGTGAGTAATAGAGTTTAACCACAAGAAAGTAATGTTTTGTTTCTCTTTACTTTATATAACTTTTTCTTATCTACACCAATTTTTGCATATACAAATTGTTAGCCAAGCGGTGATTTCATAAGTTTGAATGTGAGATAGATATATATATATAGATATATATATAGATATATATATAAAAGTATAAATATATAATGTAATATTAAGATATATTTTAATGTATAATATAAAGATGTATAATATAAAAATATAAATGTAAACATACATATTCTCAAAACATTACTATGTCACGGAAAAACTCCACTACTCACTTGCAATATTTTGCAACAAGTGAGTGATGGAGTTTATCCATGATATAGTAATGTTTTGAGACTATTGTTTCTCTTAATTTATATAACTTTTTCTCATCTACACCAATTTTTGCATATAAAAAGTTTTAGCCAACTGGTGATTTCAAAAGTTTGAATGTGATTTTTATAAATATAAAAAAAAGTATAAATATAAATATATAGATATAATTGTAGGTATACATATTAAAAGTAGAGAATACTCTACTATAGTTCTTCAATGAAGATGTCCTCAACATTCTCTGACAGATTGAGAGAGAAGGAAATTCTAATAGTAGGGATATTTTGAAGGCTCCTTCCAGATCCAGTTTTTCAAGTTCACCAAAAATACGACATCTCTTGCTAAATTTCCACAACATTGCTCACACTTAATTTTTTCCAAATTCTGATCCTCTTATTTCTGAAATAATTATGAGATAATAATAGTGAGAATAATTACCACTCCTTGAATATTTACCATGTTCTAGACACAGTATTAGGTGTTTTGTGTGTGGCATTCATTTCCTCTCACACATTCTGTATGGTAACATTTTTATCTGACAGATGTGAAAATTTTAGTTTATTGCAGAAGAGACCTTTATCCAAGGCTACACGGCAGCCAGGTGACAAAGCCAGTATTTTAACTCATGTCTGTGACACATGACTTAAATAGGAGGGAAATTAACAGAAGGAGGAAAGCTCTCTCCTTCTATTATGTAAAACAGTTTTCACAGCTAAAGTGGATCCAGCTCCTATTGACCAGATTATTAAATATCTGATAAAATAATTCATAACTTTAACCTTGAAATATTTTTGGTTTTTGGTTATTGTGAGGAGGTTACTAAATCAAGTAAGTAAATGGCTTTGGGCAGAAAAGAAGTTGATGTCTCGTGGCCAGAATGAAAATAAAAGCCCATATTCTTCCTTTGTCAAAATTAGCTTTAGTCCAGCTTTTTAGTTCAAAAATAAAATAATAATAAATGTTGTGGATGAAATTCTAACCTGGAGTTGTCATTCTGGCCTAAATAGGACTTTAGGTCTTGACTATCCTTGGAGAGAAAAAAGAAACCATAAGATCTGATATTTCTGATGATCAATGTTTATGTTACCTGCACTGATGCCCAGTTAGCAGATTACTGATGATTTCCAAAGAAAACAATTGCAGAACAGAGGAAGAAATGTTTCTAAGAAAATTGTTCCCACCACTCAAATATGGTATAACACACATTCCATAAAAGACCCAGACTCAAATGCTAGGTCCATGAAAGAATATTGTTTATTTTAGTCACTGCTGTATCCCTAGCCTGTCAGTAGCCTCCCAGGAAACACTTAAATAATAAATGGCTTAGGCCGGGTGCAGTGGCTCACGCCTGTAATCCCAGCACTTTGGGAGGCCGAGGCGGGTGGATCACTTGAGGTCAGGAGTTCGAGACAAGCCTGGCTAACACAGTGAAACCCCATCTCTACTGAAAATACAAAAAATTAGCTGGGCGTGGTGGCGGGCGCCTGTAGTCCCAGCTACTCGGGAGGCTGAGGCGGGAGAATGGTATGAACCCGGAGGCGGAGCTTGCAGTGAGCCAAGATCGCGCCACTGCACTCCAGCCTGGGCGACAGAGCGAGACTCCGTCTCAAAAAAAAAAAAAAATAATAATAATAATAGTAAATGGCTTATTATTCCTTTGCGACAGTGGTTTAAAGGGTGTACATGTTGGGAGATTGAGAGGACAATGTATTTTGGGTTTAAAATCTAAAGTAAGTTCTCAATAGTCAATTGTATGGTAGCATATGACTTATTTTAATAGTCTAAAAATTTACTTTAATAGAAAATGAAATTAAGATAATCTCAATTTATGTTAATTAGTTCTCCAAAAATACTAGAAGCATTTAGGGTCTCCAAGGTCTCTGCACTGGGCATTCTAAAGGGGGACTGAGAATTAGTGGTTTGGGAGATTATACTATCCCCAATGTGGGGACCATATATCTTACTCAACATTGTACTTCCAGCTCCTTACAGCTTGGTTAGGCACAGATTTGATTACAAAACTTCAGTTCAGGAAAAATGAGGCAGATCAATGGAGAAAATGTCTTAGCTTGGCATGAAGCCCTGACAGAAAAGCTCCTCTTCCAGTTCCTGGGAGAACATGACATAAATTCCTCACTGAAAGAGAACGTGATATACGTGATCAACTCCTTACCTTGTGAGGCAAGAATAAGTATCAGTCAGACTATCTAAGAGCAATTAAAATAGAAGACAATTCTTTCCATATGGGTTCTGATATTTTTTACTAATAGTTATTATAGAATGTCTATTATGTTCCAGGTGCTCTATATCCCTTTAATCTGCTAGCAAAATACCAAGGTCATGTCTCTTATTCATAAGAGGAAACTAACATTCAGAAGGTCAAGTAACGTGTCCATAGCCACACAGAGGTGGGATTAAAATCTATGCCTTTTTGATTCTGCAATTATACAAGCATTAGGAAATAAATACAAATAAAATCTATGTCTATTTGGTTTTGGAACTTTTCTGCTTTATCTTATAGTACCATGATGCCCGTGAAATATGTGGCTCTCAGTGGAGGCAACCCTAGTTTATTGATTGCCTCAGATACCAAAGGATATTCTTCCATTGCTGAAGGGAATTCTACAGCCTGAGGACTAGTCAGGTTTTTTCCCATTGCCCTTGCATTCAGTAAATACTTTGGGGGGTATTTTATAACTCTGGTGAGCATATTTCCCTATATAAGTTGCTCTTGATATTAAAAGAAGAAAAGAAACCAGGAGGCATTCTGGCATCACTATCAGTCACTTGTGAAGACTGGTGGAGCTGAAACTTCAATGGAGACTTAGAAAAAAAAATTAAAGCTTCATTGGTTTAAGTTGGATACTTGATTTTTTTCCTTAGGTCTGAGTTACCCTGTGGCAGTCAAAGGTTACATTAAATAGAGTCATCAACCCTCTTTTCTTGATTCCTTTTTTCTGACTCTACAAATTCTATTGCGTAAATCTCACTAAAGCAAATATGAAAAACCTCCAGGCTTTGAAATATGCTGTTCAAGTATGCAATAAAATATGCAATAAAGACAAGTTGTAGATGCTATGGTTTAAAACACTACCAATGGTGCATAACTCAAGCATGAGGAAAAGTATAAAAGGAAATACAAGGACATTGAATTTTAAAATATATTTTTTAAAAAGCAGTGGACTCTAGTTGATTAGTCCCTGTAACATAACTCAAGATTTTATCCTACTTTTTCTTGGATGACTGAAAATTTATCTTAGGGTTTGGCTTTTGTTCCCAAGTTAACTGCCTTCTTCCAAGGACATCTAAGTAATTTGTAGGCATTCAGGAAAATAAGTGTATACTTGTATCCTTATACAGCTCTATGAAATAAGAAAACCAATTCTTTATTTCAAAATTAAGTGTTGCTTTATTCATCTTCATAATATAGCTCACAAATTTGTGACAGTAATAATGTATAGAATAATAGCAATTAATTATTGCTGCTTTACTTCTTCTTAGCAGCAAATTCAAATATCAAGAATCTTAAAATGCTGATACAATTAGCTAGTAACATTGTGAAATTGGGCGTGACATGTGTTTCAAGTTTATTTATGAGATAGTATAATGCAATCCGTGATTTCCAGTGTCTGTCTAGACCTACCAGTCTTCACCATTGGGAAAATAATTGAAGGAGTCCATTACCTATGAATGAGTTGGAATTTCCAGAATACACTAGGAAAAGCACTGGCATGAACAGCATCTTCTCATTGTACTTCGTAACTAAAAAGATACTCAAAGGATAATTTCAGTCATAAAATTTTAGCATAAAGACTGGTCTTGAAAATAAGCACTTCAACTTTGAGTTGTCTCATTGTCTCTATGACAGTCTATCGAGGCATTCTGTGGCCTCTACATCACAATAACGTCAAACTGTTTTGTGAAATAAACAAAGTTCAGTCCTACTCAAATAAGAATTATAAAGATTAGTAATATGCTCATAACCTTTTTGTTCTCAAGTACAAGATGATACACTTAAAAATTTTTCAATGAATTAAAGGGGAAACATGAATATAAAAAAATGGTTCAAAAATCATTTTGAGAAACTAGATATTTGGGGAACTAGGAAACTAGGTAAGATACAAAACTGATCAATTTTAACAGAGTAATAAAAATAATGTAACACTTTCTTTTCTTATTGTTTTTTGTTTTTGGTTTTTGTTTTTTTGAGACAGACTCTCACTCTGTCACCCAGGCTGGAGTGCAGTGACACATCTCAGCTCACCGCAACCTCCTCCTCCTGGGTTGAAGCTCAGCCCCACCTCAAGCTCCTCCCACCTCAGCCCCACTTCAAGCTCCTCCCACCCTAGCCTTCTGAGTAGCTGGGATTATAGGCGTGAGCCACCACACCCAGATAATTTTATGTATTTTTAGTTGAGACAGGGTTTCACAATGTTGGCTAGGCTGGTCTCAAACTCCTGACCTCAAGTGATCCGACCGTCTCGGCCTCCCAAAGTGCTGGGATTACAAGCATGAGCCACTGCTCCCGGCCTCAGATTATTTTTCTGTTGATCAGAAATCATTTGAAACTCTATTGGACACAATCTGAGACCTTATTCAAAAGTAAACGACAAGGTAAACAAAGATACAATCCTGGCTCAGAGCAGGAGTTGTATGCTCATAATCATTAATTACTTAGACGTTTCCTGTTGCATCAAGATTTGAAAGAATCCTCCTTGGGAGTATAAGAGAAGATAGATCTCCCAAGTGTAGATTTCCTATTTACAGTTCCAGGAAATCGGCTTCCAGCTTTATGAAAGAAAGGGATGAAATACCACTGTTGTAGAAAGTTTAAATAAAACTCAATGACAGTGGTCATTGTGCCCCCAAAATTAAATGACTTTTCCTTGTAACTGGCATTTTAAAAAATTCAGAAGACCAAATAAATCAATATGTTTCAAGTACATATTACAAAATATCCTTTAAACATCTCTACAGTAATACCTGTGGAAAACCAAAGTATCAACCTAAATGACCTAGAAGTAATGTAGAAAAATGATATGTATTCATGAGCCTAAGTTTGTTAAAGGAAATATGATATTTAAATGATACAAGCAATTTTCGAATGAAGGACCATATTATTAGATGTCTTTTTTCCTCCAAAAATTTTTTGCAATTATTAAATTTTGAAAAGATAGACTATTAGAAATACCAGAGATATTTAAACACAAAACAAAACAATAGGTATCAATTAAATATTCAAGTAATTGGAAAGGTAAATGGAAATTTCAGCCAAATAAATAAATAAATAAATGATACTTAGGGTGTTAACTACAGTTCAGAGAAGAGGTAAGCTATTGTTCATGTTCTTTATGCAGGTGATATATTGCTAACCAACCACGTGCCTTTTGATAAAGTACACTTGTTCTAGGATTACAGAAAGACACATTGGTTCACTTTTATCTTTCAGTTCCAAGGCCACTACACAGGTACAGATCCATTTACTTTAACCTGGTCATCAAATGGCACTTTGCTAAATATCTCTTCATATACTGTTTCTAAATTTAAAAACAAACAAATGTGTTTATTTGTGTGTGTGTGCACGTGGATGCATAGATTTCCATTTCAAAACTTTTGAAAATCTGCAATGGAAAATTTGAAATTCTGCCAACAACAACAAAAAATATTTTATGAATCTAGCTGTAATAAGAAAGCTACTATTAGTAAAATAATAATTAAAAACTATTAATAATATCAGATACTTCTATCAAAATGTATTTGTATTTTCAACAACAAACTGAATTCATGGTTATGAATACTATATAATAAATAGCTGGAACAATTTCAATTAAACATTTCATTTTATATTCATTTACTATTTATTTTTTATTGTTATTCCTAAATAAGTTATTTTGTTCCATGTATTGACATATACTCTTCTCTATTTTGGAAATTTAGAGATAATGAGGGACATAGTATATGTTTTAGCCAATTTGGCCAGTGGAAACATTATACAAATTTTAATAGCCATAGTACAAATAATGAAATCCCTGAAAGTAGAACCATATTCAAAGTTTAGATACTACTTTCCTATACATTTCAATTTTTTTCCCTGCACAATTACACTCTCTTTTATGTAAGATAGAAAGACCCAGAGACCCTCGTAAATAAACCTAATGGCATTATATTTGATTATTTAGACTTGCCAGAGAAAGTTCAAAAGTGATACATAATAGCATTCAGGTAAAAATGTTATTACCTAAAACATATCATGTATAGCTCTTTTTTATTAATAAACACACAAAAATATGAAAAGTGTTAAAAATTTTCAACAAGGCATTCAGAATGAATGAAAAATAAGAACAGTTCCTGTTGTAAATAGTAAGCAAAGAGAAACTATATCTCATTCATTTACCTCTTTATTGTGTGCCTACCAAAGAGAATCTCAGCTTGCCTGAATATGAAAATCCATGAGCCTTCTAAAAAGTCCAAATTTCCTATCGCATCCAAATCTCAGGGCATGCATATTTTGAAAACTCCTCTTAGTGATTCTGTCAGGCAGCCAGGGGTGATAATCATGTGTGCAGTATGTGCTTGGCACATCATTTTGTTGCAGAAATTCAAGATATGTAAAATATAATCTTGCCTTCAGGAAGCTCATTGTGTAGTGGAGAGATAACCATGTAAGAATTGCAGCCAAAAAAAAAACAGCAAAGTATAAGTGAAAATACAGTGGACACACAGAGGTGAAATGATTAATTCTGTTCAAGTCTGTCAGAAAAGAGTCCATAGAAGAGAATCTAGAAAAAAAATGAGTAGGAATTTTCTCAGGCAATAATAAAATGGTAGCAAGTACCATATGCCAGGCAATAATCCTAAAGGCATTTCACATATTCATTCAACAGATCCTCACAATAACCCAGGAGATAGTCATTGTTATTCTCCTATTTTGCATTTAAGATACCAAGGCACAAGTCATGCAACTCAAAAGTGTGTGTAAGGAGTTTGGAATTCTGGTTGTCTAACTACAATGTTACACTATACTACTGCTCTTCTAAGGTGAGGTAAAGAAATACACATAAAGGTAACAAAATATGCAAAAGAATATTTGGGATACTGGAAGTATTCTCTTTTTTAAAATTATTTATCTCCAGGATACAGTGAAGAGACATTATTTGCAATAACTCATGGCCATTAGAATTTACTCTCTAATTAAAGGTTGGAGAAGGTGTGCCAAATAATTTATCATTAGGCATTGTATTAGTCCATTTTCATGCTGCTGATAAAGACATACTTAAGACTGGGTAATTTACAAGGAAAATGTTTACTGGACTCACAGTTCCATCTGGCTAGGGAGGCCTCACAATCATGGCAGAAGGTGAAAGCCATGTCTTACATGCTGGCAGACAAGAGAAGAGAGCTTGTGCAGGGAAACTCCCCTTTATGAAACCATCGGACCTCATGAGACTTATTTACTAAGAATAGCAGGAGAAAGATCCAGCCCCATGATTCAATTATCTTCCACCAGGTCTCTCCTACAACACCTGGGAATTGTGGGAGTTACAATTCAAGATGAGATTTGAGTGGGGACATGGCCAAATCATATCACTCCACCCCAACCCCTCCCAAATCTCATGTCCTCGCATTTCAAAACCAATCATACCTTCCCAACAGTCCCTCAAAGTCTTAACTCATTTCAGCATTAACTCAAAACTACACAGTCCAAAGACTCATCTGAGAAAAGGCAAGTCTCTATCACCCATAAGGCAGTGAAATCAAGAGTAAGTTAGTTACTTCCTTGATAAAATGGGGGTGCAGTCATTGGATAAATGCACCCATTCCAAATGAGGGAAATTGGCCAAAATGAAGAGGCTAAAGGCCTCATGCAAGTCCAAAATCCAGTGGGACAGTCAAATCTTAACGCTCCAAAATAGTCTCCTTTGACTCCATGTCTCACATGTAGGTCATGCTGAGCCAAGAGGTGGGTTCCCATGGTCTTGGGCAGCTCTGCCCCTGTGGCTTTGCAGGGTACAGCCTCCCTCCTGGCTGCTTTCATGGGCTGGCATTGAGTATCTGTGGCCTTTCTAGGTGCACGGTTCAAGCTGTTGGTGGATCTGCCATTCTGGGGTATGGAGAATGGTGTCCCTCTTCTCAACAGCAGTGCCCCAGTCAGGACTCTGTGTGGGGGCTTTAATCCCATATTTCCCTTCTGAACTCTAGCAAATATTCTCCATAAGGGCTTTGCTCCTATAGCAAACTAGCCTGGACATCCAGGTGTTTCCATACTTCCTCTGAAATCTAGGCAGAAGTTCCTATGCCTCAGTTCTTGACTTCTGTATACCTGCAGGCCCAACATGTGGAAACCACCAAGGCTTAAGGCTTGCACCCTCTGAAGCAATGACCTGAGCTCTAGGTTGGACCCTTTTAGCCACAGCTGGAACACAGGGCACCAAGTCCTAAGACTGCACAAAGCAGCAAGACCCTGGGCCCGACCCATAAAACTATTTTTTTCTTGTAAGCCTCTGGGCCTGTGATGGGAGGGGATGCCGTGAAGGCCTCTGAAAGGCTGTGTAGTCATTTCTCCCATTGTCTTCATCTTTAACATTTGGCTCCAAATTACTTATGCAAATTTCTGCAGCTGGCTTTAATTTCTCCTCAGAAAATGGGTTTTTCTTTTCTGTCACATTATCAGGCTGCAAATTTTCTGAACTTTTATGCTCTGCTTCCCTTTTAAACATGAGTTTAAAGCTGTCAGTGGATCTACAATTCTGGGGTCTGGAGGATGGTGGCCCTCTTCTCACAGTTCCATTAGGCAGTGCCCCAGTAAGGACTCTGTTTGGGGCTTCAACCCCACATTTCTCTTCAGCACTGCCCTGGCAGATGTTCTCCATGAGGGCCCCACCCCTGCAGCAAACTTCTGCCTGAACATCCTCTGAAATCTAGGTGGAGGTTTCCAAACCTCAGTTCTTGACTTCTGTGCATTCACAGGCTCAATACCACATGGAAGCTGCCAAGGCCTGGGGCTTCCACCCTCTGAAGCAATGGCCCAGGCAGTACCTTGCCCCTTTTTAGTCATGGCTAGGGCAACTGGGATGCAGGGCACCAAGTCCCTAGGCTGCACACAGCAGGGGGACCCTGGGCCTGGCCTACAAAACCATTTTTCCTCCTAGGTCTCTGGCCCTGTGATGGGAGGTGCTGCTGCAAAGTTCTCCAACATGCCCTGGAGACATTTTCCCATTGTTTTGGTGATCAACATTTGGCTCCTAATTACTTGTGCAAATTTCTGCTGCATGCTTGAATTTCTCCCAGAATTTTTTTCCCTATTGCATTGTCAGCCTGCATATTTTCCAAACTTTTATCCTCTGTTTTTCTTTAAAAACTGAATTCTTTTAACAGCACCCAAGTTACCTCTTGAATGCTTTGCTGCTTGGAAACGTTTTCCACCAGATACCCTAAATCATCTCCCTTAAGATTAAAGTTCCACAGATCTCGAGGTCGGGGCAAAATGCCACCAGTCTCTTTACTAAAACATAGCCAGAGTCATTTTTATTCTAATTCCCAACAAGTTCCTTATCTCCATCTGAGACCACCTCAGCCTGGATTTCATTGTCCATTTCATTGTCAACATTTTGGTCAAAGCATTCAAGAAGTGTCCAGGGGGTTCCAAACTTTCCCACATTTTCCTGTCTTCTTCTGAGCCCTCCAAACTGTTCCAGCCTCTGCCTGTTACCCAGTTCCAGTGTCACTTCCACATTTTCAGTTATCTTTTCAGCAGTGCCACAGTCTACTGATACCAATTATTTTGTTTTTATGTGGCTGATAAAGACATACCTGAGATTGGGTAATTTAAAAGGAAAAAAAAAGGTTTAATTAACTAACAGTCCACATGGCTAAGGAGGCCCCACAATCATGGCAAAGGGTGAAAGGCATGTTTCACATTGTAGCAGACAAGAAATGAGAGCTTGTGCAGGAAACTCCCCTTTATAAAAGCATCAGATCTCATGGGACTTATTCACTATCATGAGAATAGCATGGGAAAGACTCACACCCATGATTCAGTTACCTTCCACTGGGTCCCTCCCATAACACATGGGAATTGTGGGAGTTACAACTGAAGATGAGACTTGGGTGGGGACACAGCCAAAACATATCACGAGTCTTCTGTCTTTTTGCTGTCTTTGATTAGAATCATGGTAACAGAGGTCACTGCACAAACAAAACTTTGTTTGCTGTATAGACATTCACATGTAATAGATCTGTTTCTGATATTCTGCATCTTGCTGAGAAGCTTCAAAATGCTAACAGTCCAAATATTCATTTTTCTTGTTCATTCAATAGCATTTGTCACTGTTGACTATGTTCTTCCTCAAAGACTCTTTTTTAGCTTTTTATGCATCTTATTTTTTCATCCATCCTCATCAGCAATTTTCTTTTGCTAGCCTCTGAATGTTGAAGTGTTCCATTGGTTTTGGCCCTACTCTCTATGTAATCTCATCCAATAATATAACCATAAATATTTTTCATCTATGCCTGACTCTGAATGTATATTTACCAGGCCAAACCTTTCTTGGAGTTTCAAACTTCTGGATCTATTTGATTACTTGATATATATACTTTTTCAAATTAAATTCTTGACTTTCTCTTTCTCTCTTTCCTATCCATTTGCAAGGATTATTTATCTTAGTAAATACCACAACCCACTCATTCAGGCCAAAATCCAACGCGATATCCTAATTTGTTTTGTTTTTTTTTCTTTTCCTGCCCTACATCTAAACTCCAGCAAACTATATGGAATCAACTTGTGAAATATGTTCAGAATCTGGCTACCTATCTTCACTTATGCATTGATCAAGCCAACACCATCTCTTTCCTGGGCCACTTCCATCGCTTACAACAAACTTCTCCTCTGATACCAGATTTGGCCTTGTATAATCCTTTATTTTTGCACATCAGTCTTCAGAGTAATAATTATAAAGCACTAATTATGTTACTCTTATGGTTAAAACTTTTCAAAAGCATTTCATCAAATGAAATATCATCCAGTTCCTTATTATGTTCTTACCCTCTGTCTTCTATTCACATCCTACTTTTCCTCTGTAGAGGATAATATCTGTACTTTACCCTGATTCTCTCAGTTCCCTCTTACCTTGTCTGTGTCCTGGAAATACTTTTTAAATAGTTTGCATAATAATCTCTTCTCAAGGTCTGTTTCTGGGGAATGAGTCCTGAAGATATTCTGTTTGCATGATGCAGCTATACTGCATTTAAAAAAAATCTTCAGATAAACAAAGTCAATCCCACATCCAGAGACGTTACATATAGTCTTACTTCTCCTTGGAACATGCTTTCTCCAGATCTTTGCATGGCTGATCCCTTATGATTCAATCTTAGCTCAATGGCACATTCTCATCGAAGCCTTCCTAAGTAAGTCAGCTCCAAGTACACCTTTACCAATTACCAATCTTATTATCTTAATGGCACTAATAAGCTAGGGTTCATATCTATTTTATTCACTATGCTATAATGCTTACCAAAACATTACAAGAATTCAATAAGAATATTATTGAATAAATATTAAATGAGGAATTTCATTAGTAGATAGTTTCTCTCTGCCAAAACTAGTATTATGTGATTTGACAAAACTCATCTTGACATGCAAGCTCATGTTTGGAATGTAAACCAAAAATGAATCTATAATTATGTAATTCCTTGAAATACATTTCTCGCTGACTGCTCCCAAACTATTGAGGAATAATGTTAGATAATTGACTATTAAATCATCTTATGCCCAATATCACATGAGCAGCATTTTCAGATGGCTCATTCAGTTAGCATTCATCATTTACGTAGATATTTAGGAAGGAGATTGTACTAGCCCATTTGTGCTGCTATAACAAAATACCACAGAATGGATAATTTACAAAGAAGATTTTGTTCTTCTTATGAGATCTTTTCTTATAATTCTGGAGACTGGGAAATTCAAGATCAAGGTACTGGCAGGTTCAATTGGCTAGTACAGGCTGCTGCTTTCCATTTCCAAGATGCCACCTTATTGCTGTGTCCCCCAGCGGAGAGGGATGCTATCTCCTCACATAGTGGAAAGCAGAAGGGCAAGCTAACTGAAAATGCTGTGGATGAAGATTCTTTTATAAGGGCCTTAATGTCATTCAAAAGGCAGCAGGTCTTCAGGCCTTATCACCTCTTAACGTTCCCTCCTCTAAATAATATCACATTGGAAACACCTGGATTTCAGACAGAACACATTCCAACCATAGCAGAGATTAACTTTAGGAATAAAATAGAAGAACGAATACTAAATATTATTTACATCTTGAGGAGATGAGCTGTTTTGATCATGAAGAACTTGAAGCAAATATGGGACTTTCAAGTAAGGACTCTATGGAAAGATGGGAATATGGGTTTGATATTTGCCTAAGAAATGTTGGGTACATATAATAACATAATATAAATATTTGGAATACATGGGAAGCTCACTCTGAGAGATAATCTTTTTCAGGAAATAAACTTGGCATGAGCACCTTTGAAATGATAGGTAGTGAAGCAAAATCAGTCAGAGGGAGAGGTTGAGCTGCAATTCAATTCCAGCGAAGGTCTCTGCTGACCCCAATGGGGAGATCTAGAGTTGGGGAGGTCCTTTATAATTACCTCAGGATGAAACAAGGAGCAGCCTTTACCACTGCATCCTTCAGTCATTGGATCCTTGTTACCCTAGAAGAAAGTGTGGCCTTAGTTCAGATGATTCTTTAGATAATATAATCTTCAAAGTGGGAAGATAGCCAAAAAGCATTACCCAGTGGTTTACATAATAAATTCTTCATTCCTGAAGGGAATATAACACCTGCTTGGTGTTATAGCACAGCATCAAAACTTTCATTTTAAACAACAGAAGTAGTGTATAATTTTCTTAAGTAAATTACTTTTGGAGTTGGAGTTGAATTAATATTCCAATATGCTCAAATGAATGAAGTTTCTGCTTTCTGTTTCATCGAAGGATTATTTTAAGTAGGATGAAAATAGCCTAATTGTGAAATGTTCTAGCAACTTTTCACTAGTGTGCCAACTTCTACAACAAAATACCAATTACCATGTATAACTTAATTTTGGAAATATATTCTCAACAAGCTTGACCCTGCTGCTCTGTTGGATGATAGTTTATAATTCTCTGACTGTGAACAACCGTATTGGAGTCAGAGAGTCTGCTTCTAAGAAATGGTGCTAACCATGTTTCAAAAGTCCATGCCTAAATAAAGTGACTGACATTTATAGTGCTCAGGAAAAAGCTACACAGTCACCCTGACAATTAATTATGAAATAAAAGGAAGTAGACACTTTTAAAGAGAAAATAAGGAGGAATATGTGAAATGGGTCACAGAAGATTGATCCTGCTTTATTAGGTGATTTATTTCCAGCTTCGGGTAAAGTTAAAATTTCTGCTAGGCATAAATGGGGTTTTTACTTGTTTATTTCTAGCATAATTATATCTACTTCACATTCAACTTAACACTCCTCATACATATATGTGAAAGCTTTTAAAGTCCTTGTCTGTATCACTGATTTTCAACTTTAGATCACAGTAGAAGTACAGCTGCTTAGTCATATCTGGCCATGTTTTGCCTTCCTATTTTTTAATTTTTTGAAATATACTTTTAAATCCTCAGGAATCTGTCTTAATTTTACTCATTTTTTAAAGCTCATGCATGATTCTATCTTTTCCTTGAAGCTTTATATCTCTAATCTTTAACACTGTCATATAATTAGTTATATATAGATACTGTGATATATTTGATTATTATTGGTAATAGTATTAATGTCTAATATTGCTACCAGTGGCAAATCCATACAGGTCTGCAGCAACCTCAATTCTTGCCTCCTCAGAGGAAAAAATTCAACTGAGGAGCATAAGACAGAAGGGGAGATTGAGGCAAATTTAGAGCAGGAGTAGTTTATTTAAAAACTTTAGAGAAGAAATAAAAAGAAGTAAACTATACCATAGGAAGAAGGAAGAAGACCAAGCAGGAGACTTGAAAGATCAAGTGCACTACTTGACCTTTGACTTCGGGCTTTATATGTTGGCATACTTCCGAGCTTCCCTGATTTTTCCTTTCAGGGTGTGCAGTGTCCTGCTAGCGCTTGGAGGGGGAGCATATGCAGCGTGTTTACCAGAGTTATATGCAGGCTCACTTGAGATGCTCTTCCCTTACCAATCATATGTTCCTAGAAGGTCATATATCAGTAAAACTCCACCATTTGCCTCTTAGTGCACATACTTGAGCCTACTTGCCCAGCTCCTAAGATCATATTGGGAAGCTGCTGATCACCCAGTTTCAGGTGTTTCTATCTATTTTGAGACTGCCTTTCCCTGGCAGAGGCTGCAACCAATTATTAATTTAAAGAGACAGTGTGACAACTGCCTGACCATCACCTGATGGTCTCCTGACAATCCTGTTAGGGTGAAGGGCCTCTCCTACCCTGTGCATTTCTGAGTAGCTTCTGTAACAATATGTTTGTCAGTTAGAACATGTCTCCTCAACTAGATTATAGATTCAATAACAACAAAATTCATGTCATGTACAGTACCTACCGTGGCAAAGAGAAAATAGTAAGCTCTGAAATTGCCTGACTGATAATATGATTCACTGAGGCATTGAAGGAAGTTGTCAAAATGGAAATAATGAGTTTGCTTGAATTCAAACAACTAATAGGAAAAATGAGTTTATTAGAAATATGCTGCTTTTTCAGCTTCTACTTATTATAAAATTTAATCAAAGTTATTTTCTGGATAAGTCTTTTAATTTGTAATATTCCTTTTTTATCACCAATAGCATCTAGCTGAAGAGAATAAAATAGTTTGATTCTGGAGAAAAAAAGGACATTTGAACTTTAGGTAAATAACAGCAAAAAAAATGAAAACACTAAGATTTTGTTGTAAGCTATATCTTTGAATGATCTCATTCTATTACTCCCTATAGGCAGGAATTCCCAGGTGTTTGCTTAAACAAATATGAAATGAAAGGAAAGGCAAATTCAATTATTTTCACTCAGCAACTGAAATTAGCAGGATGGAAATGTTTAGGAACAGGTATAATTAGAAAAAACAGATGTGTTTTTATACACTGAGTTGCCATGTTATAATCACAAAAATAATCCCAATGTCTTGGAAAGTCATATCATTTTAAAATCATTAAAATTATGTGTATATATCCATTGATGTTAATGTGAAAACAGCAATAAAATGCAGACATTTTAATAAATGGGGTCTTTTCCCCCAGAGATGCTATTGTTAAACTGTAGATATATTTTCCAAAGTCACTTGCTTCTCCCCAGACTACATTCTTCTACTAACATTCCTTTCACCCTCATATGTAGCAAGAAGTCTAAAAAATGCTACTTATTATAAAATCATGATACCTTTGATGGGGTTCAGGACACAGTTCCCTGAAATATTACTGTAGGAGATCAGAATACGCCACCTCAAAATATGTAACTTTAGCATATTGCTTACTTTGAGCTAAAAGAAACTGAGATCCAGGCAGCACAGGAAACGTTCTTTATAGCCCCCTCAATTGCCTAAAATAAAGTATAAAACTCCCCTTCTATAAAGGAAATTTACATCTATAAAGAAAATTTTCACTGGTAAGAGAGCTGCTCTAAGACATCTTTTATCACCTGAGAGGCTTATCTGATGAACAAGGCAAACTTTATTCACCATATTCCCTTCCTTTCCCCTCCTATAATTTGCCTGCAGCACCCCTAGAACACCCCAAATCCCTATTCCTTTGTGTATCTCAGGATGATATAAGCCTTAATTATCTGGCTTCCTATTTGGGCCTGATATATTTGTGGGACTCCTGTGTGTACAAACATAATTAAAATTGTATTTCTTCTGTTAATCAGTTCTATGTCGATTTAGTTCATAGATCAACCAAAGAACCTAGAACAGTACAAAGAAACATTTTTACTCTCACCATGATATGTGTAGCAAGAAGTATCACAAATTATATTTATTACAAAATTATGTTGTCTTCTAGTCTGTTAGATGTGTGCGTGGGTGTGGTGGTTATTTCGGAGGGTGGCACTACCATTCTATTTTGCTGAACTGAATAATAAAATATCTTAAAATATTCTTATAAAAATAATAACTGATCAAGAACACGAAGAGTCTTAGCCAGTAATAATAAGGTTGCTAACAATTATACAGATATTATAAGCGCTTAAGTGTACTGTGTATTTCATACTGAATAATCCAACTAAGTTTGAGATAAAAAGAAAACATAAGAAATAGACTTTATAGAGTTAATGATTATATTTGAAATGTCCAAAGTTAATAGCACAGTTTCTACGCAAATTTTTAAATCAAAATAACATGTTTTCCACCTGAGATTGTACATCTCTCTTGTCATATATATTTCTATCTCAAATGGCTTTTCCCTAAAAATAGATCTTTCTTCCCTTTCAGGAGACTAAAAACAACTAATATTCTAACAAAATAAATTGTCAACAAAACCAAACAAGACTTGCCACTGATGATAATGGCAGTGAAATCTAAATGTCATTTCCTCCAAGCAGTGCAACAAAATTTTTATTTTACCAAGATGACTTCTAAAGTACTTAAGAAAATCCTCATCACACTAATGTTTTCTGGTGTATATTTCCCACCAAGTTGATTAATAGGTGCTAGATAATAAGATGTCTCCTTTAGTGCTGCTGGGATATGGGACTGAACATTTTACTGGTAGCAAAATGACTTAATCCTATCTTTTTGAGCTGTATAAAGAAATTTATACTTTGCTCACATTATTTTTTAAGTTATACAGCAGGTTCTGTTATATTCAACCCTTACGTTAATAAAAATATTTTTCCTCAGCTTCTATTGGAAGTCTATATATTTACTGACAAGTTTATGGATCTAGAAATGTACTATAAGAAAGGTAATTTTCATGTTTCAGGACTAAATATTTAATGTATTTGTGAACTCTTAAATTTTAAAATATTTTTAAATTTACAGAAAATTTGCAGATAGTACTGAAAGTTTTCATATTCCTCACACTCACTTTCCCCTCTTGTCAACATCCTACAGTAGTATGGAGCATTAGTCACAATTAATGAAGGAATACTGATACATTATTATGAGGTAAAGTCCATATGCTCTTCAGATTTCTTTACTTGGCACCTACCATTCTTTCTTTGCTCCAGGATTTCATGTAGGATGCCATATTATATTTCATCATCATGTTCCTTAGACTCCTCTTGACTGTAACCTTTTCTCAGGCTTGTATTTAATGCTCTTAACAATTTTAAGGAGTATGACTCATGTATTTCATAGAATGTTCCTTGAGACTGGTTAGATCTAGTGTAATGGGTTCTGGGGAGGAAGACCACAGGGGTAAAATGCTTGTCTCCTTACATCATGTCAAAGGTGCATACTATCAATATGACTTATCACTGTTAATGTTAAACTTCAACACCTTGGCTGAGATAGAATATGTCAAATTTCTCCAGTGTAAAGTTACTCTCTTTTTCTCTTTTCCATACTGAAATTTTTAGAAAGTAGTGCCTACACACAGCCCACCCTTAAGGAGTGGGCAGTTATAGTCTACCTCCTTGAGGGTGAAGTATCTTCATAAATTATTTGGAAGTCTTCTGCCTGGGAGATTTGTGTATTCTTCCCCATTTATTTGTTTCTTCAATCATTTATTCATATTAATCTGGATACACAGATATGTGTTTTATATTTGGATTATGGCTCAATACTTCTTTATTTTCTTGCTCAAAATTTTCTAGATTTGGCAATTGGAAGTTCTTTCATTTGGCATCTGTGTGTCTTTAACATACCTCCATCGCTGTTTTGTTTTTTAAAGACTTTTTTAGATCAGTTATGTTTAAAGCAATATTGAGAGGAAGGTACAGAGATTTCCCATATACCTTCTGCCCCAACACATGCATAGCATCCCCCATTAACAACATTCCTACCAAAGTGGTACATTTTTTACAATAGATGAACCTTCTTTTATATATTATTATCACCCAAAGTCCATAGTTTACATTAGGGCTCATTCTCAGTGTTTTACATTTCATAGGCTTGGACAAAGGTATAATGGCATGTACTCACCATCATAGGATCATACAGAATAATTTCACTGCCCTAAAAATCGTCAGTACTCTACCTATTCATCTCTTCCTGCCACCTAACTGCTAGCAATCATTGATCTTTTTACTGACTCCACAGTTTTGCCTTTTCCATAATGTTACATTGTTAGAACCGTGCATTATGTAACCTTTTTAGATTAGCTTCTTTAACTTAGACATAGGCATGCAAGTTTTTTTTTCCATGTATTTTCATGGCTTAATAGTTCCTTTCCTTTTAGCATGAAATAATGTGAATTTATTGTGAATTTAATGTGAATTGAATGTACCACCATTTATTTATCCATTTATCTACTGAAGGACATCTTGAGTGCTTTCAAGCATTGTCAGCTATAAATAAAACTGTTTTAAATATCCATGTGCCAGTTTTTGTGTGGACACAGGTTTTCAAGTTCTTTGAGTAAATACCAAGGAATGCAACCCAGCATGCTAAGAATATGTTTCATTTTGTTTATAAATTCCCAAGCTGTCCAGACACAGTGGCTCACATCTGTAATTCCAGCACTTTGGGAGGCTGAGGCAGGCCAAATCACCTTAGGTCAGGAGTTCGAGACCAGCCTGGCCAACATGGTGAGACCCCATCTCTACTAAAAATACAAAAATTAGCCAGGTGTGGTGGTGGGTGCCTGTAATCCCAACTACTCAGGAGGCTGAGGCAGGAGAATCACTTGAACCTGGGAGGCAGAGGTTGCAGTGAGCAGAGATCTCAGCACTGCACTCCAGCCTGGGCGACAGAGCAAGACTTCATCTCAAAAAGAAAGAAAAAATTCCCAAACTGTCTTCCAAGGTAGCTGTACCATTTTGCATCTCCCTTAGCAATCAACAACAGTTTCTCTTTACCCCAGATCCTCACCAGCATTTGATGTTAGTGCTCTGGATTTTCACCATTCTAATAGGTATAAATAGTATCTTGTTTTAATTTGCATTTTCTTAATGGAAAATGATGTGAAGCTTCTTTTCATATGTTAATTTTCCATATGTATGTCTTCTTAATTGAGGTCTTCGTTAAAGTCTTTGGCCAATTTTTTAATCAGATTTCTTTTTAATTTGTTGAATTTTACATGTTTTTTATATATTTTGGAAAATTATCCTTCATCAGATTCATATTTTGAAAATATTTTCTCCCAGTCTGTGTCTCATCTTATTTGCTTGACCATGTCTTTCACAGAGCAGAAATTTTAATTTTTATGAAGTCTTAATTATTATTTTTTCTTTTATGAATCATGCCTTTGGTGTTGGGTCTCAGAAGACATCATCAAACCTGAGGTCATCTAGATTTTCTTCTATGTTATTTTCTAGATGTTTTATAGTTTTGCATGTTATGTTGAGGTCTATGATCTATTTGGGGTTTAATTTTTGTGAAGAATACAAGGTCTGTATCTGTATGAAGATGGAGAAAATAAACTCAGGTGACTCCAAAAGTGGGAATAAAAGAAAGGGGTAAAGAACTGTAAAACTACAAATTGTGTGCTATTGTTACAGGAAAGGGGTCCCAATCCAGACCCCAGGGGATGCTTCTTGGATCTTGTGCAAGAAGGAATTCAGGCCAGTCTGCAGTGCAAAGTAAAAGTAAGTTTATTAAGAAAGTATATTTACTGCAGCACTGTTCACAATAGCAAAGATATGGAACCAACTCAAATGCCCATCAATGATAGACTGGATAAAGAAAATGTGGCACATATACACATCATGGAATACTATGCAGCCATAAAAAAGGATGAGTTCATGTCCTTTGCAGGGACATGGATGAAGCTGGAAACTGTCATTCTCAGTAAACTAACACAAGAACAGAAAACCAAACACTGCATGTTCTCACTCATAAGTGGGTGCTGAACAATGAGAACACATGGACTCAGGGAGGGGAACATCACACACGGGGGCCTGTCAAGGGGTGGGGGTCTAGGGAAGGGATAGCATTAGGAGAAATACCTAATGTAGTTGACAGGTTGATGGGTGCAGCAAACCACCATGGCACATGTATACCTACGTAACAAACTGGCACATTCTGCACATGTATCCCAGAACTTAAACTATAATAATAATAACAATAATAAAAAAGAAAGTAAAGTGGTGAAGGAAGAGCTACTTCATAGACAGAGTAGGATGTTCCTGAAAGTAAGAGGAGAAACACATCCACCCTAGCCACAATGCTTGTTTATATGGGAGATGTGCTCTGCTACACTAGTTTGTGATAAAGGATTAATTTTCTTAATTACTATATTTTGAAGGAATCAATATTATTATCTTTAAAGCAAAATTAGGAATGCCTTTGTTCTCCAGATATCAGGATATTTGGACACTTCCAAATCTGGGTCTGTTCACTAAACATTACTAATTGTTCCCTTAACCGTAAACATTTGGAGGCTAGGGATGTCTAATTTTCTGAGAATACAGCCCAGCAAGTCCCAGCCTTATTTTTCTAGCCCTCACTCAAAGTGGAATAGGTCTGGTTCAAACGCCTCTGGAACTATGTTCACTATTTTGGTGACAGGTTAAATAGAAGCCCAAACCCCAGCATTACACAATATATCCATGTAACAAACCTGCACATGTACCACCTGAATCAAAATTCAAAAATAAAACAAAACAAACAAACAAGCAAAAAAACATTGCCAAGACCAATGTCATGGAGCTTTTGCCCTAGGTTTTCTTCTGGGAGTTACACGGTTTCAGATCTTACTTTTGAGTCATTGCTCCATTTTGAGTTGGGTTTTGTGTGTGTGTGTGTATGGAGCAAAGATCAAAATCCAATTTAAGTTTTTTTGTTTGTGGATATCCAGTGTTCCCAGGATCATTTATTGAAGACATTATCCTATGTCTATGTGTATGCTTGATACTTTTGCCAAAGTTTAGTTGACCTTATTATATACTTGGGTTTATTTCTGGGATTCGTATTTTGTTCCATGTGTGTTTTCATGCCAGTACCATATAATTGGGATTATAATAGCTTTACAGTGTAATTTCAAATCAGTAGGAAAAAAAAAAGGTCTCTATCTAAATGCTTTTTCTTTGGCATTTAGATGTCAAATTGTTCTAGCACATGTAACAATTGTTGAAAAAAAAATCTGTCTTTGGTTCCTTTTATTGCCTTTGCTCCTTTGTAAAGATCTGTTGAGTCTACTTATGTGGGTCACTTTCTTTGCCCTCTGTCCTGTTACTTTGAATCATTTGTTAACTCTTCACTAGTACGCAGTATCTTGATTACCGTGCTTACTTTATGGTAAGTCTCAAAATTAGGTAGCGTCAGTCCCCCAACTTTGTTCGTCTCCTTTAATACTGTGTTTGCTATTTGGGTTTGGCTTCCTTATATTACGTTTAGAATCAGTTTGTTGATAACTGCAAAAGAAATTGCTGAAATTTTTTACTGGGATTGCATTGAATTTATAGATCAAGTTGGGAAGAAGTGATATTTTGATAAGATTGAGTCTTCTTATCCATGAACACAAAACCTCTCTCCATTTATTCAGTTTTTCTTTTATTTATTTCAGTAGAGTTTTGTAGTTTTTCACATATATATCTTCAATATAATTTGTTGGATTTATAACTAAGCATTCATGTTGAGCGGGTAATAACACAAATGTGTTTCTAATTTCAAATTCCACTTGTTAATTGTAGGTATGTAGGAAATTGATTGACTTTTGTATATTAACCTTATATCCTGCAAGCTTTCTATAATGGCTTATATTTCCAAGAGTGTTTTTTAGATTTTTTTTAGGATTTCTACATAGACAAGTATCATCTGCAGACAAAGATAATGTTATTTTATTTTTCTTACCAACTCCATATACCCTTTATCTATTTTTCTTGTCTTGGTGCCTTAGTTAACACTTCCAGTATAATGTTGCAAAGCAGTTCTAAGAGAGGACATCCTTACCTTGTTCCTGATCTTAGTGGGAAAGCTTCTAGGTTCTTACTATTATGTATGTGGTTTTTTAAAAAAATTTAGCACTACCTATTTTCTGGTACTATAAATTGCTCCTGGATCATTTATATCTACTGCCAGAGTCTTTAAATAAGCCATTTCTCAAAGGATTTCTAGTTTCTTTCATTGGAGAATGGTATTAGAAATCAAGATCTAGTCACTTCGTATATTCTTTGCTGCTGTGGTGTTGTTCTTTCTAGGTTTCCCCAACTGACAGAGCAAGGAAATTTGTGTGTGTGTATGAACCTGTGTATATATACATATCTGTACTGATTTCCCTATGTAACCACTTTTATTTATATGAAGTTCAAACTGTTGTCTCTAGATGAATCTTATATGGCTTCAGTCATTCTAGACTGCTGTCCTTGCTGGTCTGTAACCTCCAACTTCAACAGTGAGAAACCTCGCTCCCATCATCTGTTACGCATTTACTTACCTGTTCAATTCCAAATATATGTACACCTATTTCAGACTTGTTCATCTGTACCTCATGTAAAACTTTATCAACTATAATACAGTATTATGTACACTTCTCTTTTCTTTTAGTCTTATAATTCTATTCATTTCTAAATGAATAAAATTTGGAATATCCTATTTATTTGAAAACTGAATATGAATTCTAGAAACACTGTTTGCTGCACAGAAAGCCAGTCACTGAGATGATTATTGCCAAGGAAGAAGGCTTTAATCGGGTTCTCTAGCTGAGAAGTTGGAAGATCAGCCTCAAATTCATCTCTCTGACTATAATTACGGGTTTATATAGCAGGGAAGAAATGTAGCCATGTACAGGAGAACAGGAATTTGGGAGGGATAAGGAAGGAATAAGGACGAATGAGGGACCTGGCATCTCATTATCTGGATGAGATAATCTGGTGAGTTTCAGTTCTTTGATACTTCTGGATCTTTGATACTTCTAGAGAAGCCTGTGGTTCCTTTCCTGAGGAAGAAACTCAGATAAAATAATGTAAGTTTCAAGCTTTAAGACCAGAATGGCCAATTTCTATGTTTATCTAAAAAATAAATAAACAGACAAACAAAACTCTATGTGACTATTGGGTCAGTTTCAAGGTCAGCAGCTTTTTGCCATGCCTTTTCCTACAAGAGGGAGGCTGTTTAATACATTTGTACTACAATTATATATTTTTTTACAGTCAGCATTCTACCCTAGGCTCTCATGACCTCCTAATTTATTTTTTAAATTTACATATAGTAGGATTCACTCTGAGCTATCATAGTTATTATACAAAATAGTTTCACTATCCTAAAATTCTACTGTTTCACCTATTTAACCTTTCCCCACTCAAAATCCTGTCAACCCTGATCTGTGCACCTTCTCTATGGCTTTACCTTTTGAAAATTTTATGTAAATGGAATCATATATTTTGTAGCACTTTTGTACTAGTTTCTTTCATTTTACAATATGTGGAGTTTGTTGATACATCACTTATTGAATGACATATTGATTGCTTCTGGTTTGAGGTAATTATGGATAAAGATGTTATCATTTGCAAACCAGTTCATGTGCAGACATAAGTTTTCAAATAAATTGAGTAAACACCCAGGAGCGCAATTGTTGGATTATATGGTAGAGCTCTGTTTGGCTTTTTAAAAATCTGCCAAACTGTCTTTCAAAGTGGCAGTACCATTGTGCATTATCATTAGCAGTGACTGAGAGTTCCTGTTGCTTCATTCATTCACTAGTAATTGGTATTGCCAGTTTATTGGACTTTAGCCATTCTACTGGAAGAGGAAGCATGAGCCAGAACTAACTATTGAGAAGGATGGAGAAAGTTGCATTGAATTTCCACATACTACTCAACTTCATTATTTCTCCACCTTTACCATGCATGTCAGGGACTTGGATGGGGAAAAGGGCTTGCACATAAGTGTTATAAACTGTGCTGTTAAAAGTGTCTTGGGTATTCTTTCCTACGGAAAATTGTCACTGCAATTTTCTTCTGTGCAAGCTTTAGTCCTTTGTCATGTTGTTATAATTCATATGACTCTACCAACCTCCTTCATTTATCTCCCTAATATTCCTGATCCCAGTCCCCAAAATCTCATTTCATACTTTTCAGAAAAGTGGTTTTTTTTTTTGTTTTTTTTTTGACGTGTGACTGAGCTTCCAAGTCATATTTAGAGGGCCCATTTCCACCAGACAAGTCCGTTAAGGGTTATGCTCTCCCAGAGAGAGAAAGGGAAAGAGAGGTCTCTTCTAGAAACTCTGTAATGAATTTTTAATTTAATAATTTTGTTTTTCCTCCTATGTGCAGAATCATGCAGATTGCACAAAGAAGCACCAACTCACTCACCCAGTTACATGACAAGCTTGGCCCTTCCTGGGACTTCTCAGTGTGGATTGAAAGGGATTTATTCTTGAGTGAGAGCAGAAGTGCAGAGACTGGAATGGTTCCTTTGGGAAAGAAAAGAGAACTGGCTGATTCCAGGAAAGTTGGAGTGAAATTCAAATTGGCCAGGTTTGCAGATAATGACTGCTATGATGATTAGCTAATGATTAGCGCTTCTCCAGGGAGCGTCAATGTGGCTTGGAACTTTTAAGAGAGAAGGTGCTTTGGGAGGCAGCTGGAATGAAAAAGAACTACAAAGCTCTGCATGATAGGCCCCCACAGTGTCTTTGGTTCTGAAAAGCAGTTGTCACCGTCCTGCCCACTCTTATTCTCCAAGAGATTTCCATGAATGAGATTTCAAACCCTCCTTACAGGGATTCCTATGGTAACACAGTAGATTAAAATGCTGGCCTAAGTGACTTAAGATGGATTATCCTCAAAACTAGCATGGAGTTTTTGTCTTTAAGGCGTCATACATATTTTGAGTACTTGACAGATTGTACAGTTTGTAACTAAATTTTTATGCTATGCTTTTTAAAACCATAAAAAATTCCAGATATTGGCTAAATAGTATTCAGTTAAATTGATATACAAATTCTTCCTCATTTTTATTTACATTTTGGTACCACATCACCTATATCTTTCTCCTTCTGATTAGTACCCGTCGTTTTCCTTTTCCTTGACCCAGTTTTAAATGTACAAATACTCTCTACTCTCAGTATATGTAGTTATCTCTTTCCATATTAACAGTAAGAAAAATCATACAGCATTCTATTTTACTCAATAATAATTCTCATTTAGTTGTAAACTGACAAGCTTACAAATGAGAAAATTTCAAGTATGGTAAATTCATATAAACTTTGCTTTTCCTTTGTTAATCATTCAGTTCTGTCAACCTATCACTGCTAAAATGTTTCATCTTTAGGACTTAATTACCTAGGTCAATTTCTAACGATTTCTTCATTCTGTATGTATGAAAAAAAACTGAACCATCTGAGTAGAAACTCTGATTAAAAATGAATCACCATATCAATTGAACAGGTGACATTCTTTTCAAGGCTTATAATTCATTTTTATTAGTAGAAATTGTGTTTCACTTAATTAATAGATAGCTTTACTTGAGTTTATAAAGGGAAAGCAAGAGTGTGTTAGGGTGCAAAAGAAATATTTGTATTTGACTATGCTTAATAACTTCTGAGTTCTAAATTTGTTTAAATGACATTAGGTACTCAAAATTTTAGTCTAAGAGCTTTTGTAAGATTTTACAGAAATTCAGACTTTCAGGGCTACTTATTATTTTTCGTCTCTGTTACTTACCCTTCACTGTCAACTGAAAAATTTTTTCTATTTATTCATAATTTACTTAAGGTATAATTACAGATTCTCATTTTTCTTTAAATGCTTGACAAGCATAATGGAAATTTTATGCAAGATTCATTTTCATGTTATGTAAGAAAATTTTTGTCATGTATAAAATTACTTCAAGCTGTTTATATAAAATATGCTTATTGATAACTTTTTACATATCCATTGACGATAAGCTCATGTGTAGGTTTTCTTTTATATTGTATCTAAAGACATACAATATTTCTCTGTTTTATAAACTCACTTCTTTTTAATTTTTACAAGTAGCCTTATTAAAGCATATATATATATATATATATATATATACACATACATATATAGAGAGAGAAAATTCCCCAATGTTAACTCTGTAAGTCAATGAATTTGATAAAACCACTGCCAAAATGAAGTTACACAGCAATTTCATGATCACATAAAATTTCATCATGGCCTTGGCAATCAATCCCCTCGCACAAGCCCAGACCCAGCTTTGCATCATTGTGGAATTGCCTTTAGTAGAATTCATACTAATAAAATTTTAAAGAATCGCATCTTTTGTATGTGGCCCTTTTCACTTGTTTAATGCTTTTAAAATGCATCCATGTGGTTTCCTGTATTAGTAACTTTTAATGGCCACTAGGATTCCATTATGTGGATGTAGTAGTATGTTTATCCACCCGTGACAACAGAGAGTTTGGTCATTTCTGCTTTCTGGTTATTTTACATTAAACTATAATGACCCTGCCTGTCTCCTCTGAAATGGAACCAGACTCCCAGGCAGTCCCAGATGGAGATGGGCCTGGGGGCATGGAAGTCCAATTCTTGAAGAAAACTGGCAGCCACAGGACTAGAGCTCTAGTTTTTTTTTTGTTGTTGTTGTTTTTTGTTTTTTAATGTCCCCTTGGCTGCCACATGGGGATCATTCCCTGCACACGGCAGCATTGAGAGGGAAGTGGATGACCTTGCGCTGCAGCAGTTCATTACTCTTCCAACCCTCAGACTTCAGGTTCACTCCGTGACAATGAGGAGAATAGATACATTAAGACTAGTCATAACAGTAGAAAGGGAGAGCAGACAGATAAGGATCCCTCCACTACAAGGTAAGAGCTGACTGTAGTAATGATCTAAGCACCTAGGAGACAGACAAAAGGACAGACCCAGAGGTACTGATAAGTAGAGAATTAAGTGTAGTCTTAGTGAACAGCATCAAGGATGCCACCTTTAACCATTATTGTAGTTACCGGTTTATATTTGAGTGTTTAAGGAATGCTTGTTTCCTAGTAAGATGTCAACTCCATCTTGGGAGGGCCATTATATCTTACTTTCAGTGACCTCATTATTAGTTTTTAGACTTTACGCAGGTCTTGGATACAGCTTCTTCTCAACATTGCTGAGGAATGTGGCACATTCTGTGTGAACAAGAGACCCAATTCTTCCTGTTCCAGGAGCTGCCGAAGGTTGTCATGACTACGGTTCTTCAGGATGAGCTCTGGGCTCAATGTAGTCTTGAAGTTGAGACCACAAGACTTGCCCACAGAGCTCTTCACTCTCTCCAAGGAGATCTTGGACAGCAATGCAAATGAGCTCAAACCTAAATTTAGGCCTGCTCCCTACCATTCTGCTGTCATCTCTGAAGAAAACCCAGGGGTCCCCACAAAAGGCCTTCCATTCCCTTCAGGCCAGAAGTACCCAATTCTGTTCTGAATCCATCTCACACGATGAGCAGAAACCCCAGGATTAAAGATGGCTTAAACCATTTGGCATCACACAATCTAGGGTAGCAGGCAGTAGGCAATTTCTGGTTTGGAAGGGTTGGGAGCATCGTCTATGGGATCAGCAATGTCCATGAAGAAGGGAAACCTCTGTAAGGTCTAAATGGACCCAAGCTCAGGTCCTCTAGGCCAAGGCTAGGTCATATCTATGGCTACACCTGTTACTGAGGAATCAAAGAGAGTTCAGACAACTTATGGTTTTGTCTAGGAAATGAGAAAGGCAATACTGAGGTGTAATGTAAGCACATTGGGTGGCTGATGCTCATTCTGGCAGCTGGTAGAGGCTATATGGCTTCTACTATAGGCACTGGCAGTGACAGGACACTACAAAGGACCCACGGCAGGTCAGAAAATGCAAGGTACCTCTTGAAAGCTTTCCACATACCTGGCACTCACAGGAAACCTCCCTATTAGGACTGGTAAAGTGTAGAAGTGTGGTAGGCCAAATTTTAAGACAGCTCCCAAGATTTTTCCATCCTGACTATGAGACTGTGAATATGATGGATTTTTCTCCCATATTAGGTTATGTTATATGACACAGTTGACCTTAAGAAAGAAAAATTATCCAGGTAGCCCTAGTCTAATTGTATGAGCCCTTTAATAGCAGATAATTGTCTCCCGTTGTTAGCACAGGAGGAAGTCAGAGATCTGAAGCATAAAAACAATGCCATACCCTACTGCTGGTTTGAAGATAGAAAGGCCCAAGTGTCAAAGAAAGAGGGTGGCACCTAGGAACTGAGTGTGCTTCAGCTGACAGCAAGCAAGGAAACATAGATCTCAGTCCTACAACAGCAAAGATGTGAATTCCGCAAACAGCAATGAGCTTGGAAGCTGGATTTTCCCCAGAACCTCCAGATTAGAATGCAGTTTCGCCAGAACCTTAATTTCAGCATGAGCAGAGAATGTAATCATGCTGTGCCATAATTCGTACCTCAGAACTGTGAACTAATGAATGGGTGTTTTGCAATTATGATAATTTGTTACACAGCAATAGAAAACTAATACCACAGTGTTGAATTTCTGGAAGATGGCTCATGCATATCATATTTTTTTTCCTCCTCATATGCACATGTCACCCTCTCAGCAAAAGGTGGAATTTGTGTCATTATTCATTTGCTTTGGCTGCAATGTGTCTGTTCAAGACACTCCTTATGTTTCTATTTTCTTCATCATGAATTACTTACATTAATTTTGATAATTTAAAATACTGTATTAAAATATTACCTGTCTTTGTTACTGAGGTTTTTGGAGTCCCTTTACATTTTGTACCAGTGGAGAGTACTTCATTCTCCTTGCCCTAGTCCTGGACTCCTTGAGAGACAGGGGTTGATCAAGACTCATCAAATCTCCTGGAATATATGCTTTATGAAGACAGTCTTCATTCTGTTTTATGCATTATTTTATCTCTGATGCCAGAAACAGGGGCTAGTACATGAAACAGATTCATAAATTTTTCATGAATAAATAAGTCCTAAGAAGATTAGCTATTTTTCTAATTAAAATGGACAATGGATAAATTTACTTAAACAATGAAGTGATAAGATCTAATGACAAATGAAATTTCTTATGGAAATGGTAGCATTGAAGAAACACATCTATACTTAATTTGGGACTTCGTGTCACATAGGTTCCCATGATATTTCATCAGCGCAAAAATATCTACACCAAACAAAGCACATCCTTCAGATATTTGTTAATATTTCCATATCTCTTTCAAATATAGGTAAGTATAGTAGCTGCAATGTGAAATTTTAAAAATTTCATATTTTTTGATATGCTGACATTCAGTTAATATTAACAATACATTTATTATTATGATTAAATATCTAATCATTTTAAAATAATTAAATGAATAGGGAAATACATTTTAACATGGGACCATTTGACCTTTGGCCACATTTTGAATTAAATAACTCTAAAATAAGTAGCAGTCATTTCACAAAACCTCAGTGTATTTTTGTTGTTGTTGTTTTTGTTGTTGTTGTTTTGAAAGTGGATTACAGCCAAAGTGGTCCTTCTTGTTCTTCTGGATTCACGAGTCTTACTTATTCTCCATGGCAGTCCCTTTTGTTCCTTTTTTCCCTGGACTGAGGCTGCCCTTAAGGTTACCTTAAGTGATCCTCTGACTTCTTCCATCTTATATATTCCTGGGACAGTACTACTACTTGCTCTCAGTTGAAAAACAAACACTTTACTAAGCTATTAATGCACTTTTTTTTCTAGAGTCATTTTTACAAGACTGCATTTTTAAAGAGCTTTTGTAAAAGTAATGCACGTGCCTAATTACTACTAACAAATGAGTGTATTTAGCAAATTGAAAATGCAATAATTTCTTGGACTTCGAAATGCTAACGAATTAGCTGAAAAATCCAGAGCTAAATTCCTTGTTGCTCTTTTTATACATTTTATAGAATCCTATTATAGAGCACCAATCAACTGAGAAAGTAATTCAAGTCAGAAATGCTAGCTTATTCATAGAAACATGATTAAATCAATTAACCTACTAATGGCATCTGCCAGTTCATTTTTAAGAAAGACTCAGTAGCAATAAAATTAAAGTACAGCCACAAATTTTTCCTTGTCCCAGGTTTTGAAGGAAGAAAAATAATAAAAATGTTTTCAACATTGTCTTTTACAATAATTGGATTGTGCTTTAAAAAATACCTCAGAAATAGGTTTTTCTAACAATGAGATATCTATTCTGAAGCATTTCCTATTAAGTGAAAATTATTTTTATGCAAGCTTTTTTAATTGCTGAAAGTGTAATTATCCTCACACATTTATTCCCTGTTTAAGGACAAAATAAAATAAATCATGCTTTTACATTTTATATTATGTTTCTTCTGACTGATTTCCCTGCACCCTTCAGTTACAGTTTATCTACAGTATTGTAAACAATTCCAGTTACTGTCTCTGAGGAAGATGCAACATTGTAGGAAATGTTTGAGATCAGTACAGTAAGAATGAATAACCAAACATTTAGATGTATATTCTCAAGGCATAATGAACCTGACCCTGGTTAGGTAGAAAAAGTGAAAAGTTTAAGAAAGAGATCACATATAGTCTTGACTTAGGAGAAATGGGTATTCTTTCTCATAAGTCAGAGAATGTGTTAAAATCATTAGAAAAATAATACATTTTGTTATAGTTGGGTGGGAAGATATATATTACCTATATACCTGGAAATTTAAAGTATAGTCCACAATGGATTATTAAAGATAAGGTAACTTTAAGTGTTCACAAAATAACAAAGGAAGATAATAATAAAACTAGCTGGTTAATTAACAGAAAAATCAAGGTTGCATGAAAGAATGTTTGCCTCATGACATTTGAATTGTATTCAGATAGTCATTGCCTTAGTCTGTTAAACAAAATACCACAAACTGAGTGGCTTATAAAAACCACTTATAAAAATAGAAATTTATTTTTGTTTCTATTTTTACACAGTTCTAGAGACTGGGAAGTCTAAGATCAAGGCACCAGCAGACTTGACGTCTGGTGAGGGACCATTCACTGGTTCATAGATATAGGAACTGTGCCCTCACGTGGTAGAAGGGGCAAAGGAGCTCTCTGGAATCTCCTTCATAGGGACACTAATCCCATTCTTGAAGTTGCCACCCACATGACCTCATCTAATCATAATTACTTCTGAAAAACCCTACCTTGTAACACCATCACATAAAAGTAGGGTTTCAACATACGAATTTGCTGGGGGACACACACATTCAGTCAATAGCAGCCATTTTGTCTAAATATAAAAAAGATAAAAGAAAGTTTTGATTTTTTTGTTGTTGTTGTTAGAAAATGTGTCTCTCTATTCATCTTAAGTACTTGAAATTGCTCTCAGCAACATTGAAGTTAAAGTAAGAATAAACATGAATATATCTCAATTTAAAAAAAAACACTTGCATATAGAGTTTTTTATTACGACAGCAGTAGCAACAAGCCTGGTTAAAATCGTAAAATTTGTGCTTCATCCTGAAAGAAAAAAAAAAGTCTTATTTTACTTCTCCTGTTAAGTAGTGGCAGCAAAAGTGAAAAAAAATTTCAATGGGCTTCTTTTCCAAAATAAGTTTTTAATGCTTGTGTGACCATAGGAAAAACTGTTCTATTGCTAGTGTTTTGCCCCTCATAGTGCTTTGTTACCTTATCTTTGGGCTTGCTATATTTCAACCATACATAGTCTACGCTAATTAAGGCTTTTAGAAAATACCACTAATTCAAATGTTCTTCCAAATGAAGTCATGATTTGTTAATTTAGTACCCCTGGAATATTTGGAACAGCACTTAACTATAAAATAGCCCAGTTTTCTAACCTTAATATTCTGGATGATCATGCTTGGGAGGTTTTGAATGTCATTATTTGAGATATTCTAAATTTTTTGAAATGCTGCAGGAGAGAGTTATAATAGCTTTGCAGCACTCATGTTCCCATAGCAATCTGTGAAAGAAAACCAAGCCCGACTTTTTCTGTTTAAACCAACTTAATCCTTTGAATTAGAGAGCCATGTCCAACCTTATAACAGCTGAGATGTCAGGAAACGCAAACTTTTGGAACTTTATCTTAAGATAAGATATAAGATGAAAAAGTTGTTAAAATATAATTTTTATAATTTATTTAATCTCCCATAACCATTCTGCAACAAAGGCATGCAAATGCCAAAAATATGAATTTAAGTTTTTTGTCTGCCTCAAGCTCAATAAAGATTAAAAACCAAAATGATGAAACATCTTCCCTAAAAAAATCCAACAATTTTTCTCTTGTCCCAGACCATTGAATTGAAATATAGTGCAATTATAACAGAGGCCGCAGCTGATCCAACATGACATTGGAAGATCAGATGCTCTCCGTATTACCCCTTCAGTTAAGGGTAATTCTTTTTTTTTTTTTAATTTTTATTTTATTATTATTATACTTTAAGTTTTAGGGTACATGTGCACAACGTGCAGGTTTGTTACATATGTATACATGTGCCATGTTGGTGTGCTGCACCCATTAACTCGTCATTTAGCTATAAAGTTAAGGGTAATTCTTAAAAAGTAGTTAGCTTTGCAGCTAAAGGAGAGGGCCTCAATCTGAAAATTATCTAGGATTAGAAACCATGGTATCCATCGACTTCCTGGTAGGAGGCTGAATATGTTTGTATAAAATTACTTTTTTTTTTTTTTTTTTTTTGAGACGGATTCTCACTCTGTCACCCAGGCTGGAGTGTACTGGTAGGATCTCTGCTCTTTGCAACCTCTGCCTCCTGGATTCAAGTGAGTCTCGCGCCTCCACCTCCTGAGTAGCTGGGATTACAGGCACGCACTACCATGCCTGGCTAATTTTTGTATTTTTCGTAGAGACAGGGTTTCACCATGTTGCCTGGGCTGGTCTTGAACTCCTGGCCTCAAGTGATCCATCCGCCTCGACCTCCCAGAGTGCTGGAATTACAAGTGTAAGCCACTGCACCCAGCCTAAAATTACATTTTAATTCAAGTGTTTCATAATATTTAGCTTCTAAAAATAGTAGCAACTACAGTAGTGAAATGGGAGAGTTCCCTAATTCACCTGGCAAGACGTGCGACAGGGGTGCAGCTTACCTGTTGCATTGCCGCACAGCTCATACCCTTTATGGGAAGGGGAGCACAGAGATGGTCAGGTTCAGGAACCAAGGCAAGTGCTTTTGGGCTCCAGCCTCACGGCAGCATCTAGGAGTGGGTGTCTGCAGCTCCCAAAGCCCAAGTGGGCATGTGTTACAGTGTGCTCCTTTAGCTTTACCATCTGCAGATGACTTGTGTGTTAATCAGCTCAGTGCACCCTCTGCCTTATGGCAAGGGCAGGGGGCCAGTGTGACAGCCTTCTGTATCCTGAGCTCTTGCTCAATGTCCCAAAAGAATCTGATCATACACAGACTCAAAGGATGAGTGCAAGGTTTTATTGAGTGGTGGAGGTGGCTCTCAGTGAGATGTATGGGGAGCTTAAAGGGGGATGGAATGGGAAGTGACCTTCCTTTGGAGTTGGGCCACCCAGCGGCTGGACTCTTCTCCAACTGACCACCCACAGCTGAACTCCCCTCAGCTTTTCTCCCTGTCAATGCCACACTGTTTCAGTATCACTGGTCCACTGGTCTGCTGGTCCACTGGTCTGCTGGTCTGTTTGCCTCCTTGTCTCCTTGTTTGTGGGTCTCTTCTGGAGCTTGGGGTTCAGGCTTTATATGGGGACAGGATAGGTGGCATGGCAAGCCATAAGGCAACTTTTTGGGAGCAAAAACAGAAATGCCTGTCCTCATTTAGAACTGCTGGTCTTCAGGCTTTAGAGTGGCGCCTTTGCCAAGGGAACCACACTCTTCTATCCAGTATTTCCCTATCTCCTGTCCATATCAGTAGCAATTATATCTGTTATCAGCCCATCATTTCACAAAATATTGTCTAAAAATTGCTGTTGATTATTTTATCAGTCAAATTTACTAACTTTGCTAGAAAAAATTATTGGGAAATGAATAAACTAAATCTTACACCCTTTGGTACCATCAATTATAATACAAAAATTAAAAATCGCAACCACCATAGCTTTTATTTGTTGCTTAATTAAGTATATTTATTCTCATTAACCATCAATCTAATCACGAAAAAGGGGCATAAGCTTTGGAGACAGACAGACTCACATTTGAGTATGGTTATCCATCCTATTTTATAACTTTGACAAAACATTATATCTTAACCTCTCTGAAGTTTGTTTTCCAAATCTATACACTGAGAATTATTTTTAAGTTTGATTTGCTCTTACCTGTAAATCATACCCTTTAAACCTCATCCATTCTCATTTTCCATATGCCCAATATGTTTTATAGTAATAATACAATTCACAAATTATCTACCTTCCTCTAACTACTGCCTTATTTTTGTCTCTTGTTTTGTAAACAATCTTTTAAAAATGGAGGTCTACACCAATGTTTCTCAAACTTTAATGTTCTGAGCAATCATATGAATATGTTGTTACAATGCAGAGTTTGATGCAGTAGTTGTGAAGAGGTACCTGAGATTCTACATTTACAAGTATCTCCTAGATGGGGTTGATGCCATGGTCCATAGATCATCATTTAAATAGCAAGAATCTCTATGTACTGTCACCATGAGTTTATTGGCCATTAACCTCTTACTCCTCTGCCATCAGGCTCAGATAATAATACAACATTCACACGACTCCATTGCATGGGCTCTAGTAATCTCTTTATAGTCATATCTAATGGGTACTTCTCAGTCTCTAACTTTGGTGAACTCTTCAGCCTTTGATTGCCAATGATGTTGATGTACCCATTATTAGGAGGGCCTAAGTAGACAAATGCCACCCCATCACCAGGACTCTACAGCAGGTAGTGAAACCATGACCAATTTGTCTCACTGCAATTTAGGAGATTTCTTCTTACCCATACAGTCATGCATTTCCTTCCCTCTTCATCTTTATTCCTTTACATGGCTAATCTCTCTTCATCCTTTAAAACTAAATCCACACACAGCCCCTCTGAGAAATATTTCTTTTTTTAATTATACTTTTAAGTTCTGGGGTACATGTGTACAACATACAGGTTTGTTACATAGGTATACATGTGCCAAGTTGGTTTACTGCACCCATCAACTTGTCATTTACATTAGGTATTTCTCCTAATGCTATCCCTCTCCCAGCCCTCCACCCCCAGACAGGCGCTGGTGTGTGATGTTCCCTGCCCTGTGTCCATGTGTTCTCATTGTTCAATTCCCACCTATGAGTGAGAACACGCGGTGTTTGGTTTTCTGTCCTTGTGATAGTTTGCTAAGAATGATGGTTTCCAGCTTCATCCATGTCCCTGCAAAGACATGAACTCATCCTTTTTTATGACTGCATAGTATTCCATGGTGTATATGTGTCACATTTTCTTAATCCAATCTATTATTGAGGGACATTTGGTTTGGTTTGGTTCCAAGTCTTTGCTATTGTAAATAGTGCCGCAATAAACACACATGTGCATGTGTCTTTATAGTACAAGGATTTATAATTTTTTGGGTATATACCCAGTGATGAGATCACTGGGTCAAATGGTATTTCTAGTTCTAGATCCTTGAGGAATCGCCACACTGTCTTCCACAATGGTTGAACTAATTTACACTCCCACCAACAATGTAAAAGCATTCCTATTTCTCCACATCCTCTCCAGCATCTGTTGTTTCCTGACTTTTTAATGATCACCATTCTAACTGGCGTAGGAATATTTCAATTACAGAAAAACAGAGAATGTTATAAAATTTAAAGAAAGAACAAAAAAGTGCTTATATTTTAATTCAGAAAACAATATATACTGCTGTTTCTATTAAGGTGCGATTTTTAAAGATCTTTTTGAGGAATGATGTGAATTATGTGAGTTTGCATTGAGAAAGTCAAGTAAATGTAAGATATTGAGATATTTTCTCTGAGTAGATAGATGCCCATCTTGATCTTAGAAAAAGGAAAACATTGTCACATCATACCAACTACAGTCACTCTCTTTCATCTCGCATATACCACACAAATACACACGTACACATATGCACTGCACATCTACAAACACACATATACACACTATTTGACTCAAAAGATCCAACTACTTTTATACTACTATGAGGACATTAAAAACTTTAAAATAAAGGTGACGCAAAACCCACACTACATAAGAAGATCATGTATTTAACTATTTGTGAAAAGGATTTGAGATCAATTTCAAATTGAAAATTTCCCAGTGGGCTATGGATTGGAGGGAGGAAATGAAAAGATTGAGTTTCTTAGCTAATTAGCGAAGCATGTAGCATCTTGCTGGAACTGAACTAATTCTAAAAAGAGGAGTAGATACAGCCTACATACATGTACAGCAGTAGAAAACATATCTATTCTCTTTTCTTTTTAGAAATTAAAGCATGAACCAGTTAATAACCTGCCAAACATCCCACAGCAAGCAAGTAGCAATACTAGATTCCCACTCAGGCATACTTACTCTGGAGCTTGCTCCTTTAAGCCCAAAATATACCCCAGACACCCTCCTTGAAACTGGGGGCATACAAAAGCTGGCAAAATATTTATGGGTCCCTGCCCCAAGAAATCTACACTTCTTCTATTTGAGTATGACCTTTTTGCTGAGACCTGAAGATAATTAAATAGAATATATTAAAGAAGGCTATTGGAAGTATGAAGTTGGTTACATCTTAGTAATATTTATTCGTTCCAAATTCAAATGCACATTGATAGAATTAGAATCAACCTGAATCACTGGGTTATAGTGTCAATGCCCTATACAAATAAACATACAGGTAAACATGCATTTATATAAAAGCAGAAGAGGACTCACACTTAATAAGTAGAAAGTACCTTTCCCTAAATCATAAGTATGCAAAAAGATAAGTTTAAATGGTTTAATATTTAAAATGGCTACTCAGTAGTCATTACTTGTAAGAATGACATTTATTACTCTGAGCACTTCATTACTTTGGCCACATCCTGAAGCAATCTTTAATAATTTCCGTAATGGAATGAGCAGATCAGAACTATAATGAACCTCTACAAATTTTTTTTTAAAGACATTTTATTATGCAAAATAGATATTTGCTCCTGTGTGTTTGCATTCGTTTTTTAAAAATCTCACAACAATCATATCAAATATTTTAAAAAACAGTTTTCTTTATTTTGATCAATCAGGTCTAAACACTGGATATTTTTGAGGATTCGACAGACATAGACTCAAGAGCCAAAATAAATGTAAAATTCTGATATTTTTCTCTCTTTTACAACAGAGATGTTGTAAAGGAGCATGCCAAGATTGCCACTATCGGAGCTCAGATTGAAGTATGTATAGGGTTATCACAGTGACCTCATTCAACAATAGGAGGCCTGAGCTTACCCTTTCTTATAAAATGTCTGCCAGAAATTAGTGAATTCACTATTGTCAATCAAGCGTTTGGGCAGATTTACAGAGTCAGTAAATTAGACCCATAAGTAATGTGGTTGAATTTTTATAGCCTTGAAACGATTGCAGAAAACTGAACAAAAAGATTTATAGCTATTAAACTGGCATAGTTTTTGGTGTAGTGTGGCAAAAAAATAGTGATGAAGTTTTCACATTGAAATTAGAAAATAGATAAGTAGGCAAGTCCTGAATTTTCTTTTTTTATTTTATTTATGTATTTTCTTTGAGATGGAGTCTTGCTCAGTTGTCCAGCCTGGAGTGCAGTGGCGATCTCGGCGCACTGCAACCTCTGCCTCCCAGGGTCTAGTGATTCTCCTGCCTCAGCCTCCCGGTAGCTGAGATTTCAGGCACCCGCCACCACGCCCGGCTAATTTTGTATTTTTTAATAGAGACAGAGTTTCACCATGTTGGCTAGGCTGGTCTCGAACCCCTGACCTCAAATGATTCACTCGCCTTGGCCTCCCAAAGTGCTGGGATTACAGGCGAGAGCCACTGCGCCTAGCCTGAATTTTATTTTTATAGGTCTTCTAGCCACACATAAAAAAATAAAATCTCTATTACAAAATCATCTTTAAAAGCAATCACCTTCCCTTCCATAACCACATATATGTGTACACATCTAAACAAAATAAAATCAGACCATGTGTTAAATAATTATTATAGGTAAGTTCTTCATGGATTTAAGAAGGTTTGTAACATAGATCATATAAAGTTTCTGTTCTTTTAGATTACTAAAGTGTGAAGAGGGTAGATTGGCAGAGAAGGAAAAAAGGAAAATACATATGCAGTTTTATAGAGCTGACTTTTCTTTCAAGCTGTTTATAATCTTTTTAAAAAACAAGGACATTTTCAAATACAACGTGGAATTGGAGTGCAATAAATGTTACGTAACAACAATCTCTGTTAATAGTTCAGTCCTAGTGAATTGTTTTTACTATAAGCTGCTTCAAATCCTTTAAGTAAAAGGTGAAATATAAATGCAGAAGCAAATAAACAGAGACATTGTAACACTGGTTTATATTCCTTACTTAAATAGTGAATTCACTTCTTGTAAGAAAACAAATCTCACCTAGCAAACTTGAACATCTTACTATTGAGTCCTATGCCCTCCTCTGAACACACCTCCTCCCAATATGTTTTCTGCCTCACCTTGGCCTCTCTACTCAGAAATATCAAACAATCCATGAGAAATTGTAAAATTAAGTAGTTTGGTTTTTGTTTTTTGTTTTTCAATCAAGCATGATGGTCCATGCCTATAATTCCAACACTTTGGGAGGCTGAGGCCAGTGGATTGCTTGAGCCCAAGAATTTGAGACCACCCTGGGCAACATAGTGATATGTGATATCCTGTCTCTACAAAAAAATAAAATAAAATAATTAACCAGATGTGGTGGCATGCATCTGTGGTTCCTGCTACTTGGGAGACTGAGGTAGGAGGATTGCTTGACCCAGGAAGTCAGGGCTGCAGAGTAGTGATCAGGCCACTCCTGAACTCTAGCCTGGGCAACAAGGCAAGGCCCTGTCTTGGGGGAAAAAAGAAAAGTGTGTTTTTTGGTTTGTTTTTGGATTTTTCGGTGAGGAAAGGGGGACTAATAATAAACTCACTTTAGTTCAACTTCAAGTAATAAGAGGTTAGTAAAAGTGCTATTATACAATGCAAGAGGGCTCAGGAAAATAGTAGACTAACTAAAATCCACTTTAAATTGTGGCAAAAAACACATTTAAAACTTACATATTATATTTCAACTTAAATATAAAAGTGTATATTTGTTTGCCAAATATTGATGTAAAGTCAAATATGGATGGAATATTATTTGTTCCTCAACCTTTTAGAATTAACTTGCCCACATCTAATTCCCCAGTACTTTAAAAACATTTTTTTCTTTCTTTCTTTTCAAAATATTCAATTCAGTTTTTATGGCAATGACAATTGTTTATAATTATGCTCTCAAATTCTATTGGTTTTCAAAATAGGTAATTGAACTGAGTAATTCAACTTAATAACAATCAGCTTGCATATTGGGGAACAAACAAGGCTGACTCTAGTTAAGCACTGAACTGAAATGCAGGACCAGGAGTGAGTGGGGGATACTAGACAGGATCTTACTAGCCATGAATACTCAGCCATGACTGAAATGAGAAGTCAATACAATATGATTTTCAGAGGAAATGGAGAATGTTGTTTAATTCTGTGAATCGGTAAAGTGCAAGTGGCTTAATAGGGCATCCATTATATTTCTGATTAGGATACCATGGTTCCTTGTGAAACATAAAAGCAGGGGTGCAGCTGGGACTCAGGCAGATGTCAGAACCATTGACTGCAAGAAGCACTGAAGGAAAACTAGGACGTTTCTGTGGGGGATTAGTGGCGTGGCCACAGACAGCTTCTGTTTGTGTATTGCTACTTACATGTATCTTAGCACAGATGAGATTTCCTCACATCTAGTTCACCTAGGAGAAAATGAATTCCAATAACAGTTTCTAGGTTTAATCTCTTTTTTTATCCTGGAAAATTAAGGCTAAGGCGTAACGTTTTTGGCCCCGCTTCCAAAGTCTCAGGAAATGGCTGTTATTTATTAGGGGACCATCTTGGTCCATAACTACTTGTATTGAGAAGGTCAAGTTGTTTGGAATAAACACAAATACTCTTTGAAAATATGTAGAAGTGGAGAGGATAGACACTACTTGGAACAAATATTGAATGTCCGGTTCAGATACATTTTCTCTAACAATAGAAAAACGGGGGAAAAAAAACCCACAGGGAATAAAGAAAATTCAAACTAGTGTTCCAGACATAGAGAAAAAGCCTGGGATTCAGAGGCTTAAAAACAAGAGAACAGAAAGGAAAGCAGGACAAGCTCACATTGAATCCTTTAGGACATGCTGGGAATTTTGACACAGTAGTTTGAGTAAAACGTATAGCCATTGAAGAGTTTTAAGTAGATGTGTGGATATATTTCTGTTAATGTTTTAAAGGATCGTCCTGGTTGCACTTTGCAAATGGTTCCAGTGAAGACTCTTACAAAACAGGGAGATCAGCTAAAAGAACAAGGGCAGAAGACAGGAATCTTGTCATTATATTTCAAGTGCAACAATTATAATAGAAAAATATATACATTTAGTAAAAATGTACTGGTCTGTATTTGCAAAGATACATTGTCTTTGTGGAACTGTAATCAAATTCAGGGAAAGCAGCCTAAGTCAGAATTTGTTTTATTCATTGGAAAACCCTGAAGAGAGTTGGTTTTTAATAGAGGCAAACAAGCCTGTTTGTCTGTCATCAGCTCTACAGGCACTCTTCACAGGATCTCACCTTCCAAACATATGAAAACCTATTTCTACCTTTAAAAATCTTCTCAAACAGTTTTAACTGCCATGCCAATTACTAGTAGTTGTACATGCTATGAATGTTTGAAAACTAAACATAAATGTTTCTTTGGCATGATTTAGCTAGCCTCTTCTATGCAGAAGCTGGAAGGGTCTTCTCTTATTCTACCATAATGTTTCAGAGCTTTTGTTTTTGAATTATTTATAGACCTGAATGTAACTCCTGAAACAATCTTTAAATATTCAAGGCCTTAATTTTTTAATACTTGAAATAAGATATTATGACTTATTTTATAGAGTTATTTTGAAGTCTAAATCTTTAAATGCTTTGTTCTATGCCTACTGCATAAAAGCCCTCAACAAATGGCACTTGTATGTAATTCCAGGATTAATTTTCCATAATAAAAGCAGATGACTTATAAGATAGAAAGTAATAACAAGATATGCAAAACATTTTCACTTGAATTTCCATTGCATTTAATCAATTTACAAATTAAAGTTTAGTGGACAATGAAACTGCTATCAGCAGATAAGAGTAGGTTTGGGATCAGGTTTCCCAAGAAGACACCATTCTCTTCTTAGATTCATTTCAAAGGATGAAATAGACTCGAATTGCTTTAAGAAAAAGTGAGATGATTTTAATAATACCTGTAGGCTGAAGTTGAACAGAAAATTTATTACAAAACGAGACAACCATACACACAACCTACTCTCCTCCCCTCTCTGGAACCATGGGAAACCTCTCTGTTTTGTCTACCAGTTGTCACTCATCTGCTTTATTGTCTCTCCTTACTGCTGTTTTCTCTGCAAACTTAGTCTCTACTCATGCATAACTTCGGCTTTCTCTGGATCTTCTATTATTTTTGTCACTACTTCTATTGCCAATTAACAAATTTCACGGTTTTAGTTTACTTAGCTCCAAGTTTGGGCTGCTTCATAAAAGGATACAGTAAGCCAGAGCACAGGAGATAATCATGCAACTTGTGTTCGTTCTTTTATGTCCTGTCAATTGTTAATTAGCATCTGTGTGCATCTATATTTTGAGTAAACCCTATTTATGTAAAGAAGCATTATCTAGTGGAAGTCTTTGTCAAACAAAGCTCATTTCAAGGCCATGAACTAAAGCTAATAGGTGGTGTCCATTATTAATTCTTCTTTACCATCAAATATTGTTAGTAATGCCTGAAATAGTATTACCACCAATTTACTTATAATGTGAAGATATAATGAGCTACTTACTCAGAAATACTAAATCACAAATAGAGAAAGTTTAACCAATTAAGGGGGTGAAAGTATAACTATTTAGAACTTAAACTAGATTATAGTCATTTAAACTGTATTATCTAAAATGCGTTGGCTTATCCTAGTTGTAAGAAGTCAGAGTCAGTACTATCCTTTCTTTTTACCTCTCATAAGTGGAGTATCTCCCTTCATAATTTGAGTGAGCCCCAGAGAGGCTCTCAAAAGCATTCAAGTAATCCCTGTATCCTTACAGAAATTCCTGCTATCTCTATTCCTTCCTAGCAGCCATTTGGTTGATATTTGCTGCTCATAAATCTCTCCAGAGAGGTGCATCACCTCTGATCTGCTTCCTGAGCTTGCTGGAAAATCACCTTGCCTGAAATGCTACTGCCTGGTATGTCACAGAGTTGCAAACCCTCAAGGTGCCAAAACTCATAATAAAAGGTGCTCCATTTATTCTTATATTTAATGCACCTTTATGGAAGCTCTACTGAGTTCTGGAACTGTACGAAGTATAGGGGTTATAGCAATAAACAAGACATTTATGAGACTTGGCTTGAGGAGTTTACAATATAGAGAAAAAAAAAGAAAAATTTAAAGTTCCTGCTATGTTCATACCTATTGGAATGGCTACTTAAAAAAATAAACAAAATAAACAGACAAACATAAAATGAATGTTAGTGAGGATGTGGAGAAAATGAAACTCTTGTGCCCTGTTGGTGGGAATGTGAAACAGTGCAGCTGCTTTTGAAAGCAGTATGTGGGTTCCTCCAAAAATTAAATATAGAATTACCATGTAATCCATCAAATTTACTTCTGGGTAAAATTACATCCAAAAGAATTGAAGTCAAGATCTTGAAGAGACATTTGTACACTCATTTCATAGAAGCATTATTCACAAGAACCAAAAGGTGAAAACAGTCCAGTCTATTGATGAATGGAAGGATAAACAAAATATGGTATATACATACAATGGAATATTATTCAAACTTAAAAAGGAAGCAAATTCTGACATATGCTGCAACATGGGCGAAACTTAAAAAAGTATGCCAAAATGAAATGTCACCAAAAGACAAATATTTTATAATTTCATGTATCCAAGGTACCTAGTATAGTCAAATTAATAAAGATAGAGAACAGAAAGAGTAACCAGCTGCTGTGGGAAAAGGTAAATAAGGAGTTGTTCTTTAATTGGCATAGTGTATCAGTTTTGTATGATGAAAAGAGCTCTGGATATTTGTTGCAAAACAATGTGAATATATGTAACACTACTGAACTGTACACTGAAAAATAGTTAACCTGGATGAGGGGTCTCACACCCTTAGTCCCACTGCTTTGCAAGGTAGAGGCAGGAGGACCACTTAAGACCAGGAGTTCAATACTAGGAAATGAGCCAAGACCCCTGTCTCAGCAAAAAATTTAAAAATTAGCTGGGCATGGTGACACATGCCTGTAGTCCCAGCTACTTGGGAGGCTGAGGTGGGAGGGTCACTTGAGGCTAGGCATTCAAGGCCACTGTACTCTGGCCTGGGCAGCAGAGACCCTGTCTCAAAAAAAAAAAAAAAACTAAGTTAGTAAATTTTAGACTATGTGTATTTTATCACAATTAATTCTCTCTCTCTCTCTCTGTCTTTGTCTCTCTCTGTCTTTTTAAGTCCCTGCTATGTTTCTGGAGCTCTACAGAATTTCCTGTAGTAAGGACAACATACCACCCCAACTGCGGCTTACATAATACCACTTACTTCACAGGCCCAGATTTTTCTGCACAGGCCCCAGTTTTTCCAAAGACCATTTTCATTTTCAAAACAGCTTTTATATGAAACATTTTTAGGGAATTCAGAGCGAATCTCTAAAGAAAATAATCTTTCCCTTTTCTTTGGGCACCGCAAGAAGCTCCTTGTTTCAACTTATCACATTTCTGCTGCTGATGGAATCTTGCAAAGTGGATGCCAGGTCAGTCAGAAGGGAGAAGGAGTGTTGATGGCCCCACATGTCCAGTTGCTTTTATCTGAGTTGAGCCAGATGTATTATCCCTTAAATGGTTTATTCTCTTCCTTACACTTTGGCAAAACATTTATCAATGCAGAATTTCATATAAACAAGCTAGCCAAATATAAGAAGCCACCGTTCTCATTTAATATTCAAATCTTAAATAAATACTGTATGTTAATCAAATACAATGTTAATCAAAATAAAATTTTAAAGTTTAATTAATTTGTGACAGTATCATAGAATGTTAAAGGCAACTTTCATTAAGAATTTACAACTGACTAGACAGCAATCTAAATGATTTAAATGTATTTTCTCACTTAATCTTCACAAAAATCCTATGAGCTGGTACTTTAATGATCTGATTGTGAAAGTGAGGAAAAAGTTCCAGAGACATTAGGAAACATGCCCAACATCACACATGAATGATGGACTGTAATTTTTACCTTAGCAAATTGGTTTCTAAGCAAGCAATCTTAATCATTACTGTATACTACTGGATGAAGAAAGTAAGACAAAGAGGTGAAATGATTTCTGAAGATTATACAACCATGTAATAGAAGAGCCAGCTTTCTTATCCCTACTCCAGTGACTTTCTTCCTTTCTCATATCAAACCCATTATAGTAACCAATTTGTAATCTCTCAATAAGACAAAATATTCCCTTACACTATGATAAGAGAGTCTTCCCTGCTCTTCATGGTATGAGAAGATAGAATTTAGAGGATGGACTTTAGCAATCATACGTTATACCCCTTTGTCAATTATTCTTTTCCTCTTCGTGTTGGTCAAATTATAACATTTGTTTATTTATTTTACTCTAGTTAATTTAAGAGCTTACCATTAAAAGCAACCACCATTTTTCTTTCTTTCGTCCTAAATATTATCATTATTTAGACAGAAATTTTAAGTGGTAAAGTTAAATTAAAGCACAGCTATATACAGTATATAATTGTAATTTTCATATGTGTTAAAATACATTTATTTCATATTATGCATTAATTCTTTTCTCACATGTTAATTAGAGAACACTGTAATATATTTCTTATGTGTTCCTGGAGCTTCACTGGTGGTGATATTTCCAAACTTTTTCTTTTTCTTTTTGTATGAGATAACTTTTCATTTGTCCTTAGATTTAGTGGCTAATAGATGAAGTTTTTGAGAAAAGTTTTACACAGAAATAAATTTAGAATAAATGAGAGTACATTAGGAAAACAGAAAAGATCCAGTATAAATACAACTTACCCATTCATCACTGTTATTTGACTGGTGCTACCACATTATGATTTGGCACTTTACATTCTCCCAAACCATAAGAAACTAGTTGATCTTGTTGAACACATCATATGTCACCAAAGGTATGTCATATTGCTCTGAGCAGGTACTATCACTTTAATAATGTACAGAAAACAATGTATTTTGTTTTTATTGTTTGCTGTGTACAAATATGCAAAGAAAATATCTTGACAGTCTTGGGCTTTATTTTCAATAAATAAGTGTCTTAAGTCACTTACAGTCTACCAAAGCAAAATCAGAACTCAGTGATTTGAAATCTGATCACAACTGTGTTCACATGTAGCATTGCAATTTAATCAATGGTCAACAAACTATTCTGAAATGATAGCAATCATTAAAGTTGTCTAAGCAATTCTTATTTTCTCTCAAATAGATTTACTAATAGAGGAAAAAAGAAGAGAAAAAATAAAAAAAAAACTACTTTGAGTTAAAGTATTTTTTTTTTTTTATTCTCAAGGGGGAATAGTACAAAGGTGAGGTAATGTAAGCTGGTCATAAAATGTTCCAACTAAAAAAACATATTGGCATGAAGAAAATTACTTTTGTCTGAGCTAAAGGGAAAATATAAAATTGTGTTCTCTTGGGGATGGAGCCAAGTCTCCAATTCTATCACTACTGAAAGAAAACAATCGTAGTTTAAGGGTCAAACTTGTTCATGTTATAAAAGTAGCAGATTATTCTGTGATTAGTGTCTGAAAACAACTAACCCTTATCTTCACTTCTATTCAGCAACCTTAAAAATCTTGGTGTCTTATATCTATACACCAGGATATCTGAAATTCAATAATGTTCTACATAAATAGATATATAGATATATATGTGTGAGACAGTTTTTAAGCAATTTGAGTGGTGATTCAATTTTGAGGTAAGAAATCTTAAATTGCAGTTCCTATTAACTTGCCTTCTGAGTACAAAGGTGATATAATTCAACCCAATCAATAGAATTTATGTATTCAGGGTTATCCCTACTCTTGTGCAATGGGCTAGAGTCCTTCTACCCACTTGCCCTTCTCCTCTTTGAATACAAGACTAGACCCGCATTTGCAAGGTTCTTAGCATTGATTGAAAATTTCATCATGGCCATTGAACAAGTTGAAGTAGTAAGCACAAATTTAAAAAATCTAATGTTGGCCCAAATAGATGGATCTTCCAATTAATTAACCTAGTTAGATTCAGGTCTTGGCTCATGTAAGGTATCTATAACACTAATATTAAAGAGTTCAAAATGAAGTGGGCAGCATTAATGCCAGAACAGTGAAGATAACAACAGTAATTTGCCAGAATTATCTAAATAGAAATAGAATTGACAGAGAATCCAGAAATGCCAAAGTGGGAATATGGCTGAGATTGGAGCAGGGCATACTACAAACAGCTTCATTTGGTAGGAATATGTATCTTTATGTATTATAACATGGAAACTATTATGCACACTCACTGAGGCCTCAGTAAATATTCCTTCAATATGATGATGATGATAATTGTAATGCACAGTTGATCAATATTTCACTGTTTTGGGGGAGTTCTTGCTTTCCAGGCAAGGAATAATCTGTATCTGCTTGTTTTATTCAAAACCAAAAAATTTTAAGACACTAAATATGGTTGAAAAATATTCAAGCCTATTTTATTATTTATTTACTTATTTATTTTATTGAGACAAATTCTCACTGTATTGCCCAGGTTGGAGTACAGTGAGTGATCACGGCTCACTGCAGCCTCAGCCATCTGGGCTCAAGCAATTCTTTCACCTCAGACTCCTGTGCAGCTTGGGACCACAGGCATGTGCCATCATGCCCAGATTTTTAAAATTTTTTTATTATTTAAGGAGACAAGGTCTTGCCATGTTACTCAGGCTGGTCTTGGACTCCTGGACTCAAGAAATTCTCCTGCCTCACCCTGGCAAGCCTATTTTAAACACTAATGATCACTAGAGAATTTTGACAAAAGGGATGCACTTTTTTTTTCCTATGTAGAAGACAAGCTCCACAATTATAGGCCATTGTAATTTTTTTGTTTTGTTTTCATTTGTTGTTTAGTTTTGTTTTTCCCCAAATCACCAATTTAGTTGTTAGATCAATGTGGACCCTGACATTTAGTAAGTCAAAGGCATCCAGTAGAGATGGATTTTTAGAGAGATGCTGAAAATATTTGAAGGCTATGGACAAGCATGCTTAAGCTTAATATTCTATATTAAGCCATACAAATTTTCAAACTGTATCAATTCAGGTCACCAAAGAAACAGCATATAGAAATTATGACAAATTGTGACAAGGAGGATTTTGTAGAGATAACATACAAATTTTAAAGCACAAGGAAAACTGCAAAAGATGGTACAGTACCCCACAGCTAGTAAGAGTGGAGCACAATTCCTACCCAATGGCCCGAACAGGAAAGGGGTCCATTTGAAGACTGAAAAGTCTTTGTGGAAAGTTCGTCATCTTGAGGAGTTAAAATCTTCTTAAGATGAACATAGTCAAGAGACTCAATTGGATCCTGGCTGGATTACAAGGATGGCAAAATAGTAATAAGGACATATTACCTCATTCTCCTTTTCCAACGTATTGCCTGACCACCCAGTGGCTATCCACCAGAAACCTGAAAGAAGAAACCTCTTCATGCAGTCCATGTATGTCATCTTTCTGGGACATGATACAGGTAGAGAGATGAGAAGTAGGGCCCCCCAAATCATGAGTGAACTCCCATTCACAATTGCTTCAAAGAGAATAAAATACCTAGGAATCCAACTTACAAGGGATGTGAAGGACCTCTTCAAGGAGAACTACAAACCACTGCTCAAGGAAATAAAAGAGGATACAAACAAATGGAAGAACATTCCATGCTCATGGGTAGGAAGAATCAATATCGTGAAAATGGCCATACTGCCCAAGGTAATTTACAGATTCAATGCCATCCCCATCAAGCTACCAATGACTTTCTTCACAGAATTGGAAAAAACTACTTTAAAGTTCATATGGAACCAAAAAAGAGCCCGCATTGCCAAGTCAATCCTAAGCCAAAAGAACAAAGCTGGAGGCATCACACTACCTGACTTCAAACTATACTACAAGCCTACAGAAACCAAAACAGCATGGTACTGGTACCTAAACAGAGATATAGATCAATGGAACAGAACAGAGCCCTCAGAAATAACGCCGCATACCTACAACTATCTGATCTTTGACAAACCTGAGAAAAACAAGCAATGGGGAAAGGATTCCCTATTTAATAAATGGTGCTGGGAAAACTGGCTAGCCATATGTAGAAAGCTGAAACTGGATCCCTTCCTTACACCTTATACAAAAATCAATTCAAGATGGATTAAAGATTTAAACGTTAGACCTGAAACCATAAAAACCCTAGAAGAAAACCTAGGTATTACCATTCAGGACATAGGCGTGGGCAAGGACTTCATGTCCAAAACACCAAAAGCAATGGCAACAAAAGACAAAACTGGCAAATGGGATCTAATTAAACTAAAGAGCTTCTGCACAGCAAAAGAAACTACCATCAGAGTGAACAGGCAACCTACAACATGGGAGAAAATTTTCGCAACCTACTCATCTGACAAAGGGCTAATATCCAGAATCTACAATGAACTCAAACAAATTTACAAGAAAAAAACAAACAACCCCATCAAAAAGTGGGCAAAGGACATGAACAGACACTTCTCAAAAGAAGACATTTATGCAGCCAAAAAACACATGAAAAAATGCTCATCATTACTAGCCATCAGAGAAATGCAAATCGAAACCACTATGAGATACCATCTCACACCAGTTAGAATGGCAATCATTAAAAAGTCAGGAAACAACAGGTGCTGGAGAGGATGTGGACAAATAGGAACACTTTTACACTGTTGGTGGGACTGTCAACTAGTTCAACCATTGTGGAAGTCAGTGTGGCGATTCCTTGGGGATCTTGAACTAGAAATACCAGTTGACCCAGCCATCCCATTACTGGGTATATACCCAAATGACTATAAATCATGCTGCTATAAAGACACATGCACACGTATGTTTATTGCGGCATTATTCACAATAGCAAAGACTTGGAACCAACCCAAATGTCCAACAATGATAGACTGGATTAAGAAAATGTGGCACATATACACCATGGAATACTATGCAGCCATAAAAAATGATGAGTTCATGTCCTTTGTAGGGACATGGATGAAATTGGAAATCATCATTCTCAGTAAACTATCGCAAGAACAAAAAACCAAACACCGCATATTCTCACTCATAGGTGGGAATTGAACAATGAGATCACATGGACACAGGAAGGGGAATATCACACTCTGGGGACTGTTGTGGGGTGGGGGGAGGGGGGAGGGATAGCATTGGGAGATATATCTAATGCTAGATGACAAGTTAGTGGGTGCAGTGCACCAGCATGGCACATGTATACATATGTAACTAACCTGCACAATGTGCACATGTACCCTAAAACTTAAAGTATAATTAAAAAAAAAAAAAGAGAAGTAGGGCCCCAGGGATAGCGAAGAAGAAAACATTCAGCATGTAAATCAGAAGACAAAGTCATCCTTTCAAACCTAATGAACATGTAACTATTTATTTAGAACTAAGCTGGGAGATGTGTCAATTCTGATATTTATTTCTGAAAAAGAAAATTAATTTGAAAGAGACAGAGCTACTTAAATATACCAAGTATCCATTGCATATAGGCTATTTAGTATATTTTAGGAGCTAAGCAAGCAAATTTTGGAGTTAAACTGTCTGAGTTTGAATCCTACATCAACTCTTTCATTTGTGTGACACTGAACAAATTATTTAGCTTCTCTGTACATCAGTGTCTTCATCTCTTTAGTGAGAGTATTATAGGTCCTAATTCAGACAAATGTTTTGAGCATTTAAGATGATAAATGTAAATGCCATATGCAGAATTAAAAGCAAATCTTAAAAATAGCAGCTATTATTATTGTGATAATTTTTAGGCACATTAGCAATAAGAAGAATGAGTACAAGGGATGAACTCTACCAATCCAGAATCTTGACGCTTTCTCCTCTTGATTTCCTGTAAGTTATTTTAGGCTGAAGAATCATTGCAGGTGAAGATACAATGCTGAACCCAGCTAGGTTCATCACTAGCTTCTTGAAAACTCTTGGTATAAATTGGAATTAACAGAGACTTGTTGGAATTTTCTTTCTACAGAAGGTGTTAATGACAGGCACAGGTGAAGTCAAGATGGGTCTATTTCTGCTGAGTGTAAGCTCCCTGGAAGAGTAATTAGCAAGAATCTGCAAATGCACCCCTATAATGGTTTTGATGAGAACACTGTCCTGTATGCCCCTTCTGGAATCAGATGATGCCATTTTTCATACTCTGAAAGGAGCACCACAAGAGGTCAATGCAGAAACAAAATCCCCTCATAAATCTTTGCTCTTTTATGCAGTTAATCAAAAGAAGCCTGGAGAACAGGCGGATTATCTGTGCATGGTTTACTTCATGGGTTATAAGGTTTGTGAAAAAAAATTACCTGCTCACAAATTGCAGGCTATCCAAAGCCCCTGCTGGCTGTCACGTCCTCCTGAAGAGGTAAGCATATTTGTCATTATGCAGGGTGCTTGCCAAATATGCCTTCTATAAGCACTGCTTTAAAAACTAGACTCTCTTACAAGAAAGAGGCAGAGATTTGAATGAAGTATGTTTCCAATATCTTGATTTTCTGACTGGCTTGATTTTATAACACAATCCAGTATTATAGGATAATTAATATTTCCACAGCTGTGTTTTATGTAACCAAGGTCGACCTTGATACGATTCCAGAATAAATTTTATTCTTATTAATCCAGACTAATATGATCAGAACAGACTATGCAATAAATGATAACTATGCAGTGACTTGTACTTCCTATGATTCCCCATATCTCACCATAGCACTAATAGGTTTTCCGGGAAGCATAACAACTTATTTACGTGTCCTACAACAGTATCCCATAAAGATGTATTTTTGTTTTGCAAAATTATTCATTTATATCTTAGAATTGTTAAATGGTGAATGTATTAGTTTGTGAGGGTTGCCATAACAAAATACCACAAACTGTGTGGGTTCAATGATAGAAATTAATTTCCTCACAGTTCTGAAGGCTAGAAGTAAGTCTAAGATCAAGATGTCACCAAGTTTGTTTATTTTAAGATCTCTCTGCTTAACGTGTAGAGGATGTCTTTACATGATCTTCCCTCTATGTATATCCATATCCTAATCTCTTCTTATGAGGACACAAGTCATATTGGATTAGGGATACCTTCCTGATATTATTTACTCTCAATTACTTCTTTAAACACCTTATCTCCAAATAGTCGCATTTTCAGGTACTAGTGGTTAGAACGTCAACATACACATTTTGGATGGACATAGTCCCCTAAACAGTCAGCCCATAACAGTTAACTGTCATATGAAGTGGTTAAAATTTACTCTGAGATCAATAATATCAAACTTCATATCAGTAAGTTGGCCAGAATTGAATTTATGAATCATAAAACACAATATGTCCAATACCATTTTGAATCTTTGCATCGGCTGTTCTCTCTGATTGGAATGCTTTTCCCAGGATAGTTCCAGGCTCACTCCCTTACCTCTCTAAGCCTTTATCACTGTCCTCTTTTCAGTGATGCATTCCTTGACTTATAATTAAACACTCAGCCCTGTATTCTCCATCATTGTTTCCTTCTCTAATGTTCTACAAAGCAATTATTGCCTACTAAATCCCTACCACTTGACTTATGTTTTCTGTAGTTCCTCATTATCAATTAAACTTTAAGTTCTGTGGACATAAGGGTTTTTGTCTTATACATTTACTATGGTATCACTGACATTTTACATATAATAGAAGATTAGTAAATATTCGTTAAAGTAAAATGGTTTCATAAATAACATGGCTTTCTATTAAGTAAGAGTAAAGATTAATTTATTCTCTTTAATTGAGTTTTCTAAAAACTAGTCAGGATTTAATATTATCTGTAAGGTATTTTTGAGGCTTAAATGCATCTAAGTCTCAAATTTCCAGATTTCTTCAGCAAGCAAAAACCTTGTGCCAACATGATGCTAAAAATTCTAAGCACACTCATTTGAAGCAGGTACTGATTTAAAGCACCTCTTCAAGTACCCTGGAGTGTAGAAGAAGAATGTGATAATGACTGTAATTTTTGTGAAGAGTAATACTGAGGTTTAAAACTGGGGTCAATGACTAGATGGATGAGATGAGATTGGTTGAGATGAGAAATTAATTACAGATTAACAATTCAGGGTTAGGCTTCTTGATGCACAATGGTGCCATTCTAAGTTATTAAACAAGGTAATGGCTTGAGAAATGAACAAAATGAACATAATATGAACCCAAGAAGGTAAAGACAGAGAAATGGGGATTTTGGAGCAATTAACATTTATATTAGCTGTCCTGTTTTAGGTTGCTTAGGAGATTTGTTGATTTGCATAGGAAAAACTGAAAAGGTGAGAGGTTGAGCTTGGCCATCCTTCCTTTGTTTTTGAGTAGTATCAGAATCATAGTACATACTTCATCATAATTTAATAATAAAGAAGGAAATATTTGTCTTTCATAAAACCATGCATTTAATAAATGTGATTAGATCATAGTTGATGTATGAATTCAAGTTACAAAGGCAGTAGCTTGGTTTTATGGAAAGATGAAAGCAGAGTGGAGTCCTGAATTCTACACCTAATACTAACACATTCTAACTGTACAATTTTTTGAGGTCTCACCATGGGTTACAAA